>NC_000003.12:138251028-138554058 GCF_000001405.40 Homo sapiens | reverse complement strand
TGGCTATTTTTTGTATTTTTAGTAGAGACAGGGTTTCATTCACCATGTTGGCCAGGCTAGTCTTGAACTACTGACCTCAGGTGATCCACCCACCTCAGCCTCCCAAAGTGTTGGGATTACAGGTGTGAGCCACCATGCCTGGCCTGGATTTTGTTAAATGCTTTTTCTGAGTTTATCGAGATGATCATGTGATTTTTATTTTTAATTCTGTTTATATGGTGTATCACATTTATTGACTTTTGTATGTTAAACTATCCCTGCATACCTGGTATAAGACCCACTTGATCATGGTGGATTATCTTTTTGATATGCTGTTGAATTCATTTAGCTCATATTTTGTTAAGGATTTTTGCATCTATGTTCATCAGGGATATTTGTCTGTAGTTTTCTTTTTTTGTTATATCTTTTCCTAGTTTTGGTATTAGGGTGATACTTTCTTTATAGAATGATTTAGGGAGGATTCCCTCTTTCTCTGTCTTTTGGAATAGTGTCAATAGGATTGACACCAATTCTTTGAATGTCTGGTAGAATTCAGCTGTCAATCTGTCTAGTCCTGGATTTTTTTTTTTTTGTCTTTTTGAGATGGAGTCTCTCTCTGTCGCCAAGGCTGGAGTGCAGTGGCCCAATCTCAGCTCACTGCAAGCTCCACCTTCAGGGTTCACACCATTCTCCTGCCTCAGCCTCCCAAGTAGCTGGGACTATAGGCACCCGCTGCCACGCCCAGCTAATTTTTTTGTATTTTTAGTAGACACGGGGTTTCACCGTGTTAGCCAGGATGGTCTCGATCTCCTGACCTCGTGATCCACCCACCTTGGCCTCCCAAAGTGCTAGGATTACAGGCGTGAGCCATCGTGCCCAGCCGGTATTTTTTTTTTTGAAGGCAGTATTTCGTTCTCACTGCTTGTTATTGGTCTGTCTAGGGTTTCGAATTCTTCCTGATTTAAACTAGGAGTTGTGTCTTTTTAGGAATTTACCCATCTCCTCTAGGTTTTCTAGTTTATGTGCGTAAAAGTTTTGATAGTAGCCTTGAATGATCTTTTGTATTTCTGTGGTGTCAGTTGTAATATCTCCCGCTTCATTTCTAATTCAGCTTATTTGAATCTTCTCTCTTCTCTTGGTTCATCTTGCTAGTGGTCTATCAATTTTATTTATCTTTTCAAGGAACCAGCTTTTTGTTTCATTTATCTTTTGTATTTTTGTTTGATTGTTTCAGTTTCATTTAGCTCTGCTCTGATCTTGGTTATTTCCTTTCTTCTGCTGGGTTTGGGTCAGGTTTGTTCTTGTTTCTCTAGTTCCTTGAGGTGTGACCTTAGATTGTCTAGTTGTGTTCTTTCAGACTTTTTGGTGTAAGCATTTAAGGTGGTGAATTTTCCTCTTAGCACCACCTTTACTGTATCCCAGAGGTTTTGATAGGTTATGTCACTATTATCTCTCGGTTCAAAGAATTTTTGAACTTCCATCTTGATTTTATTGTTGACCCAATGATCATTCAGGAGCAGGTTATTTAATTTCCATGTATTTGCATGGCTTTGAAGGTACCTTTTGGAGTTGATTTTCAGTTTTATTCCACTGTGGTCTGAGAGAGTAATTGATATAATTTCAATTTTCTTAAATTTTTTGAGACTTGTTTTGTGGCCTATCATATGGTCTATCTTGGAGATAGTTCCATATGCTGATGAATAGAATGTATATTCTACAGTTGTTGGGTAGAATGTGTTGTAAATATCTGTTAAGTTTATTTGTTCCGGGGTATAGTTTAAATCCATTGTTTCTTTGTTGATTTTCTGTCTTGATGACCTGTCTAGTGCTGTCAGTGGAGTATTGAAGTCCCCCACTATTATTGTGTTGCTGTCTATCTCATTACTTAGGTCTAGTAGTAGTTGTTTCATAAATTTGGGAACACCAGGGTTAGGTACATATATATTTAGGATTGTGATATTTTCCTGTTGGACAAGGCTTTCTATCATTATATAATGTCCCTGTTTGTCTGTTTTTTAACTGCTGTTGCTTTAAAGTTTGTTTTGTTTGGTATAAGAATAGCTACTCCTACTCGCTTTTGTCCATTTGCATGGAATGTCTTTTTTCACCCCTTTACCTGACATTTATGTAAGTCCTTATATGTTAGTTGAGTGTCTTGAAGGCAACAGATGATTGGTGAATTCTTATCCATTGTGCAATTCTATATCTTTTAAGTGGAGCATTTAGGCAATTTACATTCAACATCAGTATCAAGATGTGAGGTACTATTCCATTCATCATGCTATTTTTTGCCTGTATACTTTGGGTTTTGTTTTATTTTATTTTTTTTTTTTTAGATGGAGTTTCACTCTTGTCACCCAGGCTGGAGTGCAGTGGCGGGATATCGGCTCACTGCAACCTCTGCCTCCTGGGTTCAAGTGATTCTCCTGCCTCAGCCTCCTGAGTAGCTGGAACTACAGACACACGCCAACATGCCTGGTGAATTTTTGTATTTTTAGTAGAGACGGGGTTTCACTATGTTGGCCAGGCTGATCTTGAACTCCTGACCTCAGGTGATCCACCTGCCTCGTTCTCCCAAAGTGCTGGGATTACAGGCATGAACCACTGCACCCAGCCAGATTTTTTTAATTGTATTTTTGTTTTATAGGTCCTGTGACATTTATGCTTTGAAAAGGTTCTGTTTTGATGTGTTTTCAGGATTTGTTTAAAGATTTAGAGCTCTTTTAGTAGTTCTTGTATTGCTGGCTTGTTAGTGGTGAATTCTCTCAGCATTTGTTTGTCTGAAAAAGACTATCTTTCCTTTGTGAAGCTTAGTTTCTCTGGATACAAAATTCTTGGCTGATAATTGTTTTGTTTAAGGAGGCTAAATATACGGCTCCAATCCCTTCTAGCTTATAGTTTTCTGCTGAGAAATCTGCTGTTAATCTTATAGGTTTTCCTTTATAGGTTACCTGGTGCTTTTGCCTCACAGCTCTTAAGATTCTTTCCTTTGTCTTGACTTTAAATAACCTGATGACAATGTGCCTAGGCAATCTTTTTGCGATGAATTTCTCAGGTGTTCTTTGAGCCTCTTGTATTTGAATGTCTAGGTCTTTAGCAAGGCTGGGGAAGTTTTCCTCAATTATTCCCCCAGAGACGTTTTCCAAACTTTTAGATTTCTCTTCTCCTCAGGCATGACAACTATTCTTAGATTTGGTCGTTTAACATAATCCCAAACTTCTTGGAGACTTTGTTCATTTTCTTTTATTCTTTTTCTTTGTCATTGTTGGATTGGGTTAATTCGTAAAGCTTGTCTTCAGGCTCTGAAGTTCTTTCTTCTGCTTATTCAATTCTATTGCTGAGACTTTCCAGAACATTTTGCCTTTCTCTTTGTCCTTTATTTCCTGAAGTTGTGATTGTTTTTTAATTTATGCAATTGGCCAGGCATGGTGGCTCATGCCTGTAATCCCAGCACTTTGGGAGGCTGAGGCGGGCAGATCACCTGAGGTCAGGAGTTTGAGACCAGCCTGGCCAACATGAAGAAATCTCATCTCTGCTAAAAATACAAAATTAGCCAAGCGTGGTGGCACATGCCTGTAATCCCAGCTACTCAGGAGGCTGAGGCAGGAGAATAGCTTGAACCTGGGAGGCGGAGGTTGCAGTGAGCCAAGATCACTCCATTGCACTCCAGCCTGGGTGACAAGAGCGAAACTCCGTCTCAAAAACAACAACAACAAAAAATGTATGCAATCTTTTCACTGAAGATTTCTCTCCTCATTTCTTGTATCATTTTTTGAATTTTTTAAAAGTTGGACTTCACCCTTCTCTGGTGCCTCCTTGATTAGCTTAATAATCACCCTTCTGAATTATTTTCAGGTAAATCAGGGATTTCTTCTTGGTTTGGATCCATTGCTGGTGAGCTAGTGTAATTTTTGGGGAGTGTTAAAGAGCCTTGTTTTGTCATATCAGAATTGTTTTTCTGGTTCCTTCTCATTTGGGTAGGCTATGTCAGTGGGAAGGTCTGGGGCTCAAGGCTGCTGTTCAGATTCTTTTGTCCCACGGGATGTTCCTTTGATGTAATACTATCTCCCTTTTTCCAGGGATGTGGCTTCCTGAGAGCTGAGCTGTAATGATTGTTATTTCTCTTCTGGATCTAACCACCCAGAAGGGCTACCAGGCTCCAGGCTGGTACTGGGGATTATCTGCACAGAGTCCTTTGATGTGAACCGTCTTCATGTCTCTCAGCAGTGGATACCAGCACCTGCTCTGGTGGAAGTGGCATGGGAGTGAAATGGACTCTGTGAGGATTTTTAGTTTTGGTTGTTTAATGCGCTATTTTTACACTGGTTGACCTCCTGCCAGGAGGTGGCACATTCAAGAGTGCATCAGCTGTGGTAGTATAACGGGGATCAGGCAGTAGGCAGGGCCCTAGAACTCCGAAGAGAATATGCTCTTTGTCTTCAGCTACCAGAGCAGATAGAGAAGGACCATCATGTTGGGCCAGGGTTAGGCGTGTCTGAGCTCAGATTCTCCTTGGGCAGGGCTTGCTGCAGCTGCTGTGGGGCATGGGGGTATGGGTCCCAGGTTCAGTGGAGTTCTGTTCCCAGCAGGATTATGGCTGCCTCTGCTGTGTCATGCAGATTGTCAGGGAAGTTGGGGAAAGCAGGAAGTTATAGGCCTCACCCAGCTCCCACGCAATCCAAAAGGCCGGTCTCACTCCCATCATGCCCACTACCCGCCCCACCCAACAACACCAAGTTTGTTTCCAGGCAGTGAGTGAGCAGAGCTGAGAATTTGCCTCAGGCTACCAGCCTCCCAGCTGAGAAAGCCAGCAGGGCTTCCGTGCCTCCCCGCTTCTCAAATCTGCACACTAGATTCATGCCCTTCCCCGAGTTCGGCCAGAAAGCTTCACGTCCGGTTGGAGTTGTTAGAAAGTTCAGCTGGAGGTTTCCTTCCTGTATGGTCTTTTACCAGTTCCTCTGTCAGCCCTCCCAAAGGACCCCTGTGAGACAAGTCAGAAATGGCTTCCCAGGGGACCCAGAGAGCCCACAGGGCTTTTCCCATTCCTTCCTCTACCCCTTTATTTTGCTCAGCTCTCTAATTTGACTCAGCTCCAGGTAAAGTCAAATCCTGTCCCATGAGCTAGACCTTCAGGTTCCCCAGTGAGGGTATGTATTCAGGGGTGGACAATCTCTCCTTTCCTACTTTCATAGCTTGGGCATTCACAATATTTGGGGTGTCTCCTAGGTCCTGCAGGAGCAGTCTGCTTCTTTCAGAGGGTCTGTGGATTTTCTCAGCTTTCCTGATGTATTCCTGTAGTAGTTTTGGAGCAAAAGTTCATGATGTGAGTCTCCACCCACTGCTCTGTTCATCTGAGTGGGAACTGCAATCTAGTCCTGCCTCCTATCTGCCATTTTCCCCTAGAATTTCCATGTCTTGTTTCTTTACACTGTAGTTCATGGTGTCTTGTTTCCTTATGTGCCTGCTTATCTGCATATGCAGGGAATAGTATTTTAAAAAGTATTAATGGGAATTATTTGAAGCCTAAGATTAAGGCATCTTATTCCAAAGAGTAAGCAGGGTCACAATCTGGTTTCCAATCTCCTGGATATAACCAGGGAACCTCAAGCCAAGATCTTAGTTTAAGGAGTTGGAGAAATGATAGTTTATATATTGCATTTTACGTAAAATCAAAATCCTCTTTGGAGGAAGGTGCTGTGCACATACCATGATCTTAGAAAGGAAAACCAAAGAAGTGAGTTTAGCTTTGGGGGCTAAAGTTTCCCCAGGAGTGTTTTGGGATTTTTGAAAATTGAGATGATTATATGGCTTTTTTCCTTTATTGTGCTAATGCGGTGTATTACATTGATTGATTTTTTGTATGTTGAGCCATCTTTGCATTCCAAGGATAAATTCCACTTGGTTGTGGTATATAATCCTTTTAATATGCTATTGAATTTGGCCTGCTAATATTTTGTTCAGGATTTTTGCATTCATATTCATAATAGATATTCGTCTGTAGTTCTCTTCTTTTTGTAGTATCTCTGGCTTTGGTATCAGGATAATGTTGGCCTGATACAATGAATTAGGAGATATCTAACTGATTTTTGTATACAGTAGTTCCCCCTCATCCATGGTTTTGCTTTTTGTGATTTCAGTTCCCTGTGGTCAGTCAATTGCAGTTCAAAAATATTAAATGGAAAATTCCAGAAATAAATAGTTCATAAGTTTAAAATTGTACACTATTCTGAGTAGCATGATGAAATCTCACACAATCTTGTTCAGTCCCATTCAGGACATGAATCATCCCTTTTCCACCTTATCCACACTGTATGTGCTACCTGCCCATTAGTCACTTGGTAGCTGTCTTGGTTATCAGATCTACTGTCATAGTATCACAGTACTTATTTTCAGGTAACCCTTATTTTACTTAATAATAGGCCCAAGATGCAAGAGGAATGATGCTGGCAATTTGGATATGCCAAAGAGAAGCTGTGAAGTACTTCCTTTAAGTGAAAAGGTGAAAGTTCTTGGCTTAATAAGGAAAGAAAAAAAATTGCTGAGGTTGCTAAGATCTATGGTGAGAACGAATCTTCTATGTTATCCTGACAAAGGAAAAAGAAATTAATGCTAGTTTTGTTATCACACCTCAAACTGCAACTGTTATGGCCACAGTGAGTGATAGTGCACAGTTAAGATGGAAAAGGCCATTAATTTGTTGGTGGAAGTCATAAGCAGAAACTCGTATGTTCCAATTGATGGCAATTGGGTTCAGTACTATTTGAAGTTTTGCGCATCCACTGAGGATCCTGGAATGTATCCCCCATGGATAAGGAGGACTACTGTATTGCTTTTCTATCCTACAGTTTTGTAAAACTCAATTTCTAGTTCTAGTTCATGGCTTAACTTGTAGAAACAGGTGGGACTGACACCCTCATCACTTGGCTGCAGAGGTCCTCCCTGGCTTCTAGGGAGGGCTGAGGCAGAGGATTCCTTCTGGATGTAACCCATGGTACTAGAGTAGCCATGAGTCACATCCGTTTTTTATTTCATTTCAATTTCATTATTTCATTTCAATTTCATTTCATTTCATTTTTCATCTTATAAGATGAAATAGTTCCAGAAGCTGAGAACCTTTTTTCCTCTGAGGGTTGCTAAGTCTCAGCAAACATTACACCATGGGCACATGAACATGTGCTTAGACATGAGTGTCCTGTTCCATAAGAGATTTGTGTCTGTATTATACAGGCCAGGTAGGGAAAAGGGTTTTCACTGAGTCTTTTTCATTTATGAATAGTATATTAATAAGGGTGATAGTGTTTTTTGTTTTTTTTTATTTGTTGATTTGTTTTGAGATGGAGACTCGCTTTGTCACTCAGGCTGGAATGCAGTGGCATGATCTCGGCTCACTGCAACCTCCACCTGCTGGGTTCAAGCAATTCTTGTGCCTCAGCCTCCTGAGTAGCTGGGACTACAGGCACCCACCACTACGCCCAGCTAAGTTTTGTATTTTCAGTAGAGACGGGGTTTCACCATGTTGGCCAGGCTGATCGCGAACTCCTGACCTCAAGGGATCTGCCCACCTTGGCCTCCCAAAGTGCTGGGATTACAGGCATGAGCCACCGCATCTGGCTATGATAGTGCTTTTTGATAATGAGCTTTAAAAGGATACTGAGGGATAGAAGCTAGAGAATAAGGGGAAACCAGGCAAGTGATATCTTGCTGATGACAAGAGAATAAATTGTTGAAAATACATATTCCTTTGTATAAATCTTAGGGTACATACTGACTCTTTTTTATTGATACATACTAGCTATACATATTTTCTGCTGGGGGAACCCGCCCCCAGTATTTCAACGTAGGTTCTTTCTGTTTTCCCTAAGTGTTGGCTGGTCTGAGAAAAAAGAGAAAGAGTACAAAGAGAGGAATTTTACAGCTGGGCCTCCGGGGATGACATCACATATTGGTAGGTCCATGATGTCCTGAGCCGCAAAACCAGCAGGTTTTTATTAAAGACTTTAAAAGGGGAGGGGGTGTATGAACAGGGAGTAGGTCACGAAGATCACATGCTTTAAAGGGCAATAAAGATCACAAGGCAAAGGGCAAAGCAAAGATCACAAGGCAAAGGGCAAAATTAGTATTACTAATGATGGTCTGTGTTCAGCTGTGCACATATTGTCTTGATAAACATCTTAAACAACAGAAAACAGGGTTTGAGAGCAGAGAACTGATCTGACCTCAAATTTACCAGGCTGGAATTTCCCAATCCTAGTAAGCCTGAGGGTACTGCAGGAGACCAGGGTGTATTTCAGTCCTTATCTCAACCGCATAAGACAGACACTCCCAGAGCGGCCGTTTATAGACCTCCCCTCAGGAATGCATTCCTTCCCCAGGGTATTAATTATTAATATTCCTTGCTGGGAAAAGAATTCAGCGGTATCTCTCCTACTTGTACATCCATTTATAGGCTCTCCGAAAGAAGAAAAATATGGCTCTATTCTGCCTGACCCTGCAGGCAGTCAGACCTTATGGTTGTCTTTCCTTGTTCCCTGAAAATCACTGTTATTCTGTTCTTTTTCAAGGTGCACTGATTTCATATTGTTCAAACACACATGTTTTACAATCAATTTGTACAATAGTGGTCCTGAGGTGACATACATTCTCAGCTTACAAAGATAACAGGATTAAGAGATTAAAGTAAAGACAGGCATAAGAAATTAAAAGAGTATTATTTGGGAACTGATAAATGTCCATGAAATCTTCACAATTTATGTTCAGAGATTGCAGTAAAGACAGGTGTAAGAAATTATAAAAGTATTAATTTTGGGAACTGATAAATGTCCATGAAATCTTCACAATTTATGTTCCTCTGCCCTGGGTCCAGTTGGTCCCACCATTTGGGGTCCCTGACTTCCCGCAACAATTTTCATGCTACATGAGATATTTTGACATATTCATATAATGTGTAATTATCAAATCAAGGTAAATGAGATATCCATCACCTCAAATATTTATATTTTTTTATGTTGGAGACATTAGAATTCTTCTCTTCCAGCTATTTTGAAATATATAATAGATTATTGTTAATATAGTCAACCTACTGTGCTATCATATACTACATCTTATTCCTTCTATGTATCTGTATTGTTGTACCCATTAATCAACCTCTCTTCATTTCCCCCTTCCCTCCTACTTTTTGTAGCCTCTGTTAACCACTGTTTTGCTCTCTCTTTCTGAGATCTGCTTTTTTGGTTTCCACATTTAAGTGAGAATGTGCAATAGTTGTCTTTCAGGGCCTGGCTTATTTCATTTAACGTAATGACCTCCATTTTCATCCATGTAGCTGCATGTGACAGGATTTCATTCCTTTTTATGGCTGAATAATATTCCATTTGTGTACACATACCACATTTTCTTTTTCCAGTCATCCATTGATGGACACCTAGGTTGAATTCATATTTTGGCTGTTGTGAATAGTGCTGCAATAAACAAGAGAGTACAGATACCTCTTCAATATGTTTATATATATAATATGTGTGTATATATATACACACACACACACATACATACATACATACATACATACATACACACTCTGTAGTGGGTTTGCTGGATCATATGGTTTAGTTTTTTGAGGAACCTCCATACTGTTTTCCATAGTAGTTGTACTAGTTTTCATTCCCACCTATAGTGTACCAGGATTCCTCTTTCTCTATATCCTCACCAGTACTTTTTTTTTTTTTGTCTTTTGAGTAATAGCCATTCTAACTGGAGTGAGATGATATCTCATTGTGTTTTCTTCCTTTTTTACTGTCTTCCTTTGTGGTCAAGTGATTTTCTTCTTTTTTGGTTGTTTTAATTTTTTGCTTTTTTTTTAGTGTACCTGTTTTATTTTTGCTTTGTAGTTACCATGAGATTTACAAAAAAACATTTTATAGATATAACAAGTTATTTTTTAAGTTAAGGAGTTTTTAAAAGAGATGGGGATTTTACTGTGTCGGCCAGGTTGGTCTTGAACTCCTGGCCTCAAGCAATTCTCCTGCTTTAGCCTCCGAAAGTGTGGAGATTACAGGCATGAGCCTGTGCCTGGACAACAGGTTACTTTAAATAGATATCTTGCCTTGATCACAAATAATAGAAACAAACAAAGGAAAAACTAAAACATTCTACACTTTTACTCCATCATATTATGACTTTTTGTTGTCTCAGTTTACATCTTTTTACATTATCTATACCTTAACAAGTTGCTGTAGTTATTTTGAGGGGGAGCTTTTTGTTTTTGTTTTTTCTTTTTTTTGAGATAGGGTCTCACTCTGTCACCCAGGTTGGATTGCAGTGGTGCAATCTCAGTTCACTGCAACCTCCACTTCCCAGGCTCAAGCTATCCTCCTGATAGAGGTGGCAACAAATCTGAAGCAGCTGCTGTAAGGAAGCCAGCAGTGGAGGAGGTGCAGGCAGGGCTGCGTGCTCCATGGAGCTGTCAGGGGCTAGGAACAGGTGATCCCAGTGGGGACCCTGTGCTCCCAGGCACAGCTGCATCTGCCCAGCCACAGCTTGGGACTTGGGCATCCCTGCGCTCTTATGGGCCTGGAAAGCCCCCTGCCCCCTCAGGCTTGGAAGTACTTGCTCCCACTGCCTGGCCTCTCTTCACTCCCAGTACCCACTCTGGTGTAGAGTGAAGTTGTGGCTGAGCACGGGTGCTGTCATGACCCAGTCAGGTGTGTGTACACTCGGGGCAGTGCTGACATGCCAGCCCCCTACTGCCTTGGTTCCCCCAAGACTTTGGATGCCGACGAGCGCAGAAGGGAGGCTGGGAGGTTGAGGGCAGCTTGGCATGGGCCTGTGAGTGTCCTGCAGTGCAGACAGCCTGGGCACTGCAGATGGCATGTTGATGGTGGTGAGAGGTAGACAGGTTCCTAGGCAGAAGGGGCAGGTCCTCAGTGAAACCTCACCTTCAAGCCAAGGACAGCCTGAAGCCTGGAGGCCAGGCTGCCAGTGCCAGGTGGAGTCCGCAACCTGGAGTGAGAACTTCCTTCATGCCTTTTGGCCAATTGGATGATGCTTTTTCCAGGCCTTCCCATGGCTGTCCATGGACCAGTCAGCACATACTTCCTCCCTTCTGAGCCCGTAAAAACCCAAGGCTCAGCTAGACTCAGGGACTCATCAACTCATTGGGACTACCTGACTGTGGATAGGAGCTGCCCACTTAGGGTCTCCTCTCTACTGAGAGTTGTTCTGTCACTCAATAAGGCTTCTCCCCACCTTGCTCACCTTCCAGTTGTCTGTGTAACCTCATTCTTCCTGGACACAGGACAAGAACTTGGGACTCACTGAATGGCGGGAGTGAAAGGAGCTGTAACACGTTCCTGGCCGACTCGCCGGGCTGTGCGTGGTGACAAAGACAAACTGCGTGAGTGAAGAGTGGTGACCTTTCTAGGGGCCCAGACCTCAGGATTTCTGAGCCAGAGGTGCTGTCACATCATAGGCCTCCCACCCTCCACTGGCACCTGGTGGCTGCGCCATGCAATGGGAAGCAGCTGTGGGGCCAGGCCAGCCCAGGAGCCACTGGCCAGAGCAGGGTGGTGGGACTGAAACAGCTGTAACACAAATGGGCTGAAACATGTGCCACCTGAAACACATCCCCCGACTTGCTGCGCTGCGGGTGACAAGGAGAGAAGAGTTGTGACTCTTCTGGGATCCCAAACCTCAGGGCTCCCAGAGCCAGGGCTCTGACACACTCTAACACCCTCTTTGGGCCTCTGTGGTTCCTGGCATCTCTGAGCTTTCAGGCGCCCCTGCATTCCCCTTGTCCAGGCATTGGTGCCCACAGCGGAAGCTGCTTGCAGTACATCTGGTCCAGCCACAGTCTCACATGGAGCCAGTGCCTGTGCTGGTGGCTGGAGCTGCCTGCCTCACTGCAACAGCCAGTGTGCCTGGCTGTGCACATAGCCAGACCCCACATTTGCTAACTCACACACCCCTCACTGCTCTGCACCTGGCTTGCCCTTAGCAGGCATGGGGTCTGGGCTGGTAGCACAAGCTGAGTGCAGCCTGCCAGGCCGAGTGGGCAGAATAAGCCCAGCAGGTGTGAGCAAAACTCAAGCAGAGGTACCACTGGCCACAGAGGTTTCTGGCTGGTGAAGCGACACACTGAGGATCTTGTGATGCTCCCACCTCAGCCTCTCAAGTAGCTGGGATCATAGGTGCATGCTACGACACTCAGCTAACTTTTTGTATTTTTGGTAGAGATGGGGCTTTGCCATATTGCCCTGGCTGGTCTCAAATTCCTGAGCTCAAGCAATCTGCCTGCCTCTGCCTCCCAAAGTGCTGGGATTATAGGCATGAGCCACTGTGCCTAGCCTACTGTTTTAAGTAGATTTGTCTTTTAGTATTCATACTAGAGATATGACTGGATTACACACCACAATTATATTATTAGAGTATTCTGCGTTTGTCTGTATATTCACTTTTACCAATGGGTTTTATACCTTCAAATGTTTTTTTGTTTTTGCATGTGGTGTCCTTCTCTTTCATAGTGAAGAACTCCCTTTAGCATTTCTTATGAGTCCCTTTCAAGTGTTTGCTTGTCCTGGTAAAGGCTTTATCTCCTTTGTATTTCAAAGATAGCTTTGCTGAGAATAATATTCTTGGTTGACAGGTTTTTTTTTTTCTTTTTCTTTTTCTTTTTCTTTTTCTTTCAGCACCACGTTGAATATGTTATTTCACTCCCTCCTGGCCAATATGCTTTCTGCTGAGGATTCTATTGCCAGATAAATCAGAGCTCCTTTATATTTTGTTTTCTTCTTTTCTCTTGATGCTTTTAGGATCTTCTCTTTGTGCTTGACTTTGAGAATGTACTTATTTATTAAACTTTTAGATTTGGGTAAATGTGAAGGTTTGTTACGTAGGTAAACTTGTTTCATTGGGGTTTGTTATACAGATTATTTCATCACCCAGGCATTAAGCCCAGTACCCAATAGTTATCTTTTCTCCTTCTCTTCCTTCTCCCACCCTCCACCCCAGTGTCTGTTGTTACCTTCTTTGTGTTCATAAGTTCTCATCATTTAGCTCCCACTTATAAGTGAGAACAAGTAGTATTTGGTTTTCTGTTCTGCATTAGTTTGCTAAGGATAATGCCGTTCAGCTCCATCCATGTTCTCGCAAAAGACATGATCTTGTTCTTTTTTATGGCTATGTAGTATTCTATGGTGTATATGTACCACATTTTCTTTATCCAGTCTACCATTGATGAGTATTTCAGTTGATTCCATGTTTTTGCTGTTGTGAATAGTGCTGCAGTGAACATTCATGCATGTTTCTTTATGGTAGAATGATTTGTATTCCTCTGGGTATATACCCAATAATGAGATTGCTGGGTCAAATGGTAGTTCTGCTTTTAGCTCTTTGAGGAATTGCCATACTGCTTTCCACAATGGTTAAAATAATTTACATTCCCATCAACAGTGTATAAGTGTTCCCTTTCCTCTGCAACCTTGCCTTGCCTTATTTTTTGACTTTTTAATAATAGCTTTCTGACTGGTGTGAGATGGTATCTCATTGTGGTTTTGATTTGCATTTCTCTAATGATCAGTGATATTGAGCTTTTTTTTTTTTTTTTTTACATAGTCTTGCTCTGTTGCCCAGGCTGGAGTGCAGTGGTGTGGTCTCGGCTCACTGCAACCTCCAGGTTCAAGCGATTCCCCTCCTTCAGCCTCCTGAGTAGCTGGGACTACAGGCATGCGCCACCACATCTGAATAATTTACTTTTAGTAGAGAGTGGGTTTCACCATGTTGGCCGGGCTGGTCTCGAACTCCTGGCCTCAGGTGATCCACTTGCCTCAGCCTCCCAAAGTGTTGGGATTACAGGCATGAGCCACCGCGCCTGGCCTAAGCTTTTTTTTTTAATATGCTTGTTGGCTGCATGTATAATCTTCTTTTGAAAAGTGTCTATTCTTGTCCTTTGCCGACTTCTTAATGAATTTGTTTTTCTCTTCTAAATTTAGTTCCTTATAGATGCTGGCCGTTAGACCTTTGTCGGATGCATAGTTTCAGATGTCTCCTCCCATTCTGTAGGTTTTCTATTTACTTTGTTACTTTTGCTATGCAGAAGCTCTTAAGTTTAATTAGATCTCATTTGTCAATTTTTGCTTCTGTTGCAATTGCTTTTGGTGTCTTTGTCATGAAATCTTTACTCATTCCTATGTCCAGTATGGTATTGCCTAGGTGGGAATTTATTATATGCCTTGGGGTAGGCTTATTTGAATTGAATCTGTTTGGTGATCTCTGACCTTCCTGTTCATGGATGTTTATATCTTTGTGTAAATTTGGATACTTTTCTGTTACTATTTCTTTGAATAAGTTTTCTACCCCTTGCTCTTTCTCAACTCCTTCTTGAAGGCCAATGATTCTTAGATTTGCTCTTTTGAGGTAATTTTCTATATTTTGTAGGTATTCTTTTTTCTTTTTTCTTCTCTGTTTATATTCAAGTAGCCTGTCTTCAGGCTCACTGATTCTTTCCTCTGCTTGATCCAGTCTGCTATTAAAAGCCTCTAATGCATTTTTCAGTTCAGGGAATGTATTTCTCAGTCCCAGGATTTCTGTTTGTTTTTTTAAAAGTTATTATTTCAATACCTTTTTAAAATTTCACTGATAGATTTCTGAATTGATTCCCTGTGTTATATTGGAGTTCACTGAGTTTTTGAATCCTGGGCAGACAGGGATTAGGAAGAAGCAATGATTAAGGAATATAGAGATATAACATGAAAATTCTTTAACAATGATAAAAAGGGCTGGGCATGGTGGCTCACACCTGTAATCCCAGCACTTTCGGAGGCCAAGGCAGGAGGATCACTTGAGGTCAGACCAGCCTGCCCAACATGGTGAAACCTTGTCTCTACTAAAAATACAAAAACTATCCAGGTGTGATGGTACGCAACTATCCAGGTGTGATGGTAATCCTAGCAACTCGGGTGAGGCAGGAGAATCACTTGAACCCAGGACGTGGAAGTTGCAGTAAGCTGAGATCATGCCACTGTACTCCAGCCTGGGCGACAGTGAGACTCTGTCTCAAACAAACAAACGAAAACAATGATAAAAGAGATTTAACATCACTGAAAGTTGTAAGGAAGTAAACCCTAAACCTCCACCCCTCCATTAAAGCAATGATTATAAGACTATACTTTGAACAATTATATGACAACAGATTAGCTAACCTAGATGAAATGGACATATTTCTAGCAACACAGAAATTGCCAAAACTGGCTCAAGAAGAAGTAAAAAACTTTAGTAGATGTGTAACAATGGATTATGTCAATAATCAAAACCTCTGAACAAATAAAGGCCCAGAACCAGATGACTTAAAAAAAAAGAAAAAGAATAAGGATTCTTGATCTGAAGAATCTCACCACACTGTCTCGTTAGGGTCAGTCACTGGCTCCTTTTTCCATCTGTGGGGGTCATGGTTCTTTGTTAGCTGTTGTTTCTTGTGGACATATATCTATGTCTTCTCATTGAAGGATTAGTTATTTCAGTTTTCACTGTCTGGCTTGTTTGGGTTTTTCTTGGATATGTTTACATAGAGGTTCTTTACAATTCACCTGTTGAATTTCCTTTATGCTAGGTCACTGCTTCCTTCTTGGTACTAGATGGTGGCTCATGTCCAGGTTTGCTACAGCTCTGGCAAGCATTCAGAGTGCTGATGGTACTAGGTTGGGGAGATCCCAAATGGGATACCCCAGCTGTGTGGAAAAGCTGGCTAGGGTTTCATACCCAGCGAACCTGTAGAGTGTACCTCCTACAGTGTGGTGCTGCTGAACAGCCACTCTGATTTAGCATCTTCTTTGGCTGAGATACCAAGCAGATTTTGCAGGCTGGGGTTGCTGCTATTCCCACCTTCCATCTTTGTCTTTGGTTGCTCTCAGTTTTTCTTGCTATAGACACTTGTGATGCTTTCTGTGGGTTGAGGCAGGAACAGTTCTCCTGCAAGGAACCCAAGATAGTGGGGAAGTTGGTCTTGATCTCACTTTTTCCAGTGTAGAAACTGAGTCTGGGGAAAATTTTCCACAGGCAATTCCTTGCAGATTAGGGGAGAGGCATCACAGTTACAGAAGTCCGATTCTCTTACCATCTGCTTGAAATTTTTTCACTTCTTTGTGGTCCCGGGGATTGTCCCATCCTCAGATTTGAGTTCTGGGATATTGCTGGTAATAATCTTGGCATTGGATATTGGTTTTTGGTTTTCTGTTGGGGGAAGTGAAGCCAGATTGCTTCAACTTTGCCATTTTGGTGATGTCTTTCTCCCTGATTATTTCTTGATGATAATTTCCTGGTTATGGACTTACTGTGAGTTTGCAGTCACCCACATTGCATGAATGCCTAAGTTGACTACACCATTTGCAATCCCCAATTAATATTGATTCTTTCCTGATTATTGTTTTAATGTAAACTTAAACATAAAATTATACCAGTTTTATGGAAATTCTTGAGTTCCTTTACTTGGTAAGAAATGTCTTGAATGCACGCAATTATGAACTGTAGTTTCCCCATTTTATAGCTATTTGACTTATATTTTTTCAGGTTTATGATATATTAATGTTCCTGGAGCTTATACTCATTTAAAAACAGCCTCAATACTGAAGTTCTTGAATGAAACAGCTCAGTAGAAACTATGAAGATGCCTTTGTGTACAATACTGTTAGGATAGCATGTCCTAGATGTACATATCATAATCATGTTTTTAAAAAATATCTTATAGGTGAAGTGCCAGCATTATAAGAAAAAACGAACGGAGCAAGAAGAAACTATTGCTTCTTTGCAAATGGAAGTCTGTAGATTAAAAAAGGAGGAAGAAGATCGCATTGTCACTCAAAACAGAGTGTTTGCCTATCTGTGCAAAAGAGTTCCTCATACCGTCTTGGATAGACAGTAATTTTGCTACATAAATTGATATGTAGCTAGATTCATTGTTGTGTTTGTTTGTTTGTTTTACCTGATATTATCTTGGGGGTGGTTATAACTCTTATAAACTAGAAAAGCCTCTCTCTCCTCCTCTTCTGCATTGTTTTTCCCTGCTCATCCTGTTCTTTTTTTTTTTTTTTTTTGTTCTAGAGGTCCTTTGAAGAATGGAATTGAACATTTACTAAAAATAACACTAAACTTTTAAATAAATTCATAATTAATCAGACATTTCTCAAAATAACTGATCCTTTTAGTGAAGAATACTATTGAGAGATCGCTGTATGGGTTTTGGGGTTGCTTAGTTTTATTATGTTATTGATTTTAGGAGTTTTTAGTGGAAAGAACCAGGGACTATATATTTTGGAGGGAAAAAAAAATCATCATTGATTTTTTTTTTTAACCTAGCTGAAGTTAAGATAGTATTTTTATTTAAATTCTGATTTTACATTTGTAACTGTTGTCTTTCCTACTGAAAATCATTCTTAAGAACAATATTATAATTATTTGCTATATCCTATAATACATAAAAATAGTTTCAAAATAATAAAACTAGAATTACTAACAATAAGCCTACTGAATGAGATTTAAATTTCTGGGCAGCTTTCTTTGATATTAATATATTCCACTATGTATGCAGTCAAGATGTATATTTCTAAAATATCTTGAAATACTTGTTTCTCTGTGTGTTTGCGTCACCAAATTATAATGCAGTTAGGTTTGTTTCAATTTCTTTTCAATTTTCAGGGATTGCTTTTTAAATTTTTACTTTTGAATGTGTAAACATTTATGTAATTGCAAAATCAAAACTATTCATTATTTATATTCAGAGAAGTTGTGTTTTCATTCCTGTCCCCTTTATTCTATCCTATCCTTACCTCCCCTATAGGTAATTGATTTTAAATGTTTAGAGTTATTTTTAGCAATATAAGTAGTATGGATATTATATACATATTCTCTCTTATGTACTAGCACCTTCTTTTTTTCTCTTAACAGTTTAAACTGATTGCATTTTAAGCGGTATTATATGTTTACCTAGTAGGACTGGAAATCTTGAATAATTAGATGTTTCTATTTTACAATAAAAATAAATGAGGTCAGATATAAAGTAAAAACAAGTTAAAACTATAGATTTTTTGATAATTATTTGAGAGATAATGCACATATATACACATATATAATTTTCATCCTCTTGAAGGAAAAGTAACGACAAACACATAAAAAAACATAAAAATGTTAGTGAGAGGTGTGAATAAATAGAAAAGGGAGGCTAGGTAAGAAAAATAGGAGAGGTAAGGAAGAACAAAAAGGAGAGAGGTGAGGGAGAGAGAACTACAGTGGGAAGAAGAAGAGAGAAATTGGAAGGGAAGAATGAAAAAACAAAAAACAGTTAAGATGACTGGGTAAGAGGGTGAGAGAAGCACTGAGAGAACTTGCAATGTACCAGATGAAGTCAGGCTAATTCAGGTATGAATTTGTCCAGTGGGCCAGAGATTTTCCACTGTTTGATTTTTGTCAATGCAAACTTTCAGTTTGAGACACTGAAATGAAAAATTGTGAATTAAACCTATTGGAAATACATGAGTTGTAGCCACTACAGATATTATTAAAAGTTACACGGGTACTGGGCTAAGTAATAGGGCACACACAGATGAGGAAAGCCATGATTCCTGCATTCAGTGACCTGGTAGTCTAGTTGGGTAGATAGACATATATGCATGTAAGTAAAATATAAAGCAGATAGTGGTATGTACTATAAGGTGGGGCAGATAGGATACTAAGTGGGTGTGACATAGGGAGAAATTAGTGAAAGGTAAGAATGACTACATAGGCTTCATGAATGAGTTATCTTTTTAGCTGGACTACTAGGAACTATAGAATATTAATAGGAAGAGGTGAGAGAAAGGATGTTTCAATTAGAGAAATATGATAACAGGAAAAGTGAATGTGTTTGGGACGTCAAGAGTCCAAGAGGTCTGGAACATAGGATACATGAGATTCTGGGAAGAGTCTTAAGAGACAATATGACAATATGGAAAGTGTGCTGTAACTTTGAGAGACTTAAATTGGCCGAAGAGTTTGAGTTCTACTTTCTGTGTGGCAGGGAACATACCCAAAGATTCCTGAGCAAGGAGATTAAACCCAGAGACAGAAAGACAAGTTAGGAATCGGTTGTAGTAGTAGAGGGCTAATGAAGGTCTTAACTAGGACCAAAAAAAAGGGAGAGACACTGCAAAGATGGATAGGAGTTGTCCAGACGAATTGGCTATAGATGTTGAAAGGAGTGGAGGAGTCAAAGATGGCCAGTTTTTAAACTACATTTGAAGGAACGGGGAAGAAACCGATGAATTCATTTATGGATATATACTTAGGCACCTTCAGTCATCCAAGTAGACATATCAGGCCTGTTGTTAAAAGGGCCAAACTCCAGAGAACTTCCAAAGTCCATATAGAGAAAGAAGAGGCAGAAGAGGAATTGTGTTTGGGTATCATGATAACCAAGGAACAAAAGTGTTTCAAGGAGAGGGTGATCGGCAGTGTTGCATGCTTCCTCATTGGTTAACTTGTTTACTTTCCCACTATTTTATTTGCTCAGAATTCCCAGTACTTAACATGTAATAAGTCCTCCCTAAAACTTTATTGAAGATAATTGGTTACAATCACTCAGAATGAATGAAGTTTTTTTATGAAGGAAAATATTAGAAATAGAATCATAGCATAAGGGGGAAGTAGGTCAAGAGGATTTGTGCAGGATATAAAGATTAAAGCATATTTTCAGGATAATGTGAAAGCTGGTATATGTTAAGATGCGGAAGGCTTGAAGAGAAAAAGAGTAATTGGGGAAGGGTTGAAGAGAAAAAGAGTAATCTAGAAAGTTGTGACATTAAGAGCACAATTGGCTGAATTAGTTCTGAAGAGGGGGATGGGTTGGTAATATTTTCCCAAGATAGGAGGGAAACAGTATATTGTTCGTTTAAAAAGAATAACACATGAAAGCATAGTATTATTTTGTTTTTCTCTCATTTTTTAAATCACAAAAGCAATAAATGTTTATAAAAATTCAGGCCGGGCGCAGTGGCTTACGCCTGTAATCCCAGCACTTTGGGAGGCCGAGGCGGGCGGATCACGAGGTCAGGAGATCGAGACCATCCTGGCTAACACGGTGAAACCCCGTCTCTACTAAAAATACAAAAAATTAGCTGGGCGTGGTGGCAGGCGCCTGTAGTCCCAGCTACTCGGGAGGCTGAGGCAGGAGAATGGGGTGAACCTGGAAGGTGGAGCTTACAGTGAGCCAGGATGACGCCACTGCACTCCAGCCTGGGCGACAGCATGACTCCATCTCAAAAAACAAACAAACAAAAAAAAACAAAAAATAAAAATTCAAACAATATGAAAGTGTATATGGTAAAATGTAACAAATCTGCTTGCTTTCCTAATCCCCACATCCCAGAAATAACCTCCTCTCCTAACAATTTGGTGTGTGTCCTTCCTACTGTTTCTCAAAATGAGTGCTGTTGGCATTTTGAGTGAGACAGTTCTTCTTTGTGTATTGTTGTGTTGTTCACCGATGAATTTTTAGCATTCTGCCCCCTCTCCAACTAGTCAATATGGCAACATTGCCCCTTCATACACCCGCTAGCTTACAATATTATTCTCTGGTTAAGAACCCACAGAGTTCTTTTTCAGTATATATACATATTCACATCTAACTTTTTTCTTTTCTTTTTAGACAAAAGTAAAAAATATACATTTGATTATGCAACATTAATTTTTTCCATCATCATTCCTTGTTAAGGACATACAAAGTTACATTATTTTTTCTACTTCTCCATTATTTTCTTTTTCTTTCTTTTTTTTTTTTCTTTTTGAGATGGAGTCTTGCTCTGTCACCAGGCTGTAGTGCAGTGGTGCGCTCTTGACTCACTGCAAGCTCCGCCTCCCGGGTTCAAGTGATTCTCCTGCCTCAGCCTCCCGAGTAGCTGGGACTACAGGCACTCGCCACGACGCCCAGCTAATTTTTTGTATTTTTAGTAGAGATGGGGTTTCACCATGTTGGCCAGGATAGTCTCGAACTGCTGACCTTGTGATCCGCCTGCCTTGGCCTCCCAAAGTGCTGGGATTACAGGCTTGAGCCACTGCACCCAGCCCATTATTTTCTGTAGTATGGATGTGCCATTATTTATTTAACCTTTCTCCTGATGGAGAGTTAAATTATTTCTGGCTTTTCACTCTTAAATAATGGTGCAGTGAACAACTTTGTTCATATTGAGTTGCATCCTTTGACTTATTTCTGTGGGAGATATTGCTAGAGGTAGAATTGTTGGGACAAGGAGGATATGCATTTAATATGTTGAGATATAATGTTTATAGTTATTTTTAAATCTATACTTTGAAATTAATATAACATATGACTTAGTATAGTATTTGCTTTTTGGTAAGAATCACTTAAATTTTTTAAAGCCTGCCAGATAATCTGTACTTACTTTTACACTGTAATTTGAAATTATGTGGTGAAACTAGTAGATGCTGTAATACCATACCGCATTTTGAAAATAATTCAATATTCTGTTTTCTAGGTTGCTTTGTCTAATTGATTACTATGAATCTAAAATTAGAAAAATTCATACACAAAGGTACGAGTAATCCTGTATTACAGTTTTTAAAGGTTTTAATCCAGTATTCACACCAGAAGTTTCTGTAGCTTTTGAAACTTTAATATACTATGGAAATCCACCTAATATGTCACTGTGAAGTTCTTTTTTATAAAGAACTTGAAGACTGTATTTTACAACTTAAGTCAAGATGTATTGTTGTATTTATGTTAAATTATGTATACTTAATTATCACCAAAGTATTGGTCATAGCAGAAATGGTATTTCCCTTTATTTTCTTGAAGTATTATAATTTTTTCTACTGATATGATCTAGCCCCTGGGTAGTTACCAAGTATATCCGCAAAGTGCATAGAATTAGATTGGCTGCCTATCAAAGTGTAACCTAATTAGTATGCAGATTTATGTGAGATAAAGATAAAATGTCAGTGAAAAATCAAGCTTATAGATTAAAACACACTTATCACCTGATTAAATAAGCATAGAGATAAATGGTCTTTGGCTAAACTAAAATAGCTGAAGGATATCTAAGATATAATCTAAAATGCTTTAATGTAAGGTCACTAAAACAGTAGCTAATCTTTTTATTATTTATAGATGGAACAGTTCTTTTAACAAATATTTATTTGAGCACCTATTTTGTACCATGTTCTAAGTAATTAGGATCCCATAATAAAGCAGATAAATTCTTCACTTTTATGAAGCGTATGCTCTAGTATTCTTGCCCCAAGAATAGTGACTTTCCAAAATCTTGGAGAGAATAATGGCAGAGCTCTGTGGGTTGCTGGTTGCTGATTATCTGTAGTACTGTGGGGACTCCAAAAAAAAAAAAAAAAAGGAAAAGAAGAAGGAAGGAAGGGAAGAAGAGAGCAACTAATTAAAAAGCAACTTCTTGCTTTATGTTCTTTTCAGAAAGCAGCATTTTATCAAGTAGCTTCAGGGACCTTCTGACTTCCAAATGAAACTGTCGTTTAGATGGTGGAGATTCTACAAAGATAGGACAACTACTCAACTCGGCTGTTGTAGCACAAAATCAGCCACAGATAATATGTAAATGAATTGGCACAGGTGTGTTCCAATAAAAATAGTTACAAAACCAACAGCCTGCTGAATATAGCCTGCAGACAGCAGTTTGCTGACCCCTGATCTAGATGATGAAGAGGGGATTTGGGGTTTTTAGTAAGAGTAGAAAAGATTTAACATAACATATCCATCAGGAAATCTTTTGTGTAGAATATGATGTGAGAGGTACTTGTAGAGTTCTGCAAACGGGGTTCTCTGACTAAAGATGATAAAAAGGATTGAGGCCATTGGAGTGGTGGTATTGAATTTAGTTGTCATGAATTTGTAATGAAAATCTGGGGCTGAGGAATGAGTGACTTGGAAAAGAATCACTTTTTAACTTAAAAAGCTTTTCATCAATTGTCTAGCTGAAGTAAAGTATTTTGGCCTATACAAATTATCCTTGGGTCAGATATTTGGATTGGATGTCTTATTGAGGGAAGTGGAGGATAGGAAGAAAATAGGAGATACATTAATAAATAATATTCTACAAATGAGAAAATTTGCAGCAATAAAAAGAGTCTCTCTCCTAAGGAGGGAGTTTTTCGGGATTCATTGACTGAGTGGAGTTTATATTATAAACTCAGTCTCCTTTCTAAGAGTAAGTACTAACTTGAAAGTGAGATTCTGGCAATTTCAGGATAGATTTTGAGATCTACAAATAGGATATAGGTATCATCTAAAGAAGTAGGAGTACTGTAACAGGAGGATGTAACAATTCATTGACAAGTATTACATTAGTAAAGAAGATGAAAGAGAAGACGGGGGAAGCCAGGCCAAGATTTGGAGGCCTAAGTAGGATAAACAGGAAGCAGAGGAGAAGAGCTGTGACCCTGTAGAACTGAAGCAGCAAGACCAAAGGAAGAAGACAGGTGGGACATGGGCCTCTCGCAGTGGCAAAAGCTTCTCTGCTTGTCCATTTTTTTAAGGCCAGTGTTGTCCGAAGTTTTTTGTTGTTGTTGTTGTTTTTATCATCAGACTATATGCACATGTGTAAAATAAACACATTGGGAATAAATCATTTGAACTGAATCAATCCATTGATACTTACTAGACTGGTGATATGTTTATGTGTAATACTAGAAATCATGCATGTACCCAGTGCACACTAGGCTACAATAGTAATACTTTATGTGATACAATAGTTAAAGTGAAATGTAGTCCTAAACAATAAAGTTGTGTTTAACAGAAAAGTATTTTATACTACTTCAATTTTTAAATTTAAGATTTAATGAAATTAAAAGTTTAGTTCCTTGGTGGCATTACCCGTATTTCAAGTGTTAAGCGGTAACCACTAGCTCATGTAGCTATTGGTTACCATATAGGACATCACAGTGATAGTTAATCAAGATTGCTAAAAATAATCATACTTATTTGCTAGCACTTTGCATTTCACAGAGTCCTTCAGTATCTTTCATTTGCTTTTTACACCAGTCCTGTAAAGTAGATGTGACAGATACTATTTTACAGATGAGAAAATAAATTCTGAGAGATTGACTTATTCAAATAATACAACTAGTTAGTGGTGTTATCAAGGCTTGAACCAAGACTATTAAATCTGTTGCTTTTTCCACTTATGATCTACATTTTCTTCATATAGGTTTTTTGGTGACCTAAATGTACTAGAAGGAAAAAATAGTATGTGGAGAATGCATTTTTTAAAAGAACATGGATGTTCCACCTATGTTTCGTTTGTTTATTCAGCAGTGCTTTTTCACCTCCTCTTATATTCCATACTTTTTCTAGGCAGTGAGATACAGTGGTGAATAAGACAAAGTTCTGGTCCTCATGGATCATATATTCTAAGTAAAAAGAGAGTAAATGGATACTGTATGTACTATAATATTAGATAGTAGTAGTGTTCTAATACCATTCTCTATGAGAACAAGTAGGAAATGTGGATTAATTTTAATTCATGTTTAGATTATTAAACCCTCATTACATTGGTTTAATTAGTTTTTTTCTTTGAAGATAGATTTTTCATAAGTATACTGCATACATATTTTCATAGGCAATATAAAGAAGATGAAAGTCAGTCAGAAGAAGAAAACGACTACAGAAATCTGGATGCCTCACCAACTTATAAAGGCCTTTTAATGGTATGGGGACTGCATAACTAATAAATACTTTTTAATAAACTAAGTAATCTAAGAAAGTTAATTATTTTTCTATGAAATGTGTTGCAGTCATTACAGAATCAACTCAAGGAATCAAAATCTAAGATTGATGCACTTTCAAGTGAAAAGCTGAACCTCCAAAAAGATTTGGAAACCAGGTGAGAGAAACTTAATTTTTTTTTTTTTTTTCCTGAGACAGGGTCTCACTCTGTCACTCAGGCCAAGTGCAGTGGTGTGATCACGTCTCACCGCAGCCTTGACCTCCAGGGCTCAAGCAATCTTTCCACTTCAGCCTCTTAAGTAGCTGGGGCTATAGGTGCAAGCCACCACACCCAGCTAATTTTAAAAATTATTTATTTTTAACTGAGACAGAGTCTTACTCTGTCACCCAGGCTGGAGTGCAGTGGCGCGATCTCAGCTCACTGCAACCTCTGTCTCCCAGGTTCAAGCGATTCTTCTGCCTCAGCCTCCCGAGTAGCTGGGATTACAGGTGCACACCACGACGGCTGGCTATTTTGTGTATTTTTAGTAGGATGAGGTTTTGCCATGTTTGTCAGGCTGGTCTCAGACTTCTGACCTCAAGTGATCCTTTCTCCTTGGCCTCCCCAAAGTGCTGGGATTACAGGTATGAGCCACCATCCTCAGCCTCTAATTTTTTAATTTTTTGTTTGGTAGAGATGGGGTCTCCTTGTGTTGCCTAGGCTGGTCTTGAACTCCTAGGCCCAGTGCCAGAATTCCCAAAGTACTGGAATTACAGGCATGAGCCACTGCATCCGGCCAATTTTTCTTCATCCTTTGAAAAGTAAACATACTGGAATTTGGAATATTAAATGCACCATTCTAGCTCCTTTGCTCTAAAGCTAATCATGAGTACATAATATTCTTATACTCACTTTAGTCAGTTCTTTCCCGTGATAACTTATGAAAGGAACAAGAGCACATGGGTAGGCAAGGGAAATGAGAAAATAGGAGTCCACAGTGAAGAAGACAAAACTAGCTAAGAACTTCAAATAAGCTGGGCATAGTGGCTTTCACCTGTAATCTCAGCACTTCAGGAGGCTGAGGCAGGTGGATTGCTTGAGGCAGGAATTCGAGACCAGCATGGGCAACATGGCAAAACCCCTTCTCTACAAAAAATATAAAAATTAGCTGGGTGTGGTGGTCTGTGGCTGTAGTCCCAGCTACTCCGAAGACTGAGGTGGAAGGATCACTTGACCCCAGGAAGTCAGGGCTGCAGTGAGCCATGATTGTGTCACTGTACTCCAGCCTGTGTGACAGAGCGAGACCCTGTGTCAAAAAAAAAAAAAAAAACTTCAAATAGATTCAGTCTTTTTTTTTTTTTTGCTTTTAAAAAATAGCTTTATTGAGTTACAATTGATGTACAGTACACTGCATATATGTAAGGTACACAATTTATTGAATTTTGATATGTGTATACACCTATGAAACAGTTATAATCCAGATAATCACCCTAACAATCACAGTCAAGATAATCGCCTTGGAGGCTAGGTGCAGTGGCTCATACCTATAATACCAGCACTTTGGGAAGCCCAGGTAGGAGGATTGTTTGAGGCCAGGAGTTCGAGACCAGCCTGAGCAACATGTGAGACCTCATCTCTACAAATAATTTTAGCCCATTGAGATTTTTTTTTTTTTTTTTTTGAGACGGAGTCTTGCTCTGTCGCCCAGGCTGGAGTGCTGTGGCACGATGTTGGGTCACTGCAGCCTCTGCCTCCCGGGCTCAAGTGATTTCTTCTGCCTCAGCCTCCCGAGTAGCTGGGACTACAGGCGCCCATCACCACGCCCGGCTAATTTTTTGTATTTTTAGTAGAGATGGGGTTTCACCATGTTAGCCAGGATGGTCTCGATCTCCTGACCTCGTGATCCGCCCGCCTCGGCCTCCCAAAGTGTTAATTACAAGCGTGAGCCACCGTGCCCGGCCTACAAATAATTTTAAAAATTAGCCAGGCCTGCGCAAGGATGACACGCAAATTCATGAAGCGTTCCATATTAAAAAAAAAAAAAAATTAGCCAGGCATGGTAGCGTACTCCTGCAGTCCCAGCTACTAAGGAGGCTGAGGTGAGATCACTTGAGCCCAGGAGGTCAAGGCTGCAGTGAGCTGTGATCACACCACCACACTCCAACCTGGGCAACAGAGACTCTGTCTCTTAAAACAAAACAAAACAAAAAACTCTAAAAGTTATCTCTTGCCCCTTTTGTAATCCCTCCTGCCCCTCTTTGCCTTTCCCTGAGACAACCACTGATTTGCTTTCAATCATTATACGTTAGTTTATATTTCCTAGACTTCTTATAAGTGGAGCTATACAATATTTACTCTTTTTTTGTCTATCGTCTTTCACTCAGCATGATTATTATCTTAAATTTTTATTTTAATTGCTAATTGACAAATTACAGCTGTATATATTTATGAGGCACAAAGTGATGTTACGATTCATGATTATAATGCAGAATAATTAAATCAAGCTAATTAACATATCCATCATCTAATACCTTTTGTGGTTGAAAACATTTGAAATTTACTCTTATTGATTTTGAAATGTATAATACATTAATATTTACTATATTAGATTCAGTCTTTTGCCAGCGGAGTTCTCATTCTCAAATTATACTGGAATGCCTTGTTATTCTTATTCCTGTGCTGTGGGATGAGAAGAAAAGTAAAATTTATAATGGCACACAACAGAAAGATATATCCAGCATAGCTACAAAAGGATGACACTCTCTATGTTGACAGTAATAAAGAATGAACATTGTTGAGCCTTTTTTCATTCAACAAATATTTGAATACCTATAGTAAGTTAGACACTGTCCCAAACTCTGGGGTGAACAAGGGACCAAAACAAATTTCCTGTTCTCAATAAGCTTATATTTAATGGCTGGGCGTGGTGGCTCACACCTGTAATCCCAGCACTTTAGGAGGCCGAAGCAGGCCTCCTGAGGTCAAGAGTTTGAGAACCAGCCTGGCCAACTTGGTGAAACCCTGTCTTTACCAAAAAAAATACAAAAATCAGCCCGGTGTGGTGGTACGCATCGGTAGTCCCAGCTATTCAAGAGGCCAAGGTGAGAGAATAGCTTGAACCTGGGAGGTGGAGGTTGCAGTAAGCTGAACTTGTGCCACTGCACTCCAGCCTAGGTGACAGTGTGAGACCCTTTCTCAAAAAAAACAAAAAACAACAAGAAAAAACTTATACCTTAATGGAGAGAAGGACCTGATACCTAGCATAAGCCATTTATATAAAATGTGAAAACCTTGAACACAATAATATGTAAATTTATGATTATATAAATATGTAGTAAAAATTTAAAAACATACATGGGAATAATGAACAATGAATTGAGGATAGTGGTTCTCTATGGTATGGGAAGGAGAAGAATGACATTAATGAGGGAATTTTAAGTATATGTATAAAGTTTGAGTTAAGATTTGAATCAAATCTGTTAATATTCAAATTTGATAAAGCTAGGTGGTGGATACACCAGGATTTGTTATAATGTTCTCTGTTTTTGTCTGTATACTTGAAATATTTCACTATAAAAACAAGTAACAGATTAGCAGCAAAAAACGACTAAAAGGCTTTGAATAAGGGATTACAGAGAAGAAGAAATCTAAATGGCCAGTAAACTCCAAATTAGCAGTCATGAAATATTTTCAGAAGCTTAATAAGTATATTTGTGACAAGTAACAAAGTTTTGTATGTCGTTAATATTTAAGTACCTTTATGCTTTTATTCAGTAAATTGAATTAATTTATCATTATTTATTTTCCACAGGCCTACGCAGCATGAATTAAGACTTTATAAACAGCAGGTGAAGAAGCTGGAAAAAGCCCTTAAGAAAAACGTCAAGTAATTATATTTTTACCAAAATTGCCTCTTTTATTAGGATTTTTTATTTTATTTATTTATTTTTATTTTTATTTTTATTTTATTATACTTTAAGGGTACATCTGCACAACGTGCAGGTTAGTTACATATGTATACATGTGCCATGTTGGTGTGCTACACCCAGTAACTCGTCATTTAACATTAGGTATATCTCCTAATGCTATCCCTCCCCACTCCCCCCACCCCATAACAGGCCCCAGTGTATGGTGTTCCCCTTCCTGTGTCCATGTGTTCTCATTGTTCAACTCCCACCTATGAGTGAGAACATGCGGTGTTTGGTTTTTTGTCCTTGCGATAGTTTGCTGAGAATGATGGTTTCCAGCTTCATCCATGTCCCTACAAAGGACATGAACTCATCATTTTTTATGGCTGCATAGTATTCCATGGTGTATATGTGCCACATTTTCTTAATCCAGTCTATCATTGTTGGACATTTGGGTTGGTTCTAAGTCTTTGCTATTGTGAATAGTGCCACAATAAACATACGTGTGCATGTGCCTTTATAGCAGCATGATTTATTATCCTTTGGGTATATACCCAGTAATGGGATGGCTGGGTCAAATGGTATTTCTAGTTCTAGAACCTTGAGGAATCACCACACTGTCTTCCACAATGGTTGAACTAGTTTACAGTTCCACCAACAGTGTAAAAGTGTTCCTATTTCTCCACATCCTCTCCAGCACCTGTTGTTTCCTGACTTTTTAATGATCGCCATTCTAACTGGTGTGAGATGGTATCTCATTGTGGTTTTGATTTGCATTTCTCTGATGGCCAGTGATGATGAGCATTTTTTCACGTGTCTTTTGGCTGCATAAATGTCTTCTTTTGAGAAGTGTCTGTTCATATCCTTTGCCCACTTGTTGATGGGGTTGTTTGGTTTTTTTCTTGTAAATTTGTTTGAGTTCATTGTAGATTCTGGATATTAGCCCTTTGTCAGATGAGTAGATTGCAAAAATTTTCTCCCATTCTGTAGGTCGCCTGTTCACTCTGTTCACTCTGATTCACTCTGTTCATTCTGTTCACTCTGATGGTAGTTTCTTTTGCTGTGCAGAAGCTCTTTAGTTTAATTAGATCCCATTTGTCAATTTTAGCTTTTGTTGCCATTGCTTTTGGTGTTTTAGACATGAAGTCCTTGCCCATGCCTATGTCCTGAATGGTATTGCCTAGGTTTTCTTCTAGGGTTTTTATGGTTTTAGGTCTAACATGTAAGTCTTTAATCCATCTTGAATTAATTTTTGTATAAGGTGTAAGGAAGGAATCCAGTTTCAGCTTTCTACATATGGCTAGCCAGTTTTCCCAGCACCATTTATTAAATAGGGAATCCTTTCCCCATTTCTTGTTTTTGTCAGGTTTGTCAAAGATCAGATGGTTGTTGATATGTGGCATTATTTCTGAGGGCTCTGTTCTGTTCCATTGTTCTATGTATCTGTTTTGGTACCAGTACCATGCTGTTTTGGTTACTGTAGCCTTGTAGTATAGTTTGAAGTCAGGTAGCATGATGCCTTCAGCTTTGTTCTTTTGGCTTAGGATTGACTTGGCAATGCGGGCTCTTTTTTGGTTCCATATGAACTTTAAAGTAGATTTTTCCAATTCTGTGAAGAAAGTCAGTGGTAGCTTGATGGGGATGGCATTGAATCTATAAATTACCTTGGGTAGTATGGCCATTTTCACGATATTGATTCTTCCTACCCATGAGCATGGAACGTTCTTCCATTTGTTTGTATCCTCTTTTATTTCATTGAGCAGTGGTTGGTAGTTCTCCTTGAAGAGGTCCTTCACGTTCCTTGTAAGTGGGATTCCTGGGTTTTTTATCTCTTTGAAGCAATTGTGAATGGGAGTTCACTCATGATTTGGCTCTCTGTTTGTCTGTTATTGGTGTATAAGAATGCTTGTGATTTTTGCACATTGATTTTGTATCCTGAGACTTTGCTGAAGTTGCCTATCAGCTTAAGGAGATTTTGGGCTGAGACAATGGGGTTTTCTAGATATACAATCATGTCATCTGCAAACAGGGACAATTTGACTTCCTCTTTTCCTAATTGAATACCCTTTATTTCCTTCTCCTGCCTGATTGCCCTGGCCAGAACTTCCAATACTATGTTGAATAGGAGTGGTGAGAGAGGGCATCCCTGTCTTGTGCCAGGTTTCAAAGGGAATGCTTCCAGTTTTTGCCCATTCAGTATGATATTGGCTGTGGGTTTGTCATAAATAGCTCTTATTATTTTGAGATATGTCCCATCAATACCTAATTTATTGAGCGATTTTAGCATGAAGGGTTGTTGAATTTTGTCAAAGGCCTTTTCTGCATCTATTGAGATAATTATATGGTTTTTGTCTTTGGTTCTGTTTATATGCCGGATTACATTTATTGATTTGTGTATGTTGAACCAGCCTTGCATCCCAGGGATAAAGCCCACTTGACTATGGTGGATAAGCTTTTTGATGTGCTGCTGGATTCCATTTGCCAGTATTTTATTGAGGATTTTTGCATCGATGTTCATCAGGGATATTGGTCTAAAATTCTCTTTTTTTGTTGTGTCTCTGTCAGGCTTTGGTATCAGGATGGTGCTGGCCTCATAAAATGAGTTAGGAAGGATTCCCTCTTTTTCTATTGATTGGAATAGTTTCAGAAGGAATGGTACCAGCTCCTCCTTGTACCTCTGGTAGAATTTGGCTGTGAATCCATCTGGTCCTGGACTTTTTTTGGTTGGTAAGCTATTAATTATTGCCTCAATTTCAGAGCCTATTATTGGTCTATTCAGAGATTCAACTTCTTCCTGGTTTAGTCTTGGGAGGGTGTATGTGTTGAGGAATTTATCCATTTCTTCTAGATTTTCTAGTTTATTTGCGTAGAGGTGTTTATAGTATTCTCCGATGGTAGTTTGTATTTCTGTGGGATCTGTGGTGATATCCCCTTTATCATTTTTTGTTGCGTCTATTTGATTCTTCTCTCTTTTCTTCTTTATTAGTCTTGCTAGTGGTCTATCAATTTTGTTGATCTTTTCAAAAAACCAGCTCCTGGATTCATTGATTTTTTTGAAGGGTTTTTTGTGTCTCTATTTCCTTCAGTTCTGCTCTGATCTTAGTTATTTCTTGCCTTTTGCTAGCTTTTGAATGTGTTTGCTCTTGCTTCTCTAGTTCTTTTTTTTTTTTTTTAATTTTTTTAGTATTTATTGATCATTCTTGGGTTTTTCTCGGAGAGGGGGATTTGGCAGGGTCATAGGACAATAGTGGAGAGAAGGTCAGCAGATAAACATGTGAACAAAGGTCTCTGGTTTTCCTAGGCAGAGGACCCTGCGGCCTTCCGCAGTGTTTGCGTCCATGGGTACTTGAAATTAGGAAGTGGTGATGACTCTTAAGGAGCATGCTGCCTTTAAGCATCTGTTTAACAAAGCACATCTTGCACCGCCCTTAATCCATTTAACCCTGAGTTGACACAGCACGTTTCAGAGAGCAAGGGGTTGGGGGTAAGGTTATAGATTAACAGCATCCCAAGGCAGAAGAATTTTTCTTAGTACAGAACAAAATGGAGTCTCCTATGTCTACTTCTTTCTACACAGACACAGTAACAATCTGATCTTTCTTTCTTTTCCCCACATTTCCCCCTTTTCTATTTGACAAAACCGCCATCGTCATCATGGCTTGTTCTCAATGAGCTGTTGGGTACACCTCCCAGACAGGGTGGCGGCCGGGCAGAAGGGCTCCTCACTTCCCAGACATGGCGGCGGGGCAGAGGGTCTCCCCACCCCCCGAGACGGGGCGGCCGGGCAGAGGCGCTCCTCAGTTCCCAGACGGGGTCGCGGCCGGGCAGAGGCACTCCTCACCTCCCAGATGGGGTGGCGGCCAGGTAGAGATGCTCCTCACCTCCCAGACAGGGCGGCCGGGCAGAGGCGCTCCTCACATCCCAGATGGGGCGGCCGGGCATAGGTGCTCCCCACATCCCAGACAATGGGCAGCCAGGCAGAGACGCTCCTCACTTCCTAGACAGGATGACGGCCTGGAAGAGGCACTCCTCACTTCCCAGACTGGGCGGCTGGGCAGAGGGGCTCCTCACATCCCAGATGATGGGCGGCCAGGCAGAGACGCTCCTCACTTCCCAGACGGGGTGGCGGCCGGGAAGAGGCACTCCTCACTTCCCAGACTGGGCGGCTGGGCAGAGGGGCTCCTCACATCCCAGACGATGGGCGGCCTGGCAGAGACGCTCCTCACTTCCTAGATGGGGTGGTGGCCGGGCAGAGGCTGCAATCTCAGCACTTTGGGAGGCCAAGGCAGGCGGCTGGGAGGTGGAGGTTGTAGCGAGCCGAGATCATGCCACTGCACTCCAGCTTGGGCAGCATTGAGCACTGAGTGAGCAAGACTCTGTCTGCAATCCCGGCACCTCGGGAGGCCGAGGCAGGCAGATCACTCGAGGTCAGGAGTTGGAGAGCAGCCCGGCCAACATGGCGAAACCCCGTCTCCACCAAAAAATACAAAAACCAGTCAGGCGTGGCAGCGCACACCTGCAATCCCAGGCACTCAGCAGGCTGAGGCAGGAGAATCAGGCAGGGAGGTTGCAGTGAGCCGAGATCGCGGCAGTACAGTCCAGCCTTGGCAACAGAGGGAGACTGTGGCCAAGTGGGAGACGGAGACGAGGGAGAGGGGGAGACCGTGAAAAGGGAGAGGGAGAGGGAGCTCTAGTTCTTTTAATTGTGATGTTAAGGTGTCAATTTTAGATCTTTCCTGCTTTCTCTTGTGGGCATTTAGTGCTATAAATTTCCCTCTACACACTGCTTTAAATGTGTCCCAGAGATTCTGGTATATTGTGTCTTTGTTCTCATTGGTTTCAAAGAACATCTTTATTTCTGCCTTCATTTTGTTATGTACCCAGTAGTCATTCAGGAGCAGGTTGTTCAGTTTCCATGTAGTTGAGTGGTTTTGAGTGAGTTTCTTAATCCTGAGTTCTAGTTTGATTGCACTGTGGTCTGAGAGACAGTTTGTTATAATTTCTATTCTTTTACATTTGCTGAGGAGTGCTTTACTTCCAACTATGTGGTCGATTTTGGAATAGGTGTGGTGTGGTGCTGAGAAGAAAGTACATTCTATTGCTTTGGGGTGGAGAGTTCTGTAGATGTCTATTAGGTCCGCTTGGTGCAGAGCTGAGTTCAATTCCTGGATATCCTTCTTAATTTTCTGTCTCGTTGATCTGTCTAATGTTGACAGTGGGGTGTTAAAGTCTCCCATTATTATTGTGTGGGAGTCTAAGTCTCTTTGTAGGTCTCTAAGGACTTGCTTTATGAATCTGGGTGCTCCTGTATTGGATGCATATATATTTAACATAGTTAGCTCTTCTTGTTGAATTGATGCCTTTACCATTATGTAATGGCCTTCTTTGTCTCTTTTGATCTTTGTTGGTTTAAAGTCTGTTTTATCAGAGACTAGGATTGCAACCCCTGCCTTTTTTTGTTTTCCATTTGCTTAGTAGATCTTCCTCCATCCCTTAATTTTGAGCCTATGTGTGTCTCTGCATGTGAGATGGGCTTCCTGAATACAGCACACTGATGGGTCTTGACTCTTTATCCAATTTGCCAGTCTGTGTCTTTTAATTGGAGCATTTAGCCCATTTACATTTAAGGTTAATATTGTTATGTGTGAATTTGATCCTGTCATTATGATGTTAGCTGGTTATTTTGCTCGTTAGTTGATGCAGTTTCTTCCTAGCCTCGACGGTCTTTATAATTTGGCATGATTTTGCAGTGGCTGGTACCGGTTGTTCCTTTCCATGTTTATTGCTTCCTTCAGGAGCTCTTGTAGGACAGGCCTGGTGGTGACAAAATCTCTCAGCATTTGCTTGTCTGTAAAGGATTTTATTTCTCCTTCACTTATGAAGCTTAGTTTGGCTGGATGTGAAATTCTGGGTTGAAAATTCTTTTCTTTAAGAATGTTGAATATTGCCCCCCACTCTCTTCTGGTTTGTAGAGTTTCTGCTGAGAGATGAGCTGTTAGTCTGATGGGCTTCCCTTTGTAGGTAACCCGACCTTTCTCTCTGGCTGCCCTTAACATTTTTTCCTTCATTTCAACTTTGATGAATCTGACAATTATGTGTCTTGGAGTTGCTCTTCTCGAGGAGTATCTTTGTGGCATTCTCTGTATTTCCTGAGTTTGAATGTTGGCCTGCCTTGCTAGATTGGGGAAGTTCTCCTGGATAATATACTGCAGAGTGTTTTCCAGCTTGGTTCCATTCTCCCCGTCACTTTCAGGTACATCAATCAGACGTAGATTTGGTCTTTTCACATAGTCCCATGTTTCTTGGAGGCTTTGTTCATTTCTTTTTATTCTTTTTTCTCTAAACTTCTCTTCTCACTTCATTTCATTCATTTGATCTTCCATCACTGATACCCTTTCTTCCAGTTGATCGAATCGGCTACTGAGGCTTGTGCATTCGTCATGTAGTTGTCGTGCCTTGGTTTTCAGCTCCATCAGGTCCTTTAAGGACTTCTCTGCATTGGTTATTCTAGTTAGTCATTCGTCTAATTTTTTTTCAAGGTTTTTAACTTCTTTGCCTTGGGTTCAAACTTCCTCCTTTAGCTCGGAGTAGTTTGATCTTCTGAAGTCTTCTTCTCTCAACTCGTCAAAGTCATTTTCCGTCCAGCTTTGTTCCATTGCTGGTGAGGAGCTGCATTGCTTTGGAGGAGGAGAGGTGCTCTGATTTTTAGAGTTTCCAGTTTTTCTGCTCTGTTTCTTCCCCATCTTTGTGGTTTTATCTACCTTTTGTCTTTGATGATGATGATGTACAGATGGGGTTTTGGTGTGGATGTCCTTCCTGTTTGTTAGTTTTCCTTCTAACAGACAGGACCCTCAGCTGCAGGTCTGTTGGAGTTCGCTGGAGGTCCACTCCAGACCCTGTTTGCCTGGGTATCAGCAGCAGAGGCTGCAGAACAGCGGATATTGGTGCACAGCAAATGTTGCTGCCCGATCATTCTTCTGGAAGTTTTGTCTCAGAGGAGTACCCGGCTGTGTGAGATGTCAGTCTGCCCCTACTGGGAGGTGCCTCCCAGTTAGGCTACTCGGGGGTCAGGGACCCACTTGAGGAGGCAGTCTGCCAGTTCTCAGATCTCCAGCTGCGAGCTGGGAGAACCACTACTCTATCCAAAGCTGTCAGACAGGGACATTTAAGTCTGCAGAGGATTCTGCTGCCTTTTGTTTGGCTATGCCCTGCCCCTAGAGCTAGAGTCTACAGAGACAGGCAGGCTTCCTTGAGCTGCGGTGGGCTCCACCCAGTTCGAGCTTCCTGGCCGCTTTGTTTACCTACTCAAGCCTCAGCAATGTCGGGCGCCCCTCCCACAGCCTCGCTGCCGCCTTGCAGTTTGATCTCAGACTTCTGTGCTAGCAAAGAGCAAGGCTCCATGGGCGTAGGACCCTCCAAGCCAGGTGCGGGATATAATCTCCTGGTGTGCTGTTTGCTAAGGGTGTTTGAAAAGTGCAGTGTTAGGGTGGGAGTGACCCGATTTTCCAGGTGCTGTCTGTCACCCCTTTCTTTGACTAGGAAAGGGAATTCCCTGACCCTTTGTGCTTCCCGGGTGAGGCGATGCCTTGCCCTGCTTCGGCTCACGCTCGGTGCGCTGCACCCACTGTCCTGCACCCACTTTCCGACACTCCCCAGTGAGATGAACCTCGTACCTCAGTTGGAAATGCAGAAATCACCCGTCTTCTGCGTTGCTCATGCAGGGAGTTGTAGACTGGAGCTGTTCCTATTTGGCCATCTTGGCTCCACCCCTATTTATTTTTATTATTTATTTATTTTTTGAGACGGAGTCTTGCTCTGTCGCCCATGCTGGAGTGCAGTGGCACAATCTCAGCTCACTGCAAGCTCTGCCTCCTGGGCTCACGCCATTCTCCTGCCTCAGCCTCCCAAGTAGCTAGGACTACAGTCACCTGCCACCACCCCTGGCTAATTTTTTTTTGTATTTTTAGTAGAGACGGGGTTTCACTGTGTTAGCCACTGTGTGGATCTCCTGACCTCGTGATCCACCCGCCTCTGCCTCCCAAAGTGCTGGGATTACAGGCATGAGTCACCGCGCTTGGCCTTATTTTATTTATTTTTATTACATGTCAGCTTATGCTACCTACTAGTGGCTTTGGCTTGGACCTACCAGGCTGATGGGGAAAATGACATTAAAAGGGGGTGTTTCTGGTTTCACAGTTTAAGAGCAATTTCTACCATGCTGGATTTGGCTATATATTTAAGTGAGAACAAAAAAGGTAGTTGCCTAAAGTAATAAAGGACAAAGATTTTAAATAGAAAATTATCTTGGGAAGTAATGGAAGAATTGCAAGAGAATCAATGAAATTAGAAGTGACAAGCCTCCAATTTTTGCTGTTGATAATTATGATCTGAATGTTTTAAAGTGAGCGTTATCACACTTTAAAAGTACCAGAAGGAATGCAGTGAGCCATTTATATCTACTGCTTGTACCCTTCCTGACTTTGAAAAGCAAGTGCTCAGTGTTTCAAAGAGTTGATCTCAGTGATTGTGTTTTCTGAAGATTATCTATGTGTACTCTTTGATTCAAGGGAATGGGATTTGAGAAAGTGGGGAGTGTTGGGATGACATATTTTGAAAGCTATGAGTTAATATATGCATTAAATATATTAAGTCAGTTGTATTAGCATATATGATTCAGTTTTCAGCGACAGCTCTGTTTCCTCCTTCCTATGGCAACACATAACACAGTGACAGGCAAGTATCATGAGTATCCAGGAATTACATACTGGGTTAAAATAATAGGGGCCAGGTGCAGTGGCTCACGCCTGTAATCCCAGCACTTTGGGAGACTGAGGCAGGAGGATTGCTTGAGTCCAGGAGTTTGAGACCAGACTGGGCAATGTAGTGAGTCCTTGTCTCTACAAAGAATTTAAAAATTAGCCAGGTGTGGCGGTACTTACCTGTAGCCCCAGTTACTTAGGAGGCTGAGGTGGGAAGATTGCTTGAGCCCAGGAGGTCAAGGCTGCAGTGAGCTGTGATCACACCACTGCACTCCAGCCTGGGCAACAGAGCAAGACCCTGTCCCTCCACCCCCCGTCCCCCCAAAAAAAAGATAATAGAGGAGGAAAACTAAACAAGAAAAGAGAAGTGGAAGGTTCAGAAAGGATGCATGCATATTCAATGAATAATTATTCCCTTCCTACTATTCCTTGATATTTTGTGTACTTACAGTTCTTCTTACATCTGTTTGGCATTCTAGGCACTGGTTGCAGTGGTAAACAAAATAGAAAAGGTCCCTGACCTCATAGAGATTACATGAAGGGAGAAAGATAATGAAAAAATAAGACAATTTCGATATGCTATAAGTACTAAACGTACAATCGTGGGAGAGTAGCCATTATATGAGTTTGGAGAAGAGATGGTAGTGACATGGTCAAAGGTGGCAGTAGTGGAGGTGATGAGAAGTATTTGGAATTGGAGAATGGAGGTAGAACTAATAGGACTTCATGATGGGTTGAATATAGGGAGTTGTGGGGGAAAAGGAAGAGTCAGAAGTCTCCCGAGTTTTAACCTTGAATAACAAGGTGGTTGTCAGTGCCACTAATGAGATAGGAGATTGAGAGAGAAGCAACTAGGAGAAGGAGGATGTAGGGAAGTAAAAAGAGAAGGCAATAATGAGAATTGACTGTTGACTCTAAAGCAAGTGTATAACATGCACACACACACGTACACATGTGTATGCACTTACACATACGTAGAGATAGATAGTCTTCATTATTAATAGATTCCATATTTATGAATTTGTCTACCTGCTAAAATTTATTTATAATCACAAATCCATACAGCACCTGTAGTCATTCATGGACATGTACACAGTGGCAAATAATTTGGGTCACCCAACACACACATGTTTAGTTTTCAAACAAGATGATGATCTGCCCTGTTGTTTGAGCTCTCATACTATAAACAAATGTCCTTTTGTCCATCTATTTAGTGATACTTTTTTTTTTTTTTTTTTTTTGCATTTCTATGCCTTTTGTTGGTGATTTCTTTAAGATGGCCTCTGAGTTAGTGCTGAAGTGCTGTTTGGTGTTCTTATCCACAAGAAGGCTATAATATGCCTTGTGGAAAAAATACACCTATTAGATAAGCTTTATCAGGTATGAGTTATAGAGTGCTGTTGTCCATGAGTTCAATGTTAATGAATCAAAAAAATATATATTTTAAAGGTGTCTTTAAATAGAAACATACAGACAACAAGGTTATATATTGATCATTTAAGGAAAATGTGACCAGACTTGCAGGACCCTGACCCTGTATTTCCTCTAGGAGCAGTGGTTCAGTATTTGCTAATTCAGCATTCATAGTGATTTTATAGAACATAACTACCATGAATAATGAGAATTGATTGCATATATATATTGTTCTTGTTGTTGTTTATTTGGGCTCCGGTCTTTCGAGTGACTTTTATTATTGTCCTTTAAAATTATGATTCAGACCCAATTCCTGCTATATTTTTCTGCTAAATTTTGAAGAAATGATGTGTTTTTGTTTTTAATAAAGTTTAAAACTTTGGTAGTATCTAGACATGGAAACAAATTTGGGAGTGTTATATAACTTGCCCAAGTTATACAGGTTACTGGTATATGGAAGAACTGAACAGAAATCAGATCCTTACCCAATCATTCTGACTCCAAAACTTATACTCTTAGCTACCATACAGTTAGAACTAAACAAAACACTCAATGAAAAAAATTTTTTCAAGGTAAAACTTAAAAAAATTTTACTTTGCAAGGTAAAACTTAACAAAACTTAAAAAAGATTTTAAAAACTTAAACTTAAAAAATTTAAAATTAAAGAAACTTTAAAAACTTAAAAAAATTTACTTTTCAAGGTAAAACTTTAAAAATTTTTATTTCTGTAGTGCCAGAGGTAGAATATTTTTTCAAAGTACTACTGATGCTGGGGAAATAATTAAAACTAAAATCTCCTGTCAATCCAGTGAATTCTCTTTACAAACGTAGGAAAAAAAAGAAACAGTTTTATTACTGAATTCAATCAGATTCAATCAGATTGTGATGCACATTACAGGCAATCTGTTAGAGATATTGCAAAGACAGAAAGAAATGTCACCCTTTTGTATAGCAAGGCAGATACAATCCATTATATACATGTTAATTATCTGTATTAAAGGAAAAATAAAAACTTCTAATGTCTTTTTGATAAGTAAGAGGTTACAACTTGGGGCCAGGAGCCTTGACGAAATTCCAACAGAGACAGGGAAACAAGGTACCATCTTCCGAGATGTTCACATTTCAAAGAAATGATTCCAAAGCCCCCAAGAAAGACATTGCTGAGATTCAAAACTGGCAAGAGCCTTCTTTAGCTCTTAATAAGATTTATGTACATCTTAAAGAGAGTAAAGGATTTGTAGTTACAGATTTTCTAAAGGAAATGCTACAAGAAAATGGAAGAGGGTATAGTCTCTTTTCCTTTTGGAACCAGAGAAAATTGAGTTTGTTTGTTTTTTTTTTTTAGATTTGTAGTTAACCAACTTTCAATGTCAAATAAGGCTATTAACAATTTAATGTGGGAGAACATGGACTCTTCTTGAGTTAGTATTACAAACAGGCTGATTATAAAATTTCCTTCTTAGGAAGTGATTAAATAAGTCTGTCCCTATAAGATAAACAAAGGTACTACACTAATTTCATTTAATTTTTCAATAGTATTTATGTTTTGCTAGGGGAAAAACAAAATCCTACAGCCACTCTGTGTTGAGCTGACAGTCCTTGAAGTGGTTAGGCCAATGAGTCAAAGTGAAATTAACAGTCAAACTGTTAACTTACTGCTATAGGATAAACAAGAGGCCAAAATGAAAAGGGCTGACTCTTCAGTGTTGCATTTTTCCCTATGGAATAGCACCAGGTGAGGAACAGTCTGACATACACCCAGATGGGGGGAATCATCTCACTGCCTAGGAGCCCTGCACAAAAGATTCCTGCTATTTTAAAGTGTAGGGAGAAGAAAGGCTAGGAGTAGAAAAGTACTGAGTCAGAGTGGAGAAAAGTATTTTAATTAAGGCTTCTCCACCAATAAGAAGATCTTGGATAGAGGTACTTGACACATGCCTCAGTCTAAGCTCCAAGTAAAGAGGCCCCTAATGCAGGTGACTAGGGTAGGAATGCAGAAATGCTTGTGGCAAGGCACTAGAATAACAGTAGTAGTAGTAGTATAGCTTTCAGGAAGGAAAGGAGGTGGCGTGTCCTTGACTGCAACTGTCTCGAGAGATTGCAGTGCACAGGCTGTGCATCATGTCTGGTGTGGAGAGGACAGCTTTCCCTGCAAGAGATCTTCCAGGCAGAGCCTTTGTAATTACCTGTGGCTGTGCCTGAAATATAACACATTGGATTTTAGCCAGGAGCTGGACTTTTCACCTAGAGAAACACTTGCCTTCAGAGTTTGGCACTGGTGCTGGGTTGAAGTGAACCACCCTTCTTTTCATCACTAACTATCTTAGAAAGTCCTAAGATTGTAGGGTAAAAGACTCGGGGAACAGTATAGCTTTGAGAAGCTCACATTGATGCACCTATGTGTTTTGCATGTAGCTAAATTAGTGGAATTTTTAAAAACAAAATTGGCAGTCCTTTTTTTTAACTTGTTCCTGATCTCCAGCATGGATCTTATTCCACTGTGAGATCATGGAAAAGCTCCAACAGAACACAGTTAAAAGCTATAAAGTTTCTGCACATGGAAAGTTATCTTATGGAGATGGCTATACAAAATAGATAAAACAGCATATTTTAAGTTGGAGGTACAGTTTTCTGTTTTCTCAGTGTCCACAAAAAAACATAGTTGCTGCTGTTGAATACATGGAATGAGTGTCTGCAAAGCATGTGAAGTACCCCTTAGGCACTCCTAGGGGATTTTTATTATCTTTCAGGCCCTTCCTGACTGCTCTGGATACTGTAGAACAGCTCTAGCGTATTTCTGAGTACAGTCCAGGCAGCTACAACACAGGTTTCTAAAATGCCAATTAAGTCATGTAAATAGAAAATGAGGGGATCATCAGCAATATAACATAGAAGTTATATTGTTCATGTGTGGTTTTTCCTAGACTCAAGGCACTAGAATAACTGCAGTAATATTTATAGCCTTCAGGAAAGGGGCAAGCTTTGCTAGTACATAGACAAGTGCCCTTTTTAGCTCTAGTTTAAGAAAATTTAGAATGAGCAGCAGTACCCTGGGCTCCTTCCCTGACCCCCAGCATTAGACAGACTATAGGCTGGAAGCAAGTTGCACTTCCTCCTTTGCCCATTTTAACCTCAGCTTCTTTGGCCCAAGGCTCCACTTCAGTCTTTATGTCTTGGCATCCATAAGCCAACATTTCTTCTTTGTTGTCTGTGCATTTTTAATATATCCTGAGGCAATCTCCAGACATGCTTGATCTGTCCAACTTAACTCCTGAGGCACCAATTATTGTTTTTATTCTCCAGTTCTAAAGCTACATCAGTTGTAAGTAGTCTGGTTTCTAATACTATTTTCTCCTGAGCCCTGTTAATTACTTGCATGATTTTGCAGAATGTGAAGTTTTTCAGTAATACTGTTAATGGCAGATATTTTCTGTGAGACTAAGTGAACCAGTTTCCTATGAGTCCCCAGCTTTTACTAATCATTGTCTTATATAAATAGAAAAACAATGGGACTAAATGAGTGAATACATGTAAAGTGCTTAGAATTCCTGCATAGAGAAGGCTCTCAGTACCTACTAGTTATCATCATTAGGCTCCCAATAAGTTGTAGTTACTGTCATTATTAAGTGAGGGTATCTATTTATTCATCTGGTTAATGAAATCACATTTCATTTCCCAGAGTAACTGATCAGTACATGCAATTATATATTTAGGTTATTGCACTGACAGTAAAAATGTTGTATATCTACAGTGTAACATTTATTAATCAGATTTGCAAACAATTCATTGATAAGTTGAACATTTTCACCTAAGTGAAAGGAAGTAACATTTAAATTCAGATATATCAGTTTACGTCTAGTCCTTCTAGAGGCCATATCAGCTTTTCTGTGTCCTTTTTTGTTCTAGATAATATGCTCATGGCACTGCCTTTAGGCAAAACTGTGAAGAATGTGAATGTAGTAAATAGGAAGTCATTTATAATTTGGCTTGGGCATATACTCACTAGAAAGCAGAGAATAGCAACTGAGTGAATATAAGGGGAATATATGTGACTGGTGTAGGTAATTGTAGGGAAGTAGTAGAATCAAGTAAGAAAGGAGTCAGGAGAAATACTGTGTTAGGACTGGGGGGGCACGGTGGCTCACTCCTGTAATCCCAGCATTTTGGGAGGCCAAGGCGGGCGGATCACAAGGTCAGGAGTTTGAGACCAGCCTGGCCAACATGGTAAAACACCGTTTCTACTAAAAATAAAAACAACAACAACAACAAAAACTGGGCATGGTGGCATGTGCCTATAATCCCAGCTACTTGGGAGGCTGAGGCAGGAGAATTGTTTGAACCCGGGAGGCAGAGGTTGCAGTGAGCTGAGATCGTGCCATTGCACTCCAGCCTGGGCAACAGGGCGAGACTCCGTCTCAAAAAAAAAAAAAAAAAAAAAAGATGGAAAAAGCATTAAATTTGTGGGTGGAAGACATGGACAGAAATGTGTTCCAATTGATGGCAACTGGGTTTGGTTCTGAGGTCTCAGGTATCTACTGGGGATCCTGGAACAATGTATCCCCCACTGACAAGGGGGGACTACTGTAGTCTCGTAATAATCCTTCAAATTACCCCTCTTCAATTTGAGTATGCCATCAGTTTCCTGCTGGGACTTCAACCCACTAAACTGACTCTATGACTCATTAACGATGCGCTCTGCCTGCTGTTTGTAAAATAGAATAGTAAAACTCCATCATGTCATTTTCCTGTTGAAAAACAATCAATGATTTCTCATTTTTTTATGTGCTAAATCTAATATCCTTGGGCTAGCATTCAAAACTCTCCATGCCATTAGTCCTAACACAGTATTTCTTTTTTTTTTTGGAGATGGAGTCTCACTCTGTCACCCAGGCTAGAGTGCAGTGGCACGATCTCACCTCACTGCAACCCCTGCCTCCCAGGTTCAGGCGATTCTTTTGCCTCAGCCTCCCGAGTAGCTGGGACTACAGGCATGCGCCACCATATCCAGCTAAGTTTTGTATTTGTTTTTCTTTTTTTTTTTTTTAGTAGACAGGGAGTTTCACCATGTTGCCCAGGCTGGTCTCAATCTCCTGACCTCAGGTGATCCTGAGGTCATCTTAACTAAGCATGTATCACACACTGTGGCTGTAACTTTTGCAGTTTGAGGTCCAACAGCAAAACTAGCCCAGATTTCTTATTCCTTCTTCACAATTTCACAGATAGAATATTCGTTCTCACTGTATATCTTAGCAACCTCAGCATACACTTTTTTTCTTAAGTGGAGAACTTTCACCTTTTCACTTAAAGGACACACTTCATGACTTCTCTTTGGCACATCAAAATTGCTAACATGACTACTCTTGCATTTTGGGTCCATTATTAAGTTAAAGAAGGATTGTTACTTGAACATAAGCACTGTGGTACCCAACAGTTGATCTGATAATCAAGATGGCTACTAAGTGACTAACTGGTAGGTAGTGTATGTATACAGTTACAGCATGGATAAGCTGGACAAAGGGATGAATCACATCCTAGGTGGGATGGAGTGGGACAGCATGAGATTTCATCACACTACTCAGACTAGTGAGCATTAAAAAAAAATAAAATAAAAAAACTTATTTATTACTGGAATTTTCCTTTTAATATTTTTGGACCCTGGTTTACCTTGCATAACTAAAACCATGGAAAATGAAACTACGGATCAGCGTGTACTACTGTACTGTTTTCAAAGCCATGAGGAGGGAGAAGAAAGATTACTACAGCCTGTCTTCTAGATATTTGGAGAAGGACAAGTGTTTACTACTAGGTGGATACACTTATACATAGTTGTATTTCTGGGTGAAGAGACTCTCCTTTCCCCTAGCATTCTAGTAGCCACCTGGAATAATGGTCTGTTGGATCTCCACGCCCTCTTGACTGGCCCAGGCATTGCCATTTTCTGTTCTTTGCCACTGGTAGAATACAAAGAGAGAGGGACCAAACGTCTAGCTGTTCCTGCTACAGTACCCAAACCAGTGGCCCTTCCCATGCTTCCTGCTCCCTTTATCTGTAGTCTGTGATCTTGGAGCACGTTGGATGGAAGTCGCTTCCATCCTTTGTTGTATTTCTCTCTTGTGCTGTCTTTTGTGGGTGCTGGGGGGTGGTTAGAACTTTCTTCTTCAATCTGATCTCTTCTGTCTTCAGAGATTCCTTCTAATTTGCGATTTATTGAGAGGGCCTTCTAGTTTTCCAGTGACAATATGATTTAAAAAATTTTAAACTCTGGCCGGGCACGGTGGCTCACGCCTGTAATCCCAACACTTTGGGAGGCTGAGGTGGGTGGATCACGAGGTCAGGAGATCGAGACCATCCTGGTTAACACGGTGAAACCCCGTCTCTACTAAAAATATAAAAAATTAGCCAGGCATGGTGGCGGGCGCCTGTAGTCCCAGCTACTCAGGAGGCTGAGGCAGGAGAATGGTGTGAACCCGGGAGACGGAGCTTGCAGTGAGCCGAGATTGCGCCACTGCACTCCAGCCTGGGTGATAGAGCGAGATTCTGTCTCAAAAAAAAAAAAAAATTTTTTTTAACTCTATATATGCATATATGTATGTGTTTATACATACACATACATACATGTGTGCACACACACATATAAGTAAAGTGATATAAGGCTGTTGGGAGGGTGGCTGGATCATTGACTTAGTTTATCATCTTGGTCCAGTGTCTAGGAAGTAATTTTGTATTATCTTGATTTTTTTCCCCCTTTTAGATTACAGGAGCTTATTAATCATAAGAAGGCTGAGGACACAGAGAAGAAAGATGAGCCCAGCAAATATAATCAGCAACAGGCCCTAATTGACCAGAGATACTTTCAGGTATTGAATTGATTTTTCATGACAAAAAGACTGATGTTTGTCATGAATCTTGGTTATCAGTTGTGGTGTAATAAATTATCAGTTGGTAAGGAATACTTGCACCTCATATTTATGTGTACTTATTCTGTCTTGTCTTTCCGTGACATAACTATTTGACTAAAAACATTGTAGAATTCGTCTTACTACTTAAAAGAGACTCTGGCCTAGTTCAAAGGAGGTTAGTAAAGAGCTTTATGATTTTTAAAAGTTTCTATAATCCTTTTCCCTACTTTCCCCATGTAAGCCATTTTCCCTCGTATTGTTTCTGTTGTTACCATTATTATTAAGTAAATCTATTTTCTTAGGGTCCTTGTATGGCTTTTGTTTTTGTTTAGAGACCTTAGTTCATCTGAAATTTAATTTTCTATATGGTGTGATATAGGGAATCTCACCTTCCTAGTTTTATAGATCATTTATTGAATAGCTGAGCAGTTAAACCTGGTAGTTTAGTGACTGAACTGGACTTTCACTCACATTTTATTGGGTACACATAAGATTTTTAAGTTTTAGATTATTCATTTTTTTAAAAATTAAGATATTTTATTTTTTCTAGGCTGCTATTTCTAACTTCTCCTAAAAAGTCAGAAGATCTGGCAACAAATTCCTGCATGGTTATTATCACAGCAGAATTAGGCCTTTCCCTTGTCAGATATGAGCATGTGTTCTATAGTTAGCAGTCCCTATTCATCCTTACGTCACTCATTTATACTCGTACCTGAATTCTCTGGGCATTTGTGTTTGCAGTCTCTAATACGCTACTTTTTTCTCTACTTTATTGAAATAACATTTTATCATAGATCATATTCATTTATATGCACAGATTTGTTTTTAGATTCTCTAGTCTGTTGCATTTCTCAACTATTTCCATATTTTAATTTCTATAGTTAAAAGTTTTAATAGCCTTTGAGGCAAGTATCCTATCATTAAAAAAATTTTTTTTATTGGCTATATTTTTAGCACATTTATTCTTCTGGATGAACAGTTTTTCAAATTAAAAAATAAATCTCATTGAGATGAACTAAAATTGAATTGACTTTATAGATTAATATTTGGAGAAATGACACCTTAACCTTTTTGAATCATCACATTCAGAAATATGTACTTTCATCAGGGTCATCTTTTATAGTCTTCAATAAAGTGTTGTGTATTTTTAAATTTAGCTCTTGCATATTTCTTGTTAGGAAATACCTTGTTATTTCCTAGGTATTTTATAACTTTTATTGCTATTGTAAATGGGAACCAAGCACCTTTCTGAAAACTGTTTTGTTTTAGACTTTCTTGTACCAGTATATAACTGGATTTCATTTTGTTTCTGAGACTCAATTTGAGAGGCTTTGTCCTTTAAAAGGGGAATTCAAGCCGGGTATGGTGGCTCATGCCTGTAATCTTAACACTTTGGGTGACCGAGGCAGGAGGATTGCTAGAGGGCAGGAGTTTGAGACCAGCCTGGGCAATATAGTGAGACCACATCTCTAGAAAAAAAAAAATTTAATTAGCTGGGCATGGTGGCTTGTGCCTGTAGTCCTAGCACTTGAGAGGTTGACATGGGAAGATCACTTGAGCCCAGGAATTCAACGCTGCAGTGAGCTCCGTTCACACCACTGCACTCCATCTTAGGCTGCAGAGTGAGACTCTGTCAAATAAATATATAAAACAAATATACATACATCAATTTGAAGTGAAATATTGAATTATACTAATTTGGACTTAAAAAGCTTCTAAATAAACATCTGAAGTAATAAACATCTTAAGTCATATTACCAGGAGGCCTATTAGTTATATCTTGAAGTATGACCAGGGACAAAGATTCAAGAGCAAAATGCTATCTTTATATTGTGAAACTTTTTATTAAATAGGCTGAACTTGATGGTGGTAATAGGAAATGGCTTTATTCTTCTCTCTTTAAACATGCTTTTTGAGGTCTCCCTTTTTTTCCTCGGATGATATGTAAGGTAGAACCCATCACTTATGGGGAGAGGGTTATAGTCAAATAGTATACTATCTTAATATATTAAGATACCTAAAATTCAATCCAGGCATCAATGATATTATTTTTGGAGACAGGGTCTTGCTCTGTTGCCCAGGCTGAAGTGCATTATCATAGCTCACTGCAGCCTTGAATTCCTGGGCTCAAGTGATCCTCCTGCCTCAACCTCCCAAAGTGCTGGGATTACAGGCATGAGCCACCACACTCAGCCTGGGGATTGCTGTTAATTTCCTTAAATAGTCTGATAATGTTCTTGTGAGTTTGTAGGAGAATATGCCTACTTTTAAAAGATGCATGCTTTATTATTTGAGGGTGAAGAGTTTCTTCAAATGGTTCACCTAAAAATATAGATAGTGAGCAAATATGGCAAAATACTAACAATTTTTGAACCTAGGTAGTGTTTGTAATAGTTAATTTTGTTTCAACTTTACTGCGGCATAGGATGCCCGATATTTGGTTAAACATTATTCTGGATGTGTCTGGGAAGGTGCTTCTGGATGAGATTGACATCCGAATCAGTAGACTTTAGTAAATCAGACTGCCTTTCCTAATGGGGTGGGCCTCATCCAATGATTCAAAGCCCTGAGTAGAACAAAAGGCTGAATAAGAGGGAGCTCCTCCTCCCTGACTGCTTTCAAGATGGGACACTGGTTTTTTTCTTGCCTTCAGACTCAAACTGAAACATTAGCACTTGCAGGGGTCTCAGTCTGCCTGCATTTGGACTGCAAATACCCATTACCTTTTCTGGGTCTTCGCTTACTCACTGCAGATCTTGGGACTTGTCAGTCTTCATAATTGCATGAGCCAATTCCTTATGATAATTTTCTTTGTATATTTAATGAAATATGTGTATATAATATATATAGACATAAAGCACTCCTTTAAAATATATAACTTTGTAGGCATAGGATAAATATTTTGACTATATACACTATGTTTTTTTAAAGGTGCTGTGTAGCATCAATTCAATTATCCACAATCCAAGAGCTCCAGTAATAATTTATAAACAGACCAAAGGGGGAGTCCAAAATTTTAATAAAGATCTTGTTCAAGATTGTGGATTTGAGCATCTTGTTCCTGTAATAGAAATGTGGGCAGATCAACTGACATCCTTAAAGGTAAGGGGTTGACTATGATTATATGCTTTGAACATCTATTGGACTCTATGTGCTTTATTAATAGGACTTAATTCAGGGCTAAAAATTAAATAGGGTTTAATTTTTTTGTTTGTGTGTTAACTCTAAAGCTAAAAAAGCTTATTATCTAAAACCGAAATCTTCCTACTTACATATCTATTTTAGGTACTGTCTATTTGATGTTGTCATTACTGTAAGCTTTACCTCCTCTAAGATTCTACCAAACAAGAAATTTTGGGGTTAGTTTCCTTATTGAAAATCTATAGTGGATCCACTTTGTACTTCTAGGCCCTTCCCTGTTCTACCTTCATCTGCCTCCTTTTCATATCTCCATGCTGCGATTTTCCTGGCCCTTATCCCTCTTCAGATATAATGTCTTATCCTTCATTTTATTATAATTGGGGATATTTTCTCTCTCTTCACACTTTATTTTCTGTCTCTCAGAACTGAGCTTATCTCCATTTCTGCTTATTCTCTAGAACAGATAGTAAGCTAGCAGCCAACGCTACCCTTCCCTATCCTATCTCTTCATGGAAGACCACATTTTATTTATAGAGTTATTGTGTATTTATTGCATAGCTTCAGGTTTTTTCAGTTTTTGTTAACTAGTTTGCTGAAAGGTAAATAGTTGAAATCAGTAGTATTTAACTTCTTTGCCCTTTACACTTTAGATTTATTAGTAACTAATATAATACATAGCATATGCCTGTTAATGAAAATGTGATTCAATAACAGTGTTTGCAACATAAGTCTTATTACATGAAGTACAAATGATGCAGAAGATATCTGTTAAGAATGTATAAGCTCCATGAAGACAGTGTTTTTATTTGTTCTGATATGTCCCCAAGATCCTCCTGATGAATGAGTGCTCAATTAATATTTGTTAAAAGGAATGAAGCAGAATATTATATTCCAAGACAACAAAATTGGGGGTGGTGATGTTAATTTTTTTTAAATTTCGACTTCCCTTTTTATATAGGGCTCAGACAGAGCTATACAATACATAAACATTTTGATTGAGTGACAGTGCTAGATTAATATACTTACTTTATAGACCGGAGTTCCTCCAGTCTGTATCTCAGAAGAGTGTAAAATAATTAGTAATAGTGTAAATCATGGTATTTCCTCAATCACTGCCTGTCAGAGGGTTCTCCCAGTAGGAGGAAACAGTGCTGACTCCACCTTTCTTCATCTCAGAAGGGATGGACTAGAAAAAGCCCTAGCCTTCCTAGAAGAAAAGACTAGAAGAGGAAGAAGACAAAGGGAAGAATCACACTAATGGATAGTTATTGATCGTTTATCATGCTAAGCCATTATGGGATGAACACAAGATTCAGACTAATTAGACAAAATATACTAAAAAATATGAAACAAAATGTAATCATTTATATCGTTAAAGGAAATGAGTGACATAAAAATAGATTACCGGTTGAAGTTCTGAGTGAATGATGCAGATAACTTGTGCTCTAGAGTCTGGAGGAGAAAGAGAACACTCTGATTGTAGCCCCCAAGAAGGGCTTTGCCATGGTGGTGAGTTCTTGCTATTGTATGGTTTTCTGAGGAGGAGGAGGAGGCAAGGAATTCGCTTTATAATTAGAATATTCTGAGGACACCCAAGAAGAAATTATTAAGAATTAGTTACTTCTGCCATTGGAGTAACTCATGGATTTTGAGCAGTGCTTCAGATATTAATACTACAGTTTCAGGGTCCAAATTAAGAAACTACATGAGATTCTCTGAGGCCTCATATCAAAGGTTATTTGATATGTAGCAACCTCTAAGTTTGGGACAACCATCTTCCCAGATTAGTTTTTTCCCTCAGGTTAAATTTGGCTTTAAAGAGTAAGATAGGTTTGAGGGATGAATGGATAAGCAAAATGTGGTATATACATATATTGCAATATTATTCAGCCATTAAAAGGAAAGAAATTCTGACCCTTGCAACATGGGTGAACATTATGAGGACATTATGCTAAGTGAAATAAGTCAGTCACAAGAAGATTCCACTTATATGATTCCACTTGTATGAGATACTTAGTGAAAATCATAGAGACAAAGTAGAGTGGTGATGGCTAGAGGGAGGAGGGAAATGGGAAGTTATTGTTTAATGGGTATAAAGTTTCAGTGTTACAAGATGAAAAGAATTATGGAGATGGATGGTGATGTTGGTTGCACAACATTATGAACATATTAACACTGAACTTACATTTAAAAATTGTTAAGATGGTGAATTTTATGGGTATTTTACTAGTTTTAAAAATTGGAAGAAAAGAAGGCTGGGAAAGACATGGAGCCAGCTGCCTCCAGCCTTGTGTCTTTTCCCTCCTGCCTTTCCAAGAAAGGTGAACTACAGATGTTGTAGCTTTCCCCAACCCAGTACACTCTTGAATACTTTTGCTTTGCTATTCTCCAGTGCTTCAGAGGCCAGACGTACACGGTAGGCTGGCTCATGGTAGTACTTCTACATCTCCACAACTGGGCAATGTAAAGAACCTAGGAGACCCTCTTATATTTTTCAGAGCTTACTTGATGGACTGTGCTACAACCATCCTGTCACTGCTTAGGAGACCAGAACATCTTTTCTTCTTAGCTTTGTAATACTCTTTTATTCTGAAGCAAAAATGTATTAGATTGGGTATGCTTTTTACCATAGATTACTTTATAAATGTGCCTTGTTCCTGGAGCATTGGTTAATAAAGGTATCATTATGCTGTTACTTGCTGACTTTTTTTTTTTTCAAATTCTAGTGGCATTGATTGTAAAACATTCATTTGACATGGAATTTATTGCTATGAATTACTAAAATAGTAACTGCCTTCCTACCAATTGAAAGGTTAAAGATACCAATATGTGAAGTCTGAGCCTTAAGTGGAGAGTGTCAAGTGAAGTACTAAAATAAGTTAGAAAAAGGAGGAACTTCTTGTACTTCTTTCTGTTCTCTAGAGCTGTGCTGTCTAGTATGGTAGCCTCTAGCTGCATGTGGTTATTGATCACTTGAAAGGTGGCTAGTCCTAATTCAGATGTGTTATAAGTGTAAAATATACACTGGATTTAGAAGACTTTGTATGGGAAAAATTAAAATAATTGATTTTATATTGAAATGATAATATTTTGGATATATTGGGTTAAATAAAATATACTAGTACAGTTAATATCACATGTTTCTTTTCACTTTCCATACTATGGCCCTAGACAACTTAAAATTACTGTGGCTCACATTACATTTCTTTTGGACAGCGTTGTTCTAAAGGACCAAGCGCTGTGCCATACACATATGGATTGAGTATCCCTTATCCACAGTGCTTGGGCCTAGAAGTATTTTGATTAAGAATTTTTTCAGATTTTGGAGTATTTGCAGAATATATGCCATTTGAGCATCACTGATCCAAAAATCCGAAATTCAGAATGCTCCAATGAGCATTTCTTTTGAGTGTCCTGTTGTTGCTCAGAGTTTCAGATTTTGGAGCATTTCAGATTTTCGGACTAGGAATTCTAAATATTTGTCGATTGATCAGTCTAGAGCTCTAAACTTTCAGTAGCCTTGCCCATTGTGCACAGTTTAAAATCAATTAGGGCACCACAACTAGGCCAAGAAAACTAAGTGGAGTATTATAATGTAGAATACATTTAGGGAACCTTTCACATTAAAAACTTGCCTGGAGATACATGTTATAACATGGATAAATCTTAAAAACATTATGCTAAGTGAGAGACGTCATTCATAAAAGACTACTTATTGTATAATTCCCTTTATGCAAAATGCCTAGAATAGGCAAATCCATAGAAACAGAAAATAGTTTAGAGATTAACCCTAGGAGCTGCAGGGAAGGGAAAATGGGGAAGGAAGGACTCTTAGTGGGTCTGAGATTTCTTTTTGGAGTAATGAATATGTTCTGAAATTGGATAGTGCTGATGTTTGTACATGTGTGAAAATATTAAAACTACTGAATTGTATACTTAGGGTAAATTTTATGGTATATGAATTACATCTCAATAAAGCTGTTATATAACATATTCAAAACCAAAATTCAAGGGCAAGTTTATTCTTTGTGTATCAACAATTCAAAATAATGAAATATTATGGAACAATAATAAATAACATAAAATTACTTAGAGCACTCAGATTCAGAATAATCAATATATAATGTTTTCTGTAAAGCCTGTGTTTACCTGGAGAAACCTAATTTTAACTGACTTGTTCTAAATTGGTAGTAGTATTTTTATTTAAAAAAAATGATGGTTACATATATATTTTTTTAACCTGTGTAATTATGTTTTATTAATTTTATAAAACATATAATATATAAAACTTATAATTTTACTAATTATGTTCTATTATGTTACTATAGAAATTATTTAAATCAATAATACCATATAGTTTCTTTTGTTATAAAGGATTTGTATAAGTCCTTGAAAACACTATCTGCAGAACTGGTACCTTGGCTTAATTTGAAGAAGCAGGATGAAAATGAAGGTATCAAAGTTGAAGATTTGTTGTTTATAGTAGATACTATGCTGGAAGAAGTTGAAAATAAGGAAAAGGTAATACCTACATGAACGGTCACCTTCTAATGTTTCTTATCTCAAAAACTGATAAATTGTGGATATTGATATTTGTTCTACTAGAGTTCTATTTGTCTTTTAAAAGTTTTTATTTGGGATTATTTTAAGATAATGAACTCTTTCTTTTTTACCTCTTTTTTGGACAGGACAGCAATATGCCACACTTTCAAACTTTGCAAGCTATTGTTTCTCACTTCCAAAAGTTATTTGATGTGCCTTCTTTAAATGGAGTCTATCCCCGAATGAATGAAGTTTATACTAGGCTTGGAGAAATGAACAATGCTGTGAGAAACCTCCAAGAACTCTTAGAATTAGGTGATGACCTAATTTGTCATTTTGGGCCCCCATTTAAGAATTTTTAATAAATTAACAAAAAGTAGATTAAAAAATGTTTAAGTGAAAAATTGAGGATAACTGAAGCATAAAATGTTTGATGTATGTAATTTTGGAAATTCTCTGTTAAAATATCCTTTTATTTCTCTTTTGCAGATAGTTCATCCTCATTGTGTGTGCTAGTAAGCACTGTTGGAAAACTCTGTAGGCTGATTAATGAAGATGTGAATGAGCAGGTTATGCAGGTATTAGGACCTGAAGACCTCCAGAGGTATTTGTTTTAAAAGTTTACAAAGTATCATCCAGAATGGCTGGGTGTGGTGGCACACGCCTGTAGTCCCAGCTACTTGGGAGGCTGATGTGGGAGGATCACTTGAACCCAGGAGTTTAAGTCCAGTCTGAGCAAGGCAGTGAGACCCTGTCTCTAAACAATAAAAATTAAAATAAGTATTATCGAGAGTTCCTGGAGGGGTGAAATTAAAGACTTTCAAAACTTATTTACCTTCCCTGTTTGGAATAGCATCTTTTGTGTGTGTGTGTGACTGTAAGCACACGCCACCACGCCCAGCTAATTTGTGTGTGTGTGTGTGTGTGTGTAGAGAGAGAGATAGAGACAAGGTTGCACCATGTTGCCCAGACCAGTCTCAAATTCCTGGGCTCAAGTGATCCGCCTGCCTTGGCCTCCCAAAGTGCTGGGATTACAGGTGTGAGCTACCATGCCCAGCCTTGGAATAGCATCTTTTAAGTAACTTGACAATCTAAGATAATCTCAAACCCTTAGGGATGGAGGAAATGCCAAATATTTTCAAGATAAAAATAGATTGTAAGGCCTATAAAGAAGGTCAGGTACTCTTCAGCATAAGCCTGTTTTCAGGAAATATTATATATGGAGAAATTCAAACCTTGTTAGCAACATCATGTAAGTTCTGATTATATCAATAAGTTCTATTTTTAGGACACTACCATAGACCACTGAATAATCATTAATAGTATATTTATTTGATTAGAAGATAAATGTTGAGGAGTTTTTAAAAGACTAGGCATCTATAACATAAAAGCTGGTATTTTTAGAAAATATCAAGACATTGTAGCTATAGTTAAAGCAACTTTCCCCACACCTGACCCCCAATTTTATATTACAGCATATGTGAAGGGAAACACACAATATATACCACATAAACCATATGTTTTGCAAGTTTTCCTAGAAGAACCCTTACATAATCTGACACTTGGTGCTTTTAAAAGGAACATATATCTTGCTATTGGCCTATTTCTTCCTTCCCACAGTTTTACTGACTACTGATTTTTTTTCTTTTTTTCTTTTCTTTTTTTTTTGAGACAGAGTCTCACTCTGTTGCCCAGGCTGGAGTGCAGTGGCTCAGTCTCAGCTCACTGCAACCTCCGCCTCCCAGGTTCAAGCAATTCTCATGCCTCAGCCTCCTGAGTGGCTGGGGTTACAGGCATGCGCTACCACACCCAGCTAATTTTTGTACTTTAGTAGACGTGGGGTTTCACCATGTTGGCCAGGCTAGTCTCGAACTCCTGACCTCAAGTGATCCTCCTGCCTTGGCCTCCAAAGTGCTGGGATTACAGGCATGAGCCACTGTGCCCAGCCTGATATTTTTTCTTAATGTTTAATAGGATACTGGGTGTAAAAGCCAATTATTTTTAGAAAATGCTGTAAAAGCATGATCTAAGAAGCCTTGAGCTTAATGGGAAATTTGCCATGTTAAGAATGTTGTATATTGGCTGGGCGTGGTAGCTCACGCCTGTAATCCCAGCACTTTGGGAGGCCGAGGTGGGCGGATCACGAGGTCAGGAGATTGAGACCATCCTGGCTAACACGGTGAAACCCCGTCTCTACTAAAAATACAAAAAATTAGTCGGGCGTAGTGGCAGGCACTACAGGAGGCTACTCGAGAGGCTGAGGCAGGAGAATGGCGTGAACCCGGGAGGCGGAGCTTGCAGTGAGCCGAGACAGCGCCACTGCACTCCAGTCTGGGTGACAGAGCAAGACTCTGTCTCAAAAAAAAAAAAAAAAAGAATGTTATATATGAATTTAACAAATTTTACATTGATATTGAAATGCTTTTTTAAGAAAAGTGATATTGGATTAACAAAAAGCTCAGAAAGAAAAGACTGTAGTAAATGATCATTAAGTTTATATTTAAATTAGCAATATAGTTTCTATTTTGAAAATGTTCTGTTTGCAATCAGATGCAAGAACCCAAAGTTAGAAATCAGGTTTAAATTGTGCATTTTTTAAACAGCATTATCTACAAATTGGAAGAACACGAGGAATTTTTCCCAGCATTTCAGGCATTTACTAATGATCTACTTGAAATCTTAGGTAAGATCTCTGGTGGTGATGGTGAAATTTTGAGTCTTAAAATGTCAGTGCATTTAAGAAAAGGGTGTTCCTTGGTCACTGGATTAGTATTTTTACCTAGTGGTTGGAAACCACTAACAGTTCTGGAAACACATTCCTTACAAGCAGTTAGAGTTTGTTTGGATTAGTCCATAGAACAGAAACACAGACCCTTAACAGCAATAGGAACTACCTTTGTTGGAGGACCTTATCATGAGAGATGGCATCATTCTGTCCATGCCTAGTTTAACCCTGGCTCTGTCATTGTCTAATGAGAAATATTCTTAGGATTTATGATCTTAGAAGGTCCTTCCTCCCTCCTTTTTTTTTCTTAAGATACCACCTATCTACAAAATTTTTTAAATATACAAATAATATTTCCTCTCTGGTTATATGAAGTAACATAAAGTCATAAATATCTGTGGAAAGGAAAAGATGAAATATTACACTTATACTGAGGGTCAGATTGAGGGCTTCATTAGTAGTAGTGTCTCCTAAAAGGAAAAAATTTGCTTAGGACTCATAAGGCAAAATAGAGACCTTATCTAGTTTAAATATAATTACATATGGCTATAAAATTATTTATCTTACTATTAAGAATGATTTTTAAAGTTTTAAAGTGATGTATTCACCAGTGAATTTTTTCTGTATAGCTCATTTGAAAGATTTTTTTTTTTTTTTAAAGAATGGCTCTTTGCTTTTAGAAGAGGAGATGAAGCTTGGTATGAAAATAAGGGAATGAGTCAATGAAAACTTGATAAGAAGAATAAGTGAAAGAAGTATCTAATTAGAATATATAGCCTACTGAACATAAAGGAAGTTTTGTGACCAGTCTTATGTGCAGTGGGGAAGCAAGGGAGACAATGAGTGAGCTTGCTTTAGGCTTGTCCTCATGTTTAAAAAGATCACAGCAAGTGAAAATGTAATTTGAAAGTTAAACTTGAGATGAGGTATGAAACTGTATAAGTGTGTTGTCTGATATCCTGAAGAGCCTGGTTTCATAGAATAATATGATTCTTGCTTTGGGATTGCTATTAACTTAAGCAGTGATGTTCTCATCATTCATAAATATTTGGCACATTAATAAACATATTTTAATAGGGTGTGCTGGTAACACTTATTTCAGAATGCTTCTATAGAAACTTCCTTTCAGATATTATGACACTCAGCATGGTTCATAAAGATCATTTGCTTCAGAAAGCCAGGTTTCTCTGGAGATGAATTCTGTAATTTGGTCAAAGTTGAAGTTCTGGTGTTAAACATTAACATTGGGAAAGTTAAATCTGGCAAACATGACAGTTTTTTTAATTAATAGGTGTCACTAAGCATGTAGGTGCAGGGTGGCATACTGAGTAACAGACATGGAGAGTACCTTTAGTGAGTAAAAAAACAATCCATTCTTTTTCTCATGTAAATGGTGTGATTGACTGAGGAAATTCCCATATCGGCCAAGGTCCTTTGCTGTGAGGTTCATTTGTAAGGCAGGTTTCTCACTTAATGAGAAAACAGGTGTAATTTCAGAATGGGCAGGGGGCGGAGTCAGGGAATACCTTGATCTTGTACCTTACCACAATGTAAGGGAATTGTAAACAAATTCTCTGTTGTAGGTTTGCTTATATTGTTTCTGTTCCCATATCTTGATGCTTTGTTAGTGGGTTCAGACAAGTATTCTGACTGAAGTCGGGAGCTTAAAAGAACTAAATGAATAGTAGGAGAGCATGGGCTATGTGTGTAGGCTAAGTGAAGAGCAACCAAGATCCAGCTACACAATGGAGAGAGTTGGAATCCAAGAAAGCATGCTTTATGTAAGGGAACGCGTTTATTAATGATGGCTTAACAGAATAAGCTAGAAAAAAGTGTGGGTATCTAGAGAACCTGCCATTGTGGCTTACCTTAAGTAGGGCTGGGATCTGGATAATGAGAAAAAGGATTTTGCTCCTTTGGTGGCCAGGAGCTTCAGAGAGTGAATTCTAACTTAGGCTGGTTGGAATAAGATAGTCTTAGGAAGAAAAATCAAATTCAGAAAGAGCCTGTCAAAAAAGAGCCTGGATTGGTTTATCTGGTAAGCTGGACCAGGCTAAGCTCTATAATATATTGTACTTGAGGTTTGTACACTCGATGAGGCTATCTTTTTGATTAGGCAGATAATTGTTTTTTTTGAGACATAGTCTTGCTCTCTGTCACCCAGGCCAGAGTGCAGTGACGCAATCTCAGCTCACTGCAACCTCTGCCTCTGGGGTTCAAGCAATTCTCCTGCCTCAACTTCCCAAGTAGCTGGGATTACAGGTGCCCACTACCACACCCAGCTAATTTTTGTATTTTTAGTAGAGGTGGGTTTTCACCGTGTTGGCCAGGCTGGTCTTAAACTCCTGACCTCAGATGATCTTCCCGTCTCGGCCTCCCAAAGTGCTGGGATTATAGGCATGAGCCACTGCACCCAGCTGGCAGATACCTTTCATCTTAGAGTGATCCACTACTAAGAAATCTTCCCAAGAAAATTAAAGAGGACAAGACTGTTCTATGAGAAGAAATTCCTAAGTCCTCACGTGGAGACCTAGGGAGGAGACGCCTCTACCTGGGATTTCATCATGTAGATGCACCCGTGTAGTGATACAGATCTAATGAGACACTAACATATCACACATGTGGGCAGTTGGATCTGTTAATAAGGACATGCTGCTAATGAAGTTAATACTAGAATCAGAGGGTACTTGTGGGTATGTGGTAACTTATATAAACAGAGCCCCTGTGAAGCATCTGTATCCGAATCAGTGATAATCTATCATCACTATCGGAGAAAAACTTCATGTGCACAAAAGCACCAGTATTATTGCCTTTATGTTTGGGGTTTGCCTTTGCATATAGGTTCTTGTTTCATGTGAGTTTACCACTAGAAAAAGTTACTCTCTTTTATTATTACTGTTTTTGTATTACAGAAATTGATGACTTGGATGCCATTGTACCTGCAGTAAAGAAATTAAAAGTACTTTCATACTGAAAACAAATCAAATCATTTTTACTGTGTAAATTGTATTCTTAACATTTTGTATTTTGTAGGATTGATCTTATTTTGAGACAAGGGTTGTAAAATGTATTTGCTCTCAGAATTCATCCCCTTCTTAGTATTAGGTCATTCTTCATCTGTATAATTTTTATTAACTTTGAGATTCTTATACAGAAAATAGTTGCAAGGGTAAGGTAATTAACTTTAGATCCCTTCATTTCTAAAGCAATTATTGAGTGCTTAAAATTTAAGGTTGTTTTAGAGTGGAGTTTGTGAGTAAAAGAGGAGCCCAGGGAGACAGATTGCAAGTAGTAGGTTGCAATCTTTTAGATTCAGCTTGTAATAATCTTTGAGCCACACCAAAAGGAATGCCAAGGGCTCTCTAAATTTAGCCAGTAGGAAGCTACTGCTCTCCTGGCAAGGATTAATTGGCACATTCTGTTAAGATATCCCTCATGACAGTTGCCCTTTCAAAGCAGGAGGAAGAAAAGGAAGAAAGAAAAACTGTTTCATCATTTCTGTTAGGGTAGGAAATGAATCATAGGGTAAAATGGATGAGTAGATAGAAGTCTCTCATTTAAAAAGTGTCTTTTGCAATCTTGATGTAATGCACTTTTTATAAGGACTTGAGATCTCAAATAAAATTTCTGTAAAGAATTTCCAAACATAAGTGTCCTCAGTGATGCTTGTATATTACTGACAAATAATGAGTCATATTCTCTTCCTAGGCTGAACCTTCCTTGGGCAACTTGTACATCCTTGCTGCATTTTATGTAAGAGTACTTTACTTGCTGCCTTCTGTTTATTCTGTATTCTCAATATGCAGTCACGTTTTCTTAAGGGTCAGCGTTCTGCCTCATACCCATAAGTACAAGTCACTTTGGACTATTCTTCCCCACTTTTATAAGCAGCAGGTCTAGGAAGATTTCTCTGTCATTCTTGTTGGTGGGCATATAGAATATTATAACACATTTCCAGGAAGCAGCATGGTGGAATGGTGAGTAAATGTCAGCAAACAAGCATCCACATCCTTGGTGTTATGACCTTAGGGATCAGACGTAAGATAATAGGCTCCTTCTAGATTTAAAATTCTTTGTCATGATAGCCTGCAGTTACATTTCTAAACACTAACTTACAATTTGTGGAAGACCTTGTGTCTTGAGGGTTGGGTACAAAAAGCATTTGGATATTCAATAATGTAAATACTATGAATTGATTAAATTATTCCAAGAAATTGATGGCAGGGCAAGATGGCAGAATAGAAGCCTACACTATTGATTCCCACTGCAGGAACACCAACTTTTAACAACTATCTACACACAGAAAAGCACCATCACAAGAACCAAAAATCAGGTGAGCAATCACAGTATTGGTTTTAACTTCATATTGCTGAAAGAGGCATTGAAGAGGGTTAGAGAGATAGCTTTGAATCACTGATGCCACCCCTCCCTGACCCCCTGGCAGTGGCTGCACTGTGGGGTCTGAGTCTGTGTGCTTGGGGGAGGGAGAGCACAGCAACTGGGGCACTTCACATTGAACTCAGTGCTGCCTTGTCATAGTGGAGAGTAAAGCCATGCTGGGCTAAGCCAGCGCAAATGCATGGAGGGAGCATTTGGACCAGACCTAGCCAGAGTGGAATTGTCCATTCCAGCTATCAGAACTTGAGTTTCTTGGCAAGCCTTGCCACCGTGGGCCAAAGTGCTCTGGGGTCCTAGGTAAACTTGAAAGGCAGTCTAGGACACAAAGATTACAGTTAATTCCTAGGCATCTCCTAGTGCTGGATGGGCTCAGAGCCGGAGGACTAGGGTGACACATGACTTAGGGAGACACCAGCCAGTGCAGCTAAGGGAGTTCTTGCACCACTCCTCCCCCAACCCCAGGCAGGCAGCAATGAAAGTGACTCCTTGCTTCTGCTTAAGGAAAGGAAAGCAAAGAGTAAAGAGGACTTTGCCTTGCATCTTGGATACCAGCTTAGCCACAGTAGGTTAGGGCACTGGGTAGAGTCGCAAGGCCCCCATTCCAGCCCCTAGCTCATGAACACTTCTAGGCACACCTTGGGTCAATAGGGAAGCCACTGCCTTGAAGGGCAGGACCTTGTTCTGGCAGGATTCATCACCTACTGACTAAAGAGTCCTTGGGCTGTGAATTACTAGCAGCAATACCCAGATAGTATGCTGTGGGCCTTGGGCTCTGAGACATGCTGACTTCAGGTGTGACCTAGCACATTCCCAACTGTGGTGGCTATGATGAAAAACTCCTCTTGTTTGAGAAAAGCAGAGGGAAAAGTAAAGGGGACTTTGTCTTTTCATCTTAGGTACCAGCTCAGCCACAATAGAGCTTTTGGGGTCCCTGAGGCTTTTGGGGTCCCTGAATCCAAGCCTAGTCTCTTGGACAGCATTTCTGGACCCTGCCCTGGGTGCCCACTGCCCTTCAGGGTGAGTCCCAGGCCTGGCAGCATTCACCACAAGCTGGCTGAGGAGCCTTTGGGCTTTAAGTGAACATCGGTGGTGGCCTAGCAGAACCTCCTGTGTGCCAGTGGTAGTGGTGGCCACAGAGAGAAGCCCCTCTGCCAGAGGAAAGGGGAAGGAAGAGCAGGAAGGACTTCATATTGTGATTTGAGTGCCAATTTGGCCACAGTAGAATAGAACATCAGGCAAAATTGTATGGTTTTTGACTCTAATCCCTGGCTCCCAGACAGCATCTCTGTACTTGCCCAGGGCCTGGGGAAACCTGACACCCTGAAGGGAAAGACACAAACTTAGTTGGCTTTGCCACCTGCTGATTGTAGAACTCTAGGGCCTTGAGTGAATGTAGGTGGTGGTCAAGTAGTGGTTATGGTGGGCCGTGGGCAAGACCAAGTGCTATGCTGGCTTCAGGTCTGATCCAATGCAGTCCCAGTGGTGGTGGCCATAGTGGGAGAGAGAGAGAGGTAGGTGGTGGTCAAGTAGTGGTTACAGCAGGCCTTGGGCAAGACCCAGTGCTGTGCTGGCTTCAGGTCTAATCCAATGCAGTCCCATTGGTGGTGGCCATGGTGGGGCAGGGTGGCGGTGGGGGGTGGCTGGGAGAGATCAACAGTAGAGTTTTTATTTTATTTTTGCTTGTTTATGCAATCAGTGTTGTCATCAGTTTAAAATAATGAATTATAACTTGCAGTAAGCCTTTCAGTAACCTCAAATCTAAAAATATACAATGGATTAAAAAAATATAAAAAACAAGAAATTAAATCATACCACCAGAGAAAACCACCTTCACTAAAAGAAAGACAGGGAGGCAGGAAAGAGGGAAAAGAAGACTACAAAACAACCAGAAAACAACAAAATGGCAGGAGTAAGTCCCTACTTATCAGTAATAACATTGAAGGTAAATGGACTAAACTCTACAATCAAAATACAAAGAGTGGCTGAATGGATGAAGAAACAAGACCCAATGATCTATTGCTTGCAAGAAACACATTTAGCCTATAAAGATGCATATAGACTGAAAACAAAGGGATAGAAAAAGATATTCCATGCTATTAGAAACAAATAAAGCAGGAGTAGCTATAATTATATTAGACAAAATAGATTTCAAGGCAAACACTGTAAGAGACAAAAAGGTCATTATATAATGATAAAGGGGTCAATCCAGCAACACGATAGGCTTATAAATACTTATGCTAATACTGGAGCATGCAGATATGTAAACTAAATATTATTAGAGCTAAAGAGAGAGATCCCAATACAATAACAGCTGGCATCTTCACCACACCACTTTCAGCATCAGACAGATCTTCCAGGCAGAAACTCAACAAAGAAACATCAGATTTAATCTGCACTGTGGGACAAATGAATCTAATAGATATTTACCAAACATTTCATCCAAAGGCTGAGGAATACTGAAAATTATTCTCCTCAGCACATGAATCATTATCAAGGATAGAGCATATGTTATGTCACAAAACAAGTCTTAAAACATTCAAAACATTGAAATAATAACAAGCATCTTCTCTGACCACAATGGATTAAAAGTAGAAATCAATAGGAATCTTGGAAACTATACAAACACATAGACATTAAACAGTATGTCCCTGAATGACCAGTGGGTGAATGAAGAAACTAAGAAGTAAATTGAAAATTTTCTTGAAACACATCTCAAAACCTATGAGATACAGCAAAAACAGTAGTATGTATGATAGGAATTTATAGCTATACATGCCTACATCAAAAAATAAGAAAAACTTCAAATAACCTAATGATGCATCTTCACTCTTTTCCCATTTGCCCTGAGAATACTTGCCAGGGGTCCTTACAGCTGCAGTGTTTACCTTAAGATAACTTTGCCATGAAATAGCTCATTTTTATTATTTTCACATTGCTGTAATATATTTACTTTGGAAACAAAATATATCATTCTATTTATAACAGTCTGTTTTTAGTAGTGGTATTTCCATTTACAAAATGCAGTAATTGTCAGTTGCTGAAATTGTCAAATCCTAGAAAATGTAGCATTCCTACAGGTGATGTTAAGGTCATTCTCAAACAGGTGTTGGCTGAAGATTCATTTGACGAATCTGATTTTTCTGAAATAGATGATTCTTATGATTCCAATGATTCTGACGTTAGTTTTGTTTAGAAATAACTACAAGAACAGTTTTTATATTTTATTTTCACATTGAAAATCAGATTTGCCTCAGCCTCAAAGAGCATGTTTACGTAAAATGGAATGAGCACTGGCAGCGAGCTGCACTTTTTTTTTTTTTCTAAACAGGAAAAGGTTAAAGAACTAGAAGAGCAAGAGCAAACTGAGCCCAAAATTTGTAGAAAAATAATAAAGATAAACACAGGAATATATGAATTAGAAATGAAGAAAACAATACAAAAAATCAATGAAACAAAAGTTGGTTTTTTGAAAACAAAGAAAATTGACAAAACCTTTAGTCAGACTAACAAAGGAAGACTCAAATAAAATCAGAGATGATAAAAGACATTACAACTGATACTGCAGAAATTTAAAGGATTATTAGTGGCTACTGTGAACAACTATATGCCAATAAATTGGAAAATCTAGAGGAAATGGATAAATTCCTAGACCCATAAAACCTCCCAAGATTGACCCATGAACATGAAATCCAAAACCTGAACAAACCAGTACAAGTAATGAGATCTGAGCTGTAATAAGTCTCCCAGTAAAGCCTGAGAACCAATGGCTTCACTGCTGAATTCTACCAAACATTTAAAGAAGAACTAATACTAATTCTACTCAAATTATTCTGAAGAATGGAGGAGAAGGGAATACTTCCAACCTCATTCTGTGAGGCCAGTATTACCCTGATAGCAAAACCAAAGACACATCAAAAGAAAACTAGGCCAGGTGTGGTGGCTTCACACCTGTAATCCCAGCACTTTGGGAGGCTGAGGCAGGTGGATCACTTGAAGTCAGGAGTTTGAGACTAGTCTGGCCATCATGGGGAAACCCTGTCTCTACAAAAAATGCAAAAATTAGCCAGGCATGGTGGTGTGCACCTGTAGGCCCAGCTACTCGGGAGGCTTAGGTGGCAAAAAAAAAAAAAAAAAAAAAAAACTACAGGCCAGTATCTCTGATGAATATTGATGGAAAAATCCTCAACAATATCTAGCAAACTAAACAACAGATTAAAAAGATCATTCATCATGATGAAGTAGGATTTATCCCAGGGATGCAAGGAAGATTCAACATAAGCAAATCAATCAATGTGATACATCATAGCAACAGAATGAAGGGCAAAAACCATATGATCATTTCAATTGATACTGAAGAAGCATTTGATAAAGTTCAAAATCCCTGCATGATTAAAAAGAAAACCCTCAAAACATTGCGTGTAGAAGGAACATACCTCAACATAATAAAAGCCATATATGACAAACTCACAGCTAGTATCATACTGAAAGGGGAAAAACTGAAAGCCATTTCTCTAAGATCTGGAACACAACAAGGTTGCCCGCTGTTTTTCAAAATAGTAGTAGAAGTCCCAGCTAGAGCAATTAGACAAGAAAGAAAGAGCATCCAAATTGGAAAGGAAGAAGTCAAATTATCCTTATTTGCAGATGAATATGATATTTGGAAAAACCTAAAGACTCCATCAAAAAACTAGAACCCACACATTCAGTAAAATTGCAGGATAAAAAATCAACATACAAAAATAAGTAGATCGCTGGGCGTGGTGGCTCATGCCTGTAATCCCAGCACTTTGAGAGGCCGAGGTGGGCGGATCACAAGGTCAGGAGATCGTAGCCATCCTAGCTAACACGGTGAAACCCCATCTCTACTAAAAATACAAAAAGAAATTAGCCAGGCGTGGTGGCAGGCGCCTGTAGTCCCAGCTACTCGGGAGGCTGAGGCAGGAGAATGGCATGAACCCGGGAGGCGGAGCTTGCAGTGATCCCAGATCGCGCCACTGCAGTCCAGCCTGGGTGACAGAGCAAGACTCTGTCTCAAAAAAAAAAAAAATAATAAGTAGACTCTGCCTCTCCCTCCCCCTCCCCCTCCCCCTCCCCCTCGTCTCGACGGAGTTTTGCTCTTATCGCCCAGACTGGAGTGTAATGGCACAGTCTCGGCTCACTGCAACCTCCACCTCCCAGGTTCAAGTGATTCTCCTGCCTCAGCCTCCTGAGTAGCTGGGATTACAGGCACCCACCACCATGCCCAGCTAATTTTTGTATTTTTACTAGAGACTGGGTTTCACCATGTTGGCCAGGCTGGTCTTGAATGCCTGACCTCAAGTGATCTACCCACCTCAGCCTTCCAGAGTGCTGGCATTACAGGCATGAGCCACTGTGCCAGGCCAAAAAATAAGTAGACTTTCTATATGCCAACACTAAACAATCTGAAAAAGAAATTGGAAATTTACTCTTGTAAATCCCATTTACAAGAGTCACAAATACAATTAAATAGGGATTAACTGAACCAAAGATGTGAAACATCTCTACAATGAAAACTATAAAACACTGATGACAGAAATTGAAAAGGATACCAGAAAATGGAAAGATATTCCGTGTTCATGGATTGGAACAATTAATATTGTTAAAATATCCATACTACCCAAAGCAATCTACAGACTCAGTGCAATCCCTATCAAAATACCAGTGACATTCTTCACAGAAATAGAAAAAACAATGCTAAAATGTATTATGGAACCATAGAAGACCCAGAATAGCCAAAGCTATCCTGAGCAGAAAGAACAAAACTGAAAGAATCACACTTCCTTACTTCAAATTATGCTACAGAGCTATAGTAACCAAAACAGCATGGTACTGGCATAAAAGCAGACACATAGACCAATGGCACAGAATAGAGATCACAAAAACAAATCCACACACCTACAGTGAACTCATTTTTGATAAGGGTGCCAAGAAGACACACTGAGAAAAAACAGTCTCTTCAATAAATGGTGCTCAGAAAACTGGATATCCATATGCAAAAGAAGGAAAATAAGCCCCAAACTCTCACCTTATACAGAAATGAAATAAAGACGAATTAAAGGCAAATCTAAGACGTCAAAACTATGAAACTACTACAAGAAAACATTGGGGAAAATCTCTAATACATTAGCCTGGACAAAGATTTCTTGAGTAATATCCCACAAGCAGAAGCAACCAAAGCAAACATGGACAAATGAGGTCACATCAAGTTAAAAAGCTGCTCCACAGCAAAGGATACAGTCAACAAAGTGAAAAAACAACGCACAAAATGGGAGAAAATATTTGCAAACTACCCTGTTGTGGGAAGTCAGGGACCCTGAATGGAGGGAATGGCTGGAGCCGCAGCAGAGGACATAAATTGTGAAGATTTCATGGACATTTACCAGTTCTCAAATAATACTTTCATAATTTCTTACACCTGTCTTTAATCTCTTAATCCTGTTATCTTTGTAAGCTGAGGATGTACGTCACCTCAGGGCCACAGTGATAACTGTGTTAACTGTACAAATTGATTGTAAAACGTGTGTTTGAGCAATATGAAATCAGTGCACCTTGAAAAAGAACAATAACAGCGATTATCAGGGAACAAGGGAAGACAACCATAAGGTCAGACTGCCTGCAGGGTTGGGCAAAATAGAGCCATATTTTTCTTCTTGCAGAGAGCCTATAAACGGACGTGCAAGTAGGGAAGATACCACTAAATTCTTTTCCTAGCAAGGAATATTGATAATTAATACCCTGGGGAAGGAATGCATTCCTGGGGGGAGGTCTATAAATGGCCGCTCTGGGAGTGTCTGTCTTATGCAGTTGAGATAAGGACTGAAATACGCCTTGGTCTCCTGCAGTACCCTCAGGCTTACTAGGGTGGGGAAAACCCCTGCCCTGGTAAATTTGAGGTCAGACCAGTTCTCTGCTCTCGAACCCTGCTTTCTGTTGTTTAAGATGTTTATCAAGACAATATGTGCACCGCTGAACATAGACTTTTATCAGTAATTCTGCTTTTGCCCTTTGCCTTGTGATCTTTGTTTTTGCCCTTTGCCTTGTGATCTTTGTTTTTGCCCTTTGTCTTGTGATCTTTGTTTTTGCCCTTTGTCTTATGATCTTTGTTTTTGCCCTTTGCCTTGTGATCTTTGCTTTTGCCCTTTGTCTTGTGATCTTTGTTGGACCCTTATCAGGAGTTTTTGATTTTGTCCTTAGAAGCATGTGATCTTTGTTTTCCTTTTTGCCCTCTGAAGCATGTGATCTTTGTGACCTACTCCCTGTTCTTGCACCCCCTCCCCTTTTGAAATCCTTAATAAAACTTGCTGGCTTTAAGGCTTAGGTGGGCATCACGGACCTACTGATATGTGATGTCACCCTCGGAGGCCCAGCTGTAAAATTCCTCTCTTTGTACTCTTTCTCAGCCGGCCAACACTTAGGGAAAATAGAACCTACATTGAAATATTGGGGGTGGGTTCCCCCAGTACTACCCATCTGACAAGGTGTGTCCGGAATTGGTGGGTTCTTGGTCTGACTTCAAGAATGAAGCCGCGGACCTTCACGGTGAGTGTTACAGCTCTTAAGGTGGCGTGTCTGGAGTTTGTTCCTTCTGATGTTCGGATATGTTCAGAGTTTCTTCCTTCTGGTGGGTTCGTGGTCTCGCTGGCTCAGGAGTGAAACTGCAGACCTTTGCGGTGAGTGTTACAGCTCTTAAGGCGGCACGTCTAGAGTTGTTCGTTCCTCCCGGTGGGCTCGTGGTCTCGCTGGCTTCAGGAGTGAAGCTGCAGACCTTCGCAGTGAGTGTTACAGCTCATAAAAGCAGTGTGGACCCAAAGAGTGAGTAGTAGCAAGATTTATTGCAAAGAGCAAAAGAACAAAGCTTCCACAGTGTGGAAGGGGACCCGAGCCGGTTGCCACTGCTGGCTCAGGCAGCCTGCTTTTATTCTCTTATCTGGCCCCACCCACATCCTGCTGATTGGTAGAGCTGAGTGGTCTGTTTTGACAGGGCGCTGATTGGTGCGTTTACAATCCCTGAGCTAGACACAAAGTTTCTCCACATCCCCTCCAGATTAGCTAGATACAGAGTGTCGACACAAAGGTTCTCCAAGGCCCCACCAGAGTAACTAGATACAGAGTGTCAATTGGTGCATTCACAAACCCTGAGCTAGACACAGGCTGCTGATTGGTGTGTTTACAAACCTTGAGCTAGATACAGAGTGCCAATTGGTGTATTTACAATCCCTGAGCTAGACATAAAGGTTCTCCAAGGCCCCACCAGAGTAGCTAGATACAGTGTCAATTGGTGCATTCACAAACCCTGAGCTAGACACAGTGTGCTGATTGATGTATTTACAATCCCTGAGCTAGACACAGGGTGCTGATTGGTGTGTTTACAAACCTTGAGCTAGATACAGAGTGCGATTGGTGTATTTACAATCCTTGAGCTAGACATAAAGCTTCTCTAAGGCCCCACCAGACTCAGGAGCACAGCTGGCTTCACCCAGTGGGTCCCACACCAGGGCTGCAGGTGGAGCTGCCTGCCAGTCCCACGCCGTGTGCCTGCACTCCTCAGCCCTTGGGTGGTCGATGGGACTGGGTGCTGTGGAGCAGGGGGCGGTGCTCGTCGGGGAGGCTCGGGCCACACAGGAGCCCATGGAGGGGGTGGGAGGCTCAGGCATGGTGGGCTGCAGGTCCCGAGCCCTGCCCTGTGGGAAGGCAGCTAAGGCCTGGTGAGAAATTGAGTGCAGCGCCGGTGGGCTGGCACTGCAGGGGGACCCAGTATACCCTCTGCAGCCACTGGCCCAGGTGCTAAGCCCGTCATTACCTGGGGCTGGCAGGGCCGGCCGGCTGCTCCGAGTGTGGGGCCCGCCAAGCCCACACCCACCCAGAACTCCAGCTGGCCCGCAAGCACCGGCCCAGTTCCTGCTCGCGCCTCTCCCTCCACACCTCTCTGCAAGCTGAGGGAGCCGGCTCCGGCCTTGGCCAGCCCTGAAAGGGGCTCCCACAGTGCAGTGGTGGGCCGAAGGGCTCCTCAAGTGCTGCCAAAGTGGGAGCCCAGGCAGAGGAGGCGCTGAGAGCGAGCGAGGGCTGTGAGGACTGCCAGCATGCTGTCACCTCTCAAAGGGATTAATAACCAGAATATATAAGCTGTATGTCCAAACACCTCTATAGGAAGAAAATCTAATCCAATTAATGGGCAAAGGATTTGAATAGACATTTGTCAAAAAAGAAGTGATAAATGGCAAACAGGCATATGAAAATGTGCTCAACATCATTGATCATCAGAGAAATGCAGATCAAAACTACAATGAGATATCATCTTACCCTAGTTAGAATGGATTTTATCCAAAAGACAGGCAATATTAAATGCTGGTGAGGATGTGGAGAAAAGAGAACCCTTGTACACTGCTGGTGGAAATTTAAATTAGTACAACCACTATGGAGAACAGTTTAGAGGTTCCTCAAGAAACTGAAAATAGAGCTGCTGTAAGATCCAGCAATCCCACTGCTACATATCTACCCAAAAGAAAGGAAATCAGTATATCAAAGAGATAACCTGCACTCCCATGTTTGTCCACAATAGCCAATATTTGGAAACAACTTAAGTATCCATCAACAGATGAGTAGATAAAGAAAATGTGGTACTCATACACAATGGAATACTATTCAGCCTTAAAGAATGAGATCTTGTCATTTGCAACATGGATGGAACTCGAAGATCATTATGTTAAGTGAAACAAGTCAGGCACAGAAAGACAAACATCACATGTTCTCATTTATTAGTAGGATCCAAAATCAAAATGATTAAATTCATGGATGGTTACCAGAGGCTGGAAAGGATAGTGGGGGTGAGGGTGGAGGGGAGGTGGGGATGGTTAATGGGTATTAAAAAAATAGAATGAATAAGACCTACTGTTTGATAGCCCAACAGGGTGACTATAGTCAAAATAATTCAGTTGTACATTTTAATATAATAAAGTATAATTCGATTGTTTGTAAAACAAAGGATAAATGCTTGAGGAGATGGCTACCCCCATTTTCCATGATGTGATTGTTACACATTGCAGACCTGTATAAAAATATCTCATGTACTCCATAAATATATATACCTATGTACCCACAAAAATTGAAAATTAAAAATTATTGGCAGTATCAAAGTTTGCATGTATCTCCAAAAAAATTATTACAGGAAATTGCTGTGAGACTATTTGGAAAGAAATGTAATTTAAAAATTAATATAAATTTTGTCAGCTGGCTTAAGAGCCTGTGGTTAAGACTTAGTTTAAAACAGAAATTTTCAAACTCTTCTTCAGAGGGCTAGGGCTTTATTGAAGGTGCCTCAAGGGCCACTGAGAAGGATAGTGCCACTAATAGAAATAGCTTTAGGCTTTCCCTATCGGATCCACTTTTATCCAATTTTTATTATTAAAAATATAAATAAGAATAGTGCAGTTATTAACAATATTTAAAATGTAAAATGTTGATTTTAAAAGTTTTATTGATGTATCCTTGACATATAATAAACTGTACATATTCAAAGTATACACACAATTTGATAAGTTCTGATATATACTATACACCTGTGAAATCATCACCACAATCTAACAAGACATACTCATCATGCCAAAAGTTTTCTTTGCCCCTGGTAATCCTTCCCCACCTTCTCCCCTCCCTCCTATTTTCCTGACTTTTATCACTTCCTTGGTTTTTTTTTCCAAATACCTCTGCCACTTTTGTGTGTCTGTATATGCCTAAACCAATGTAGTTTTGACTGTTTTTATAAAGCTGGAATCATATTGTGTATATTAAAATTATGTATTTCGTTCAGTATTACGTTTGTACTGTGCATCCATGTTGTTTTTGTTAGGTTCAGGTCATTTGTTCTCATTGCTCTATAGTATTCCATCTATGAATATTCCACAATTCATTTGTTCTACTAGAAGTTGGCGTTTGGGTCATTTTCAGTTCTTGGCTACTGTGAATAGTACTGCTATCAACGTGCATCGTCATACACTTGTATACAGGTTTTCTAGAGTATATATCCAGAACTGAGATATATACAACTGGGTCATAGGGGAAACAAAGGGGAAATGTGTATAGCCACACAGGCCATGTACTACTGTACAACTTGAGGCAGTAGCATTTCTATAGATAACAACATGAATGAAGCTTCTGGAGGTGTACAGAGTGGTGACTTTGGTAGGGAATGTTATCTTCAACTTTAGGAGAAAATGCAAAACTATTCTCCAAAGTGGTTGTACCCATTTATACTCCTCCCACAGCAATGCATGAAACCTCCCACTTTGCCACATCCTTTTTGCCAATGTATAGAGCTATTATTGTCGTTTTAATATTATTTATTTCCCTGATGATCACTAATGAAGCAACTTTTCCTTTGTTTATTGGACTTTTGTATGTCATTTTTGAAGTGCTTCTGTGTCTTTTGCCCATTTTTCTATTGGATTAACTTAGTAATTTGTAAAAGTTACTTATATATTCTGGACATGAGCACTTTGACAGCTATATGTGTTACAAATGTCTTCTTCCATTCTGTGACCTATCTTTCCATTTTCCCATAGTGTTTGTTTTTGTTTTCTTGTTTTTTTTTTTTTTTTGAGACATGCAGTGGCAGGATCTCGGCTCACTGCAACCTCCGCCTCCCGGGTTCAAGTGATTCTCCTGCCTCAGCCTCCTGAGTAGCTGGGACTACAGGCGCGTGCCACCATGCCCTGCTAATTTTTTGTATTTTTAGCAGAGGTGGAGTTTCACTGTGTTAGCCAGGATGGTCTCCATCTCCTGACCTCGTGATCCGCCTGCCTTGACCTCCCAAAGTGCTGGGATTACAGGTGTGAGCCACCGTGTCCGGCCCTCCCATAGTGTTTTTTTTGTTTGTTTTTTGTTTTTTGTTTTTTAAAGAGATGGGATCTCGGCCGGGCGTGGTGGCTCATGCCTGTAATCCCAGCACTTTGCGAGGCCGAGGCGGGCAGATCACGAGGTCAGGAGATCGAGACCATCTTGGCTAACACAGTGAAACCCTGTCTCTGCTAAAAATACAAAAAATTAGCCTGGCATGGTGGCATGTGCCTGTAGTCCCAGCTACTGAGGAGGCTGAGGCAGGAGAATCACTTGAACCCAGGAAGCAGAGGTTGCAGTGAGCTGAGATCATGCCACTGCACTCCAGCCTGGGTGACAGAGCGAGACTCCATCTCAAAAAAAAAAAGATGGGATCTCACTGTGTTGCCCAGGCTGGCCTTTGAACACCTGGGCTCAAGTGGTCCCTCCCACCTCGGCCTTCCAAGTAGTTGGGACTAAAAGTGTGTGCCACCGCACCAGCCTATAGTTTATTTTTATGAACAGAAGTACCTAATTTTCACGGAGAGATGTGTGGTCTTTTAGTTAGTGCTCTTTGCGTGTTATGAAATCTTGCCTTAGTCACAAGTTGTGAAATTATTCTCCTATATTATCTTACAGCTGTATAGTTTTGCTTTACACAGTCTAATATACCTGGAGTTGATTGATTTTTTAATGTGATATGAGTAAAGGACCATTTCGTATTTTCTCACATGAATATCCAATTGTCCCAGCACCTTTTATTGAAAAGTCTATCTTTTCCCTTTGTTCACAGTGCTACCTCTGTCATAAATTGAGTATATGTGAATGGGTCTGTTTCTGGGCTCTTTTCTGTTCTTTTGGCCCAGTTGGCTCCCTGCACTAGTACCATTCTGTCTTAGTTATTACAGCTTGAAAATGAACTTTGGCGTTGAGTAGGCGGCTTTCTACCTTTTGTAGTTCCATGTACATTGAATCTGCTTATCAAGTTACACACACAACCTGTTGATTTATTGGGCTTTCATTAAACATATAATTAATTTGGAGAGAAATGGCATTTGTTGGGTTTTCCAACCTCAAACGTGGCATAGCTCTCCATTTTAGGTTTAACATTTATTTAAAAAGTTTTAGTTTTCTTATAGGGGTTGTTGAATGTATTCATATAGATTGATATTTTTATGCACTTATTTTCTCTTAGGGAACAGAACTACAGTTTTTTTAACATTGTATCAAGCAAGCTTGCTGAAGACTTTCTGGTTAATTCTAGCAATTTAGATTATCTTGGATTTCATGCTCATGATCATATCATCTGCACATAGAAGTTTTGGTTAGATGTACCTATTTTTGCCCTATTATTACTCAGGCTGCAATACATTGTTGAACAGAAGTGGCAATAGGGAGCATCTGTTTCTTAATATATTGTTTGCTGCCATTAATATAAACAGAAATCTAAATGATTCTTGGATGGATCTTTTAATCTTTTTACTTTCAACATTTCTGTTTCATGTGAACCTCTTATAAACAGCATATAACTGCTTTTTACTTTTGACATTCTAGATTTTAATAGTGTTGTTTATTGTAATTACAAATATATTTAGACGTATCTTGACCATCTTTTGTATTGTCTACTATGTCTTTGCTTTCCCCTCCTACGTTTTGCAGGGTTGATTTTTCTTTATAACCTTTTCTTCTTCACTGCTAATTTGGAAGTTGTATATATCAACTTTATTGGCTTTCTGCTATTACTCTATTTTCATAGTTATCTTGCAATTTTGAATACATACTTAGGAGACAGAAACCACATTGCACAGGTAACCAAACATGAAAAACTTAACCACCTTTTACTAGTTAGCAATTCTTGTATTTACTACTAAACGGGGTAGAAGTGGACTCTAGGGGATACAGAATATCAACTTCAGGATGCAGATCCTTACCCCCAGGGGTAAGGGAGAGTGAACAAGAAAGGAAGTTAGAAACTAAGTGCCTCCCTACCAGGCTGAGATTTAGATTTCCGCTGGCAGCCATAGGACCATGCAACCCACTTGTGGCTAAGAAACTTGCCAAAAGGTGTTGCCTGCTGATAAAACATGAAGGCCATGAGCCAAGGGTAAACTGTGGGGGTACTTAGGTGATTGATTGAGAACAGCTCTGTATGCCAATTAGCTAGCAGCCATGGAAAACATCAGAAGAAAAGCCCCTTCTTCCTGCTATAGAGTGTCCTTCCATCGCCCCCTATTGGCAAAGCCAAACATCAGCCTGCCGGGAAAGCAGCAAAGGAGACAGACGTCAATTTGAAGCTGAGAGGTAATGAATTAGTGACTGACACAGTTATATTTTTAAGATGAGTATCTTTAGCTTCCTAAATAAGATATGGTCTTGAATACTTACTTTCTTAATCAGCCTAGCTGCCCCTTCTTAGTTGTTAGTACTAACATTTTAGTTCTACTATGTTTCTGAACCCTTGCAAAAATCTTTGGTTATTTGTTTATATCTTGTGAACAATCATCATCAAAACTTGCTTAGGTTTGCCAATGTATTTTATGGATTTCTTTGCTTTCCACTGCTTCTCACATGCTATTTCTGCCTTACTGGTACATTTTCCTTCTGGCTGAAATATTATCTATGGCTATTTTTCAGTTTGATATTCCTGTGTACTTTGTATTTTTTTTAAAGTCTGTTTTTGTTTTGTTTCATAATTTATTTTTGCCCGTGAGTTTCCCTTTAGTGACAGCCATCTGCTGCAGTTGTCGCATATGTGCCCTGGATGGGAGTGGCAACCCTGTGGGGCCAATTTTATGGTTGCCTCCATCAAGGCTTCACAGGCTTCCAGGTTCTAAACCAATATTCACATTCCGTCTTAGGTTTGGGGGTTTCTGTACCAAGATGATGTTAACTTCAGACCCTATGCTCCTGCATATTAGCTGATTGTTTCCACCCACTGCTGAAAACCAATTCTTGTCCTCAGTGGCAGCCAAGGTATTAACAACTTTTCAGGCTCCCTGCCCCTCACACAGCGCCTATATAACCTTGCCTCCTGTCTGCTGTGTACTAAAATTCTGGTTCCCTTCAACATTTTAACTCCTCTTCAGACCATCACCAGGTATTTACCTGTGTTGCCTGACACAGGTAAAAACGGTTCAATTGACCACGTTTAAAATAAATGTTTGTGGTTTAAGTTTGGAAGAAGAGGGGTAGGTTTTCACTTATCTGCCATTTTGATTAGCTGTTTTAGGGTTGCTAATGTTTCGATGTACATATGATACATTCCCTTATTTCTCTGGTGCTTCTCCATTTTCAAGGCACTTGTCTATTTAGGGGGCAATTAGAATGCCATCATAAGGTAGACAGGGTAGGCATCAATGCTCCATTTTATTATGAGAATTTGCCATTTAAAATAGAAACCTCAGCAGAAACGAATTTCACCATGCATCTTCTATGTACTTAACACGGTCTTGGATGGTGAGGGTGAAAAACAATTCAAGTAGCTTGAATTGTTCCCTACTGTTCAACTGGAGAATAAACAAAATTAAATACCAAATACAATATAAGTAGCTGCTTAGCATGTAACCTTAGCAGATGCCTAATCAACATTTCTTAAAACTTAGTGTTATAAAGGCTGGGAACTATTAAAATGGAAAATACTCAGTATCAACAGTAAATGCTACAGGCGGTAGGAAGAGTCCATTTCACTATGGATTGACTGACTTACTTAATAGAGGAAATAGGTTTGAGACATGACTTGAGTCAGCAGAGCATAGTATTTGGACTACTCTGGAATAGAACATCTGCATGTGAATCAGATGGCAGGAAACTGGAATAAGAGTAACATGACAAAACTTTGTTCTCGAATGTTGCCCTGCTTCAGAAAAGTGGCAGTGAAGGCAGAGGCAGAGACAGAAAACTGACGGCAGGTAGTGTTGGTGTTGGTAAGAGAGAAGAGGAGGTCCAGGAATGTTGGAGGGGATGAGAAGTATATTTGGTCTTGTAAAGTCTGAAATGTAAAAGAGGCGCTTGTTTAAGCATATAATTTAATACTTTGCTTTTAACATGTTATTTAGGTGAACCAACCATCTCTTTAGAAAAGTTGAATAGCCTAAACTTATCTGAAAGCTTCCTTTTCTCTGATGGTGACACTCTTCAGCAGTCTCCAGTGCTTTGCTATGAGAGTCAGACATAGACCTGGGCTTGGAACTTGGTTTGCATTTTCCTATGGAAATAATGCTACACGCTGGAGTTTGGCCCTTAGACTACACAAGAGTATTTAACTCAAGGTATTTAAGTATATCAGTATAACATTTTTGCCAGTAGGGAAATACATTTTTAGCTCCAGGTCAAATAAAAGAACAAATATCCAGGCATACAAGTACCACAGGTGGCAGCCAGAAGGGCTTTGGCAGTGTTAGCTCTTGGCAGTTTTGAGTTGGGTCACTTTCTATTTCCATAAAAAAGTGACTTCCCTTTGGCCAGTCACTGCCCAGGAATGCTGGTAGTGGCTCCAGAAACAGACCTCCCCCAGCCCCTATGCCAGAGGCAGGACACTTTCTGGTACATACATTCAGGTAAGTCCTAAATCAGATGGTATATAATTACCTACTAAAAAGTGGCACTTGTTTAAGTATATAAACACTGAGGTTTGGATAATTTAGTAGGCACAAATATAACATTTCTTTCTGGACTTGAACAAAAAAATCCAACCAAAAAAAGTAGTTCTTGCTTTTAAATAACCTCTTCCTTATGCTATTCAGTCATGGAGTTAAATTCCACACAAGAATTGTATGTATATAATTTCAAGTGGTTGTTCTGATTTAAATGACAAAATATACATATATTGGATGTAAGTGATCCAAAGGAAAAAATATATACATATATATACATTTTAATATAAAGGTGAGTGATAAGAATTCTCATCATCAGCTTCTGGGCTGTCCATTTGGAGTCAGCTCATACCTGTAAGACAGTTACGTTTGGACTTAACGTTAGTAATGACAGTGTGTTGTGGTAACAGGACAAACTGCCTAGTCCTGCCTGCCTGGGCCTCTGTAAGACCAGCAGAACCTGTCTCTCTGTAAGTTGGCCAGCCAGGGTTCAGGGTTAAGGCTAGAGTTTACAGGTGTCTTTTAGGGTATCAGTGAGATCTGCAGGCAGTAAAGCCTTAAATAAAGGTGTTCATCTCCCTCCCTTCTTGATAACCAAAGGAGCTGAAACAGTACTGAAAAGGGAAAACTGTCTTGAATAGCAGGATAACAGTGATAAAATGAAAGGGCACACTTACCATTGTGAAAAGCCCTTAATCAGATCTTCTTTTGATAAGTCAATCAGTACCTAAATAATCACAAATAATTAGTTCCCCTCCAAAACACTGCATTAAGGAAAGAAATTGGGATAAGGCGAATTGATCATAATCTCCTTGGTATATCAAATATCTCTTGTACTTACTTTTCCTAACTCCTTTCTTCTGTGTGAGCCAAGTGGCCTACTATTTTTCACTGCAACATCTAGTGACCTCTTCTTTACTTCTTCCATGGGAACAAAAAATTCAAATCTTTAGGAAGCAAAAAGGAAGTGAGAATTATGCATTTCATTCAGTTTTCTTGAAAATCTAAAGTGCTTCATCCATTTCCCTACTAAAACAGAAAGGTACAGACTATTAGGAGCACCTAGAGCAGGACTGGCTCATAACTACTCACGATGTATCATTATTACAAATAATCACTGTCCAGTGTTGTTCACAAAATCCAGAAGTATTAAGAGGCTGTTTGCCTAGAAGTGCCTCAGACTGCTGTGGCTTAGTTTGCATCTATCTTTCTCCAATTCTACCTTTGCTACCACTCTTCTTTTTGAGACGGAGTTTCGCTCTGTCGCCCAGGCTGGAGTGCAATGGCGCGATCTTGGCTCACCGCAACCTCTGCCTCCTGGGTTCAATCAATTCTGCCTCAGCCTCCCGAGTAGCTGGGATTACAGGCATGCACCACCACACCTGGCTAATTTTTTGTGTTTTTAGTAGAGACAGGGTTTCACCATGTTGGTCAGGCTGGTCTCAAACTCCCGACCTCAGATAATCTGCCTGCCGCAGCCTCCCAAAGTGCTGGGATTACAGGCGTGAGCCACCACACCTGCCCCTGGCTACCACTCTTTTAGCTGGCCCTCCTCACCCTGAACAGTACCTATTCACAGGACCACCTCAACCCCCTTCTCAGTTTTTTTCTTACCAGCTAAGGGCTAGAACACTGAGCAGTTAGGTTTGCTACAGTTGCATGGAAAACAGTGGCCACCTCCTATGGAGTAAGGCAGAGGAAACCTCTTACTTTTAGGTTTATTTTTAGGGTGGAGGCTGCCAACTCTGCCTTCCAGATAGTCCAGGCTTATCTTGCTGTCATACTTTTGAGAATTAGTAACAGATTTAGGTTTGTCACAAAAGTCAAAGTCAAATGTTAAACCTCTTCCCTCATATATTCCCACATAATTTTTTTTAATCCCTTAGCCACGTAGTAGCTACCACACCACAATTTTGACATCTTTTTATAATTATGTCAGAGCTCCCTTTGAAGGCAAAATCTCTTACTTGTGTGGCTCTAGAGTATAGGATGCTGCCTGGCATAAAGCATTCAGTAAATGTTGAATGAATAGTCTCTCTTCCTCATACCCTTTTCTTGATACTGATGAACTCAAAGTGTAGCTCTTGAAGGAACATAATAGTTCTTAGATATGGCCCAAAGAGGACTCAGTGTAACCCTTTTTAAAAAAGTTATTGGCCAGGAAAATTATGAGATGTAATATTTTCCTAAGCTGGCTAGAAATGTCTTTTTAGAACCCTGAAGCAGAAGGTACACGCTGATGAGATTCAGACTTCTAAGAATAAAAATATTTGGGATGAGACTTGCCACCACTGGCCCATCAAAAGCAATTAATGTGATTAGAGTCACCCTTGTCCCCAAGGACATAGGTGGACAAGCCTTTGTGGAGAAGGGGAGGGTATCTCCTCTACCCATCACCTATGTTTTGTTGCAGGAGGGAAGACAGGCCAAAGAGCTTCAAGCTTTAGAGGAAACTTTAGGTCCTCAGGCTCAAGGAATGTTTAACTGCTGGAATTAAAACAGATCAAAAAAATATTTGAACATTCAAATCTTTTTACTACCAGAGAGACTTCATTTAAACAGAAAGAGTAGGGAACATTCCATATTCAGGAACACTTTAGCCTCTATGAGCAGTAAATGTAGGTGGCCATTTTGATAAACTTCTCTGGCACTCCATTTTCCCCACTAACGTACAGAAGCTTCATGAAGTCATAGACTATGTTGTCTTGTTCAGCCATAGCCCCTTCCAGCATCTGGCAGGCTGCCAGGCAACATAACAGGTACTTGGAAAATACTTGAATGGGTGAGGCACTCTAGGCAGGCCACCAGCCCACTTACGTCTCATCAAACAGGGGTTCCAAGGTCTTCCGCTTCACTGAAGTCTTCTTACGACATGCCCACTTCCTTTCTGGCAACAAGTAGACACGGACGTAGGGATCAGCTCCACTGCTGGTACATGGTGTTAGGTTTCTGATTTGGTGTCAAAGACATTAGGAAAAAAAAAAAAGGGCCCTGGTTTTCAAACACTGAACATTTGAGAGTTTCAGTGTTTGAGAGTTTCAAACACTTCAAACATTTGAGAGAAGGCTATATTAGCCATTCAGCATTAGATACGCTTAAGGATAAAAATGCTCAGTGGTCCTGATGATCAAAAGTAATAGCCTGTAGAATTTAGAGGACAAAATATCAGATGAATGTTTTTGATAACACGCATCTTTATAATGCTTGGAGTAGAGCAAGTACTTTCCTTCTAAGGGAAGTTTGAGATTCTCACTTGGAAAATGTACTGGCTACCAGCCACTCCAGACAGTCTTGCAGTGGTTGCGTCTGAGCAAAGCCCTTGGCTCTTGAGCCCATCAGCATCACTGAAGAATGATGGCCAAAGTGCCCCTTTGAGGACTTGATTACAGTGTTCAGGCCTTCAAATCTCATTTTTCCCCCAAAGTGTTATTTATCTTGGGACTATGTGCCCTTTTCATTGCTCTGAGTGTCCCTACTCTGATTTATGGTCACCTGATGCTCCCAAAGGACCTCCCTGGCCCTAGAATCCCTTTACCTGCAGCCATTGATTAGCACGCTGAGGCAGCGCCGCAGACACACATAGCGCACTGTGAGCTGAATCTCACCCAGCTGCCGTCGCCTGAGGTCCCCACCTCTGTAAAGAAAGAGCCCATCACTTCTCTCGCCATAACAAGCATTGGCCCTCTTCCGCCACCCCCAAAGACAAAGAAGCATTCCTGCTTGAGGAGTATAGAGCCATGTAGGATAATAATTCACAGTGAGTTTACTTTCAGATGGAATTCAGTTCCATCCAGCATTCATGTATAATTATCCTACTTCATAGTAGGAAGAACGGGAACCCTGAAGTGGAATCTGCCTTTGTATCATGATTCCTTTTGGGACCTTGGATGAATTTATTAAACTTTTATGATAGTTCCATCTTGTAGGGTTATTGTGAAGGTTGAATTAAATCAGGTAACATGCTAAGCCCATAGTAAACCCTTCATAAATGACAGCCATTTATTACATAATTCTACATATTAAGCTTTCCATGTCATCCCAGTATAACTCAATGGTTCTGCTGGAAGGGACCTTACCAACCAGAGTCCAGCATCTATTTTATAGTCAGTACGCAGCTAGAGCCATAAACAGCCTGTTTGGCTCTCTCTCCCTTGTCCTGTGTTCTTTCTACCACACCATGCTGCCTCTTAGGAAGATATTTTGTGAAAAAACAACTTGCACAGAAATGTAAGTTCATATCTACTTTTCCATCCAGCGAGGTATTTTTCATACAGGCGATTTTAGAAAAGATTAAGCAGAGAGGTGCATACTCAATGTTGAGGCTGATATCTGCCAGGTCAAAGCAAGAAGAGGCCAAGGAGTTGAGCGAGGACATGCTGGGAGCCAGCCTCTTGGGCGGCCATGCGAATGGGGAGGCAGGGCATTTCATGGGTCTGGGTGACTTGATGGGCCCTGGAGAGTGGGGACCTGGGACAGTCAGGAAGATGGTGGCTGGACTCTTCTTCTCCCCGATGGGCTCACAGAACCTTTTGGCACTGTCCTTGCCTTTAGGCTCTGGGCCTGTCTCTTGGGATGTGGGCTCAGTGGCAACGGTGGTAGCACTGGTGGTGGTTGTGGTACTCCTGGATACGTCCTTAGTATCAGAAGCAGGGTCTGGGGGACATGGCAAATCTGTAGGGCCTTCTTCCTGAGGTTGGGCTTTGGGACCCTGGTTGGTAGCCACTTTCTTGATGAGCAGAGGGCCTTTCTTTAGGGCTTCAGGTCCTGTGTATGGGCTCCCCAGCTCTCGTTCCTCCACTTGCAGGAACTGCAAGCAGATAAGAGGGTGGCTTATGAGCTGAGTCACCACTTCCACAACCTCAGCCATTGTTTCCCGTTCCCCCTTTCCCCTCAGTTGTGAATTATAAAGACCCTTCCTAGGGAACTTCCATTTCCAGTAATACATATGGTGTTCCAAATATTCTGAAAAACTTGTTAGAAATGCCAAATAAAATGAAGCAAACATCCTTTGAAATGCATAGCCAAATTCACAAGAAAATAAGGATAATTCTGTTAAAAAAAGAAAAAATCTGAAAAATAAGTTAAGCTTTCCTAGGGTTGTATATCAACCTTGGAATTCAGGGAGTTAGAAGAGGCTGTGAGGCTAGGAGCTGAAGGGAAGACCCATGAAGGTGGGATCTCTTTAGTTAAAAAAGTAGTTTAGGATAAAAATTATTCGGCCTACCAGCAAAGACTGATGACAAGAACATGTGTTTGCCACAGCCTGTACTCTGGTTGAGGGGATAAAGTCTTTCCTAATAACATGGCACCTCATAGGCCTGTCCTCATATGAATTTTGAGTATAAATATGAGCTACCTATGGGATCTTGAAACCCAAAGTTAAGAAATATACACAAAAATGGACTCAAGTTTGTAATGCACCTGAGGTACTGAGCTGCAGCAAAAGCAGAAGCTCCTTGGAAGAGAACAACCTCGATCCAGGTCATAAAGGAACACTGAACATATGTTTGCAATCCAAGTTATAAAACAGAAATGAGTCACCATCAAAAAGCATCAACAGACAAAACAAACATCAAAATTTAACTCCCAAGATCTTCAAATAATAGAACATACATATTAATACATTGTAACATATTTTCAAATGACCAAAGATGGAATATAAACATGAGAAGATAATAAAATTCTATGAGAAAATACCAAATAGATTTGGAAAAGATAAAAATAGAAATGAAAAACCACCATTGAAAAAACTATGAACAGGTTAAACAGCAAACTAGGCATAGCCAAAGAATTAGTGGCCTGGAAGATAGCTCTTGAGAGAATTAGAATGTACCACCATGAATACAGAGAAGGGAAATATTTAGTTGAGGTCAAGAGACATGGAGGATAGATGAGAAGGTACATTATAGAAAATTCTAGAGAGAGGAATTTAAGAAGAATGGAGGAGAGGCAATATTTGAAGAGCCTGTATCTCTTTGAATATTGACTTGCTCCCATTCAGTATTTCAAAATTGATGAAAAACATGAATCCATCTCCTGGCTTCTTCCAGGCACACAGCAGGTGCTTAGTGCTGGGGCAGTACACCTTGCTCCATTGCCAGAGCTCTATTCCTCCCCTCCCCCAGGGGACCGGAGAGATTTACCCGAAGCACCAGCCTCATGGAGATGAGGCTGTCCAGGCCTGAGTGGTCCAGCTGAAAGCGCTGCTCAAGAGTGAGGTCAGCATAGGGGAGGATCTGGCACAGGGGGACCTCCAGCATTCCCAGAGCACACTCCTGGTCATCATCAAGCACCTGGGCAGTGGTCCAGTCACAAAACAAGAGGATAACCAAGCCCCACCACTCCACTACTAGTATCTGAGCCCCAGCCAAGTTTGGGTTTACTTCAGTCTGTACTGTGCTTCTATGGGCATCTGGTCCTATTCTGAAAACTAGAATGGGATCAGGCCAGACCTGGTCCTTGTCTTCTGTCAGGGAAGATAGTGACTCAGAGTAGAGGCAATTATGATCTGTATGAGCTAGTCTGTCAAATGCCCAGAGCCAGGGGGCTTTGGGGACTGATGAGCTGTGCTGCTCTCCAGGCAGGGCTCAGGGCCCTAAAAGATCCCAGCTCCACCACTTGTTGGTCATGAGATCTTGGACAAGACATTGTTTTTGCCTCTCTTTGCTTACTCTACAGATCTTTTGTGAAGATTAAATGAAACATATATTTTTTAAAGTACACCATTATTAATGTCCTGTGTAGATAGGCTGCTCTGGGTACTGTGTAGCAAATATAAAGACCCTTTTGCAGGGAAAGTCAAGGGACTTGAGGATTTATCCTCCCACATCCCCCTATACAGTGACCTCAGGCACTAGCCTTAAGGAGATGAGGCCTTGTGGGGCCTCAGTGTCCTCTCTTACATACAAGGGGCTGACTTTAAACGCTGCCAGGAGAACCTGCTCAAGGTGCACTTCAAGCTTCCCAGCCCGCCTGGCTTAAAAACCTCTTAACTCTGTTTCAAGAGCCCTTCTTCCATCAAACCTTCAGATGGAGCCGCTCAGTGGCCACATTGTGCACAAAGAAGGAGAACACCTGGCTCCACACAGGGTCCTTGTTGTGGGGACAGGTCTGGGAACAGAAGAGGGAGAGATCATTGAAGGGTTAGGTTGGGCAGAGCTGGATACCGGCACCCTCTGCTATCACTCTGGCCACCAGGTACCATTGGGAACCTTACCTATATGCCCTGGGATCAGACCCAAACACGCTACAGCTAGTGGGAGGCACTAGGACGGGACAACACTCAAAGGCAGGGAGTGGTTTGCCAGGAATTTTTACGGGGGAGCTGAAAATCATATTGGCCTTAGAGCTCACTTCAGGAGAGGAGAGGCCAACAGGATTTCTGCTGCTGGACTGAGAAAATTCATGATTGGTGGAAAGGACATGGGCTTCAGAACCATGCCCAAGCTTGAACCCTAGTTCTGTGTCCTTGGTCAAGTCATTTATCTCTGATCCTCAGATTCTTGAATTATAAAACTATTTTGTGAGGTTATTCTGAAGACTAAATAACATCAAGTGCCTACTAGGCATTCACCATAAGTTAATTCCCCTCCCTTTTGCCTCTCTCCCTGAGAAGGGCTGGGTCCTTGTTTCCTTACCCCAGGGCTACACACCAAGCTGTCTTACCTTACTTGTATGTGTCTTCTTGCCTACAGATAGTTTGACATAGGAAGAAGGGTCTTTGCTGACCTTGTTCTGTGAGGAATCAAATCCATAACAGTGAAGGTGGCATAGTCAATATCAGCTTGAGACAGTCCTACCCCCAACCCCCAGGAGCATCTGGGGGAACTGGGGCCACCCAGTTACTTCTCTTTGAGAGAAAGCTACTCTAATGCCCCAGTCCCCCTGGGCTGTCATTACTGTGCGAGCCCCAGGACAGGACCAACCCCAGAAAGCAGTTCCAAGTTAAAAGACCAGAAGCCAGAGCTGGGCCTGGCCAGGCACAGGCTCTCGTTCCCTGGGGCTATGAAAACAGTGTGGAATCTGGCTCCTCCTCTTAGCTGTGTGACCCAGAAAATGGTAATAAAAATGAATGACACAGTCATCATGAGACTCAGGGATAACAAATGTGGGGGATGAGTTGCCAAGCCTAGTGCCTGGCACACAGTAGACTCCACAATCAGCACCTCTTGTTATCCCCAGGCTGTGTGTGCACAGACTGTGGCCCAGAAGACATGGGGTTGTGGTTACTCTGGGGAGAGAAGCTGTGATTTGCCCTCCCTGGAGTTTTTAGCCACATACTCACTCACTCTGGCAAACCTGGAGAGTTTTTTGGCTCGATATTCACCATTCAGGTAGTCAAAAGGGTTTCTCTGCAGCACAGGAATAACGGGGTTAAAGCAACACAGGACAATTTGAAAGTGATGGGCACTTTGTTGCGTTTGTGTGACACTCTGGACATGTCGCCACTCACCGGCAAGTTGCAGGCACTCTCCAAGAAGACCACGAGAATGGCAGTGGAAAGGCCACCATGGTCCTGCAAACAGACACAGACCCTCACTGGGTACTCCCAGCAGCAGGACACAAAGACTGATTTTGGAGAAGCCTACTCATGGCAGAAGAAAGCCAGCTAGCCTTCACACTCCAGACTAGCTGCCGGAGGACCTCTCACAACCTAGCATTTTGTTGAGGTTAAGACTATAACTGGTGCATGACAGATTCAAGTTAGACACTGAGTGGATTTCCCTATGAACTGGGAGGACAGGCATTGACACAGAGTTCTAAGGACCCCATCATCTAAAGATGATGGAGATGCTCAGAGGACATTTGCTGAGAGCTATCAGGAGCTGCCCTGTGTGGAGACGGGCTGAGTGACATGTTCTTCAGGAGGTGAGCAAGAAGGGGGCATCATCTCCCACCCTTCCTCCACCTGCACACACCTGGCACGTGTGCTCCTCCACCTTTCTGCAAGGGAGCCCTTGACACCCCACACTCACCTCAGTCAGAACTTCTTGGTCAGTAAGCAATGAAAGCCACTCCAGCCGCAGGTGCAGCCGCCCGCTGGTTGTGTCATTCAGGACAAACCACTGTGGGGTAGGGGCAGAAAGCTCAGGGAAAAGGGCCAGGGAGATGCTACTGATGCTCTCTGGGCAGCCCAGTCCTGAGACCTGGCATCCTAGTAGGGACAGGGAAACCTGTCCTAGTATGGGAAAAGGTGGACCAGCCCAGACAGGGTATGCTCTGGGCTCAGAGGGACTGGGAGATGTGGTTATAGGAAGACAGAAGTGCTACACTGTGGGATTAAAAAAAACCCAGGCCCAGCCTGCCCTCCCCTATAATGTGACTGTCCCCTGCTGGGGTCCTTAATCTGTGGGTATTTCCCAGGGAAACTTCTTCCAGCTGGGGCCCTGGAGAATACCCTGGAGCCATCTGTGCCTCACCCAGCTCTTGCCCTGAGGATGGAGCCTAGCACAGAGGGGGACCACAGCATAGGAATAGCTGGGCTGAAGCAAGCTGCTGGAGCTGTCCACAGGAAAGGGCTACCTTGAAACTCCCCCGAGGGTTGCAAGCACCAACTGTACCTCATCCACCACTCTGTTGGTCATGACATCTCCAAGGCAGATCTGCAGGCTGGAATATACAGGGAGAGGGGATTGGGTCAGCTCAGAGGAAGAAAGCAGCAGAGGGCATGGAGGCCCACACTGGACTCTGTTTTCAGATATCTGAGTGCGGCCATTAAGACAGAGGATCTTACCCCAAGGAACCAATGGGAGACCACCATCAGCTCGAGTGAAGGAAAGACTAACTACCATCAGGGCTGCTCCCACTGGGTGTGCTACTTGGGGAGGAAGGGGGCTCCCATCCCCACAGGGGACAAGCAGAGGCTGCTGGACACATCACCTCTGGATTTCTCAGTGACAGTGCGACTAGCATTTTGGGTGGGATGATTCTTCATTGTGCAAAACTACCCATGCATTGCAGAAATTTGGCCTCCTGGTCCTGTACCCTTTAAATGCCAGAAGAACCACCTCTCACAGTCATGTCAATAACCCCAAATGCCCCTTCATTTCCAAATCTACCCCAGGTGCCCTACAAGGGAAAGTATAGTTGGCATGTGATGTAGTTTGGATGTCTGTCCCCTCCAAATCTCATGTTGAAATGTGATCCCCATACGTTAAAGGTGGGCGGGGCCTAGTGAGAGGTGTTTGGGTCATGGGGGCAGATCCCTCATGAATGGCTTGGTGCCCTCCCCACAGTAATGAGCTCATGCAAGATCTGGTTGTTAAAAAGAAGCGGGGACATCCTCACTCCTGTTGCTCCCTTCTCTCTTGCCATGTGACATACCTGATCCCTCTTCACCTTCTGCCCTGAGTAAATGCTGGCACTATGCTTCATGTACAGCCTGCAGAACCATGAGCCAGAAAACTCTCTTTTCTTTATAAATTACCTGGCCTCTGGTATCCTTTATAGCAATAAAATATGGACTAACACAGCATGTGTGTGTGAGAGGAGGTAACACCCACACCTCAGCTTGCCCCTAACTCACCCTGAGCCAAGCCCAACCAGAAGGTCCTGACAGCCAGAGGGGAAAATGTAATTCTATATAACTGTAAGAAACATGCTTAAGCTCAAAACACACCTGAAATCAGTTACTAATACATAAAGCATGACCCACAAGCCACACTTCTAATCTGCAACATTACAAAAATTGCAACTGTTTTCATTAAGATAAAAATAAAAAATGATAAGCAACATCTGGTGGTGAATCTATGTGTATTAACATCCAGGCTAATAATACACATAGATTCTGCTTGTTTCTGAAACTGTCAGATTGTGCCCCCTCCCAGTTTGTTTTGTTTCTACTTTTCAAAATTACATGATCTTGGAAACAAGCTAAACAACACAGCAATCTGAAGATTTGGGTAAACCTGCCTTTTCTGCTTCCTCATCTGAGATAAGCGGTGTTAACAGCCTGCCTTTCTCTGCTAACATGAACACATGCAAAAATACGCATTCAAGGTTCCTCTCCCAGATGATGACTCAAATGACATGTTATGCCCAGCTGCTCTCCCCCACTTCATAATGGGTGTCCTCCAGGTTAATACACAGAGATTCCACTTGTTTTTCAGAGCTGCAGAATATTCTGTAGTTTGGCAATGGAAAATGTATTCAAACATTCAGCCAGTGTTCTCTGAGGTTAGATATTCATTTAGGGGATGGGGGTGTTCTTTTTCTTCTATGGATAGTTCTGCAATAAACATTTCAGATACTAGGGCTTTTATTTTATAGGAGATCCTGGAAGTGGGACTGCTGGACCAAAATACATGTAAGTTTTAAATTTTGATAGCCAGCCCCACCCTGATCATTTTAGTCCTCTCATACCCCTGAAGGGCTGGGTTCTACCCCCTAGAGCATGGCCCAGGGTTCCTTGGGACTGAGCATCTGGCCATCCATGCCAGCCTTGTCTACTACTCCAAATGGGGACTTGGTATATTATCAGGAAGACAGAAAGCAAAGCCGTAATATACAAATCTTGGGGTCCTCTCTGTACCCCCCAGGGCCTAGGTCAGGGCTGGGCACTTGGGAGACATCTGGGAAGGTTTGTGGTAGGAATGTAGAATGGTGAGGCAGGTTGCCTGGCACAGTCACTATGTCAGGGTGACCACAGCGGGTTGCTAGTCATTAAGTGGTAGGAGCAGGGTATCTAGCCCAGCACCCCGCAGGGAGGGAAGGCTGCCTCCAGGCCCAGCTGTGCGCCCTCCTCCTCACCTGCCCAGGAAGTCATCCCTGTCGGTATCCTCATCATACAGGTCTACCTCCAGGTCCTGTCCAGGGACTTCGTACACCATGAACTGGAAGGAAAAAGAGGTGTCTTGACCTGCAGGCAACAGTCGACCTGACATATGACCCAAAGGGAGCCAAATCATGGCTCAGAACGCTAGCAGGTTCCTGACCCCCTCAGTGCCTCAAGAACCCCACCCATAAGAAGGGAGTGAAGCCCCTCCCCTTCGGGGGGAAGAGAAGATTAGAGAAAACATGTGCAAGCCATGGCAGAGCAGGTGCCCAGGGGACAGTGGCTGTTTGTTCTGCATGGGCCATGCGGTGTCCTGAGCACCTGTTCGTTACATTCTCCTGGCCCCTCCGTGAGTCTACAATATCAGGAAGCCCCAAGCTGCCTTTTAGCACCCCTGCTTTCACTGCCTCACCCCAAACGTAACAGAGCATCCAGATGGTATATTGAGAGGAGAAGTTGAGAGGGGTCACCTAAGATGTGGCTCCTGGAGCGTGTAATCTGGGGGGCTTAACAGGCTGTGGGTCCCACCCTTCAAATAGTAGGGATTGTGGTTGAACTTAAGGAATAACTTCAGGCTCCTGATGTTTGGCTCTGACAGGGGAAGCTGAGAAGAGTGGAGCAGAAATGCCTCTAAGGCTCTTTCTCTTTGATTTGTTAACTTCTAACAAAGTTGGAAGGGGAAAGGAGGTAGGAATTTGCCTTCAGGCTGGCCCTTTAGTCGGGCCAGAGTAACCCAGTCTGGAAGCCTGGTAGATACAGGAGCAGGAATTCCACAGACCTGCCTGTCTCCAAGGCCCACTCCCTGCCTAGTGTTGCCCCTGGATTGCCTCTGCCCAGCATGACTCAGAGTGAAGGCTAGAAGCAGCCAAGGAGACCCTTACCTCAAACACTTCGTTCCAGGTGGGGTTCAGGTTCCTGTAGATGGTCCTACTCCGGAAATGCTGTAGGCCGATGCTCACCTTGGCGTAGGGATCTGACTTGCCTCGGAGCCCCAGAAAGTTGTCCTTCTGGGCCAGCTGCTCTGCCTCCAGCAAGTGCACTCTGATCACCCCCTGGAAAATGTCCAAGCCCAGGGCTCACAGCTGCTTCCTGGGGCCTCCAAGTCCTGGAGTATCAGAGCTAAAACCATCAGAGATCACTGCTGCCCCCATATTGCCCCCTCCACGGTCTGGACCAGGAGATAGAAGCCAGATACGGCAGTGACCTGGCCAAGGCCACACAGCAAGTGATGGCAGGGCTCTCTCCATCAGTATGCCCTGCCCACAGCCCTGGCCTCCACACTCCCTGCCTCCAAACTGCCACATGAATGGCTTATTCAACTGCAGCTATCTGTCTCCCTCCTGTGCCAACAATCATGACACCTAAGGAAGCTTCCTCCTTTACTCCAGACCCCTCTGTTGTGTGTCCTACATGTAGACTCCAACAAGGGAGTCCTAGCATCCCTTCTCCTGGCCCCTGTGGGCACTGCCAGCTGCTGACAGTAGGTACCTGCACTCCTAAAGGCCCCAACACTGAGCCTCATCCCCACCACATTCTGGACTGTACTACAGGGCAGACCCCCTCCCTACACTTGCATGAATAGATGTTTAAAAGGAAATGAAAGAGATATAACTCTGTTAATAAAGACTGGAGCACAGGAATTAGGAAAGGCATAGTTCATGGGTTTTGAGATATATCTCCTTCCTAGAATTTTTTTAACATTAGTAAATACACATGCATTTACTCTTTGACCCAGAAATCCCATTTCTAGGAATCTATCCCAAGGGCATACTAGCAAAAATATAAAAAGACATGTATGCAAGGCTATTCATTACACTACTATTTGTAATAGTGAAAGACCCAACACAACATAATGGTCCATCAATAGGAACTGTGTTGAATAAACTTCAGTACATTCCCATAGTGAAGTACTTTGGAGCTCTTAAAAAGAATGTGGAAGATCTCTAATCTACACTGTCATAGCATGATCCTCATGACATACTCAGTGTTAAAAGCACACTGGGGGCCAGGCACAGTGCTCACGCCTGTAATTCCAGCACTTTGGGAGGCCAAAGTGGGTGGATCACCTGAGGTCAGAAGTTCGAGACCAGCCTCGCCAACATGGTGAAACCCGGTCTCTACTAAAAATACAAAAATTAGCCAGGCTTGGTGGTGTGCCCCTGTAGTCCCAGCTACTCAGAAGGCTGAGGCTGGAGAATCACTTGAACCTAGGAGACAGAGGTTGCAGTAAGCCAAGATCACGCCACTGCATTTCAGCCTGGGCCACAGAGCAAGACTCCCCGCCACCACCTCCCTTCACACCCACCGCCCAAAAAAAAGCATGCTGGGGAAAACTCTACTATGCTGCCATCTATCGAAGAAAGGGGGAATTTGAATATAAGCAAATATGTGTCATACGACCATATATATGTATTTGTTCATATTAAGTAACAAAGGACAGGTGTGGTGGCTCATGCCTGTAATCCCAGCACTTTGGGAGGCTGAGGCGGGCAGATCACTTGAGCCCAGGAGTTTGAGACCAGCCTGGCCAACGTGGCAAAACTCTGTCTCTACAAAAAATACAAAAATTAGCCAGGCGTGGTAGTGCACGCCTGTAGTCCCAGCTACTCGGAAAGCTGAGGTAGGAGGATTGCTTGAGCCCAGGAGGTGGAGGCTGCAGTGAGCTGTGATTGTGCCACTGCACTCCAGCCTGGCTAGGCAACAGAGCAAGACCCAATCAATCAATAAAATGGAAGGATAAACCATGACTTATAAGTGAAGGGTGGGGAGTAGGTGGAGGGAACAAGGGATAGAAGCCAGACTCCTTAAAATGTAATTTGTTTTTTAATTGGACTTTGGAAATGTACAACTACTTTACATAATTGTAAAAGGAAGTTAAGGTATAAAACCCTAAAAATGGAGACCAGAATGAAACAAGTCAATGTAAATATTCATGGTCAGTTGTCACAAACAGAGGAAATATTCCAAGTAAGTTTAGAATGCAGTAAATTTGACACTACCTCCCAAGTGGGATACACCCCAAGGACAAAATGTCTTTAGTAATTATGACGTGGGCGATGGTGTTTGTACCATTTTTCTGGGACTGTCAAGCATTAGTGTGAAATAAAGCCAATGCACCACATGTGAAGGCTGAGAGGATATTTGCGCTGCCTCCCAGCAGGCTGGTCTGTGGCTAGTACTGGGTACTCACACAGGGCAGAGGGAAGCGCAGGTTGGTCAGATCCAGCCCCTTCTTCACAGGCACAGTCACACGGTTGGGCAGCACCAGGTGGGTGGCAATGAGGTCCTCCAGTAAGCTGTCTGACACATCACTGGACACAAGGCAGGACCAGCTGTGGAGGGGTGGCACTGCCTCCCCCATGCCACCTGCCACTCCATCCCTAGCAGGAACCAGGAGCCCAGATTGGTAGGGTGGGCCCCACCTAGAGAACAGCCCTGACCCCACTTGCCTGGGTAGGGGTGGGTGTGCCTATACATCGTGACAGCCCCTGACATTCTATCTCAACAGCAGTCCTCCCACCTACACGTCCCCAACTCCCTCTGCCTCCAGGCTACTTTGTTCTTGGAGGTCACACAGCACAGTGGCTAAGAGCAAGGCTGAAGCCTGTGTTAGAATCTCAGCTCCACCATCGACTAGCTGTGTAGCCTTGGCAAGTCGCTAACCTCTCTGGACCTCAGCATCCTCACCTCTAACCTGGAGCTAATAATGCGTATTCCTGGGGTTGTTTGTTCATTGCCTGACTCCACCTCCTGATACCGGGGGACAGGGATGGTGCCTGGAACAGGGCTGGCACGGTGTAAATACTTTTTGAATAAAAGAATGCATGCCTGGATTCCCTTTGTCCAGTGTGGGTGAGATCCATGCAGATGTCAGTGAATGAGCGAGTCAGCAGCCCTCCCCTGAGTCTGATGAGCCAGCTGGTGCCAGCCCTGACCAGTCCAAATGTCCCTTCCTCCTGGGGAGGTGTGTCCAGTGGGGCTGGTGCCTTTCTCTGCTCCTCTCATGGGGCCTGGGGCTCTGAGAGCAGCCTTCACTTGCCCCCAGATGGTGAGATCTCCAGGACCAGCTACTCCTCACTGGCCTCTGTTGTGACAGTGCCCCTTCCATGCCTATGTTTGTGACCACGGTCAGGGGAAGTCACATCGGCTTCTCACCACACACTTGGTTTGGAAGGGGTGCAGTGAGGAAGAAAGGACACTCGTGTGTCCACACCCAATGTGCCACCACCACACAGCTGAGTGTCCTCCGAGGGACCCAAGGCAGAGGAACCAGGCTCCCCTTTTACTGAGGAAGAGCCCAGAGAAGTGAAGCAACTTCTCCACATTCACTCAGTTGCTCAGTGACAGAGCCAGGAGCTGGCTGCCTCTGGTTCCAGAGCCACACAGCCTCCCCTCAGACCACATCTCAGCAGACAGAGCCACTCTCCCCCTGCACCAGGACGGGGACCTGAACGTCAGCCCAACACTCAGCAAAGCACTTCTTGCCCACTACATGGGTGTGGTGTGTGGTGTGTGTGTGTGGTGTGGGCGGGGGGTGTGCTGGGCACAGTGCCCACCCACAGAGGCCACACAACACCCTTAGCCTCCCACTCCAAACAGACCAATGCTTCTCCCTCTGCAGAGAGCACCAGGAGGGAAAGCACCACCATTGCACAGCTCCTGTCACTGGCTGCAGAGCCCTGGAGGCCCCCAAACTTATGATCTCCCTCGAGGCTCTCCCAGGCACCTACTTGATTCCCGGCGCATCCAGCAGGTTGGTCAGGCCAGTCCAGTTGATCTGTAGGTGCTTCAGGGGCAGAGGGAAGCTATTAGGCTGGAAAGGGTTGGGAGCCCAGGGCTGAGAACCCCCTGCCAAGAGCCTCACACCCATGTGAATGGAGAACCCAGCCTTCCAGGGTGGGGGTTCGGAGGAAAGCAGGCAGAGCACCCTCTGCCAGGGTGTCAGGCAGGCGAGGCCACCCCCCAGCCCAGCTCAGGCATCTAGCGGTATCGAGGGCCCAGGCCTCAGCTCAGGATGGGGCAGGGGCTGTGGAACCTGCTGCTTCCCAGGCAGAACCCCTACAGGAGTAGGATCGTCCACATGGCCACAGGCTGGCCTGGACTTTGAAAGCTCTGAGTTTGAGCCTCGGCTCCAATTCAGACCATCTGTGTGACCTTCTCTGAGCTTAGCTGCCTCATCTTAGGGAGGGCAGAGTCTAACTCGAGCTGTCTTAAGGATTAAATGAGATAAGGAGTGTGACTGCCCAGGTCTCAGTGGGCTGGGACAATGTCCATTCTTGGACTCAAACCCAATGTCTAGGGCCCAGCAGACCAGTGCCTACTCCCAGGGAGCAGCAGGCTTACCGCAGTCCTTGGGACTCACCGGCTTCTGAAGGAAGAACACAGTCACGGCTCCCACAAAGGGCTTGTCCACTAGGAGGGGCTCCAGGATGACCCGCAGGGTGCCCTGCAACTGGATAGGCACAGAGGGCCCGTGAGGGGCCCAGGCCTACTTTCTCCCCATGCCTGCTGGGCTCAGCTGAGGCCATCTGCTGCCTCATTTCATGCCCACGCTGCCCCACATGTCAGGGCCACCTGCCCCAAGCTGCCTGCTCTCACAGCAGGAACCGTACTTAAGGTGCTGAGGCCTGGACACAGCTGCCACCTCTTGCCAGCTACCAAGGGGCCCTGAGCTGGCCCCACTGCCTTCCACGGGTGTGCTGGCCTGAGAGACCTATAGCCTTTGCCAAGTTTTGGGCTGGCCCAGCCAGCAGGAACCCAGGAATGATTTCCAGGCCCAAATCAGCTCTTCTACTCCTGCCGAGAGTTATTTTCACCTCCTGGGTCCACCTCAGTCTCTAAGCAATGGCTTTCCATCGCTCCATGAACACCATCTCTCTCCTCGCCAGGCAGCCAAAGCCTCTCCCAGGGCCTTTGCAGTCAGATGAGGCTGGGGTCTCTAGAGCACAGTAGTGGGTTGGTGAAGCCCAGCCACCACTTCCTGGCCATGTGACCTCAGGCCTACAGCTCCTCCGTAGTCACCATCCTCTGTGTTTAGTGTTGCCACCACCTTCTGCGGCCTACTCTGGCATGACCTGGCTTCCCCTTCCCTGATCCCCACCCTGGGGGCTGGAACAGAGGCAGCCCCACCGGGCTCCACCCACCTGGATCCCGTTCACACCAGCCTGAATCTTCTGCAGCTCCACACTGATCTCACAGTCCCCGATGTAGCTGAAATGGGGGGTGGAAAAGGAAGGTGGGGAGGAGGGGTAGGTCCACTTGCTCAGAAAGGTTGGGAAACTTGCCCAGTGTCACACAGCCGGAGCCCAGGCAGCCAGTTGCCGACCCTGAGCTCTATGCACTGGGCACATGGCCTAGTAGCCTCAGCCTTTCTCAGCTCTGCTCAGACCTGACCCAGACCCTGATCCAAGCCCAGACCCCAGGAGGCAGCCCCTGTGGGTCCCTGCATTCAGGTATCCCAGGCATATCCTCATCTCTGACCATGAGAGCAGTGATTCCAGGCACTCACCTCACCCCACGATACCCTGAAGATGAAAAGGAGGGGCTCTTGGTAAACACGCTGCCCACTTTTCCACCCCTGCTGTCCCCCTGTCCCATCTCTGCCCAGGTGTCTTTCATGGGGACACAGAAGCAGCCCCCACTGCTTACATCCCAGGTGCTGCTGGGGCTGGTGGAGGTGGGCAAAGGTAACAAGGCGTCAGGCTTCAGCACAGAAGCCCAAGTCCACCCAGTGGCTCTCGCCAGGTGATGGGCACAGGGAGCCCAGAATGGGTGCCCTTGAGGGTAAAGATCAGCAGATCCTGTGAAAGCACTGAAGGAGACTCAGGGAAGGGAGAGGGGCAGCCAGCACACATGTGCAGGGCACAGGCAGAGGAGCCCAATGTCACAAATCGCAAAAACCGAGTGCCTCTTGAAAGGGCAGGAGTGAGCCAGACGGGGAAGATGGGGACCCCGGGGGCTGCCTGGGCAGCTGAGTGGGCCACACAACCTCGATGTGCCCTGACTATTCCTACAAGGACCTTGTGGCAGCGCCCCAGGGGCTGGGAGCACCTGATAGCCTGTCACCATCCCAACCCACTTGGGACCAGCCCCTAAATGGGGATGGGCGGTCCGAAGAACTAGCTCCTATCTTCCCAACATGCTGTCAGTGCCAGCCTCTAGGCTAAGGGCAGAATGAGACATGGGAAAGGAATGGCAACACTCTGGATCCTCAGGAGTTGGTCCTTTGTCTTTTAAAGTGCAATTCAAATCTTGCCACTTCCAGGAAGGCTTCCTGGACTGAATCTCCCTCCTTCCTGACTCACACCCATTATGAACCTCATTTCAAAGAGATATCCTTGCCCAACCCCCTGAACTAGTCACTTATGTGTCTTTGCATTCTCTATTTTCCTGAGGTGCCGCAGAGCCCAGGTCTCCAGCTGACCTCTCACAGCCTGTGCTTGGAACTCCCTGGGCCTCACCAATGGACTTCACATCTTCTTATCACACTTGCTCCCACTAGACACATCCTCTCTGAGGCAGCTGGTCTGACTCTCCAAGTGACCCAGGTCTAGCCTTCCAAGAAAGCTCTGCTGCCTGGGCCTTGGAACCCAGAGTATGCCAGGGGATGGGAGAAGCTGGGAGGAGGGGAGGGTCCTGTGAGGGGTTCCACATCCCAAGTCAGAGTATATATATACTACTCCATCTTCAAACTGGCTGTTCCCACTGTGTCCCCTGCACCCCGAAGCCCATACCCAGCCCGATAGAGCTCACCAGATCTGCAGGTCCACAGTCACACGTCTTCGGTTGCACGTATTAGTGTGTGCCTTGACACCGTTGACCCTGGGACACTGGAAGAAATGCCAAAAGGGCTAGGTCAGAGGCTTCTTGTAGCAGGGGACAGCTGCCAGCTCTCCCCCCGGCACTGGGCTTTGTCAGCAACGAGCATGACCACCATACTTCCAAGACGAGGCACAGACATGTAAATCTATCCTGCAGCCCAGAGACTTCCCTCCCTAGAATGTGCCCCCTCCTTTCTCTCCCTTCCTGCCCCTACTCACACAGCCACACAGAGTGGCCCTGAGGCCAGGCCTGTTGTTCATGCCCCATAGCAAACTCTGGAAGTGGGTCCTTTCCCTTTACACGTGAGGAAACTGGAGCTTACAGAAGTCAAGTCACTGGCCCCACAGCACAGGGTGGAGCTGGGCATAGGCACAGGAACTGGAGGAAGCTGGCAATACTCACAGGGGTGAATGAATGCTTATGGCAGCTGAAAAACATTTTTTTAAATGTTCATGGGTGTGTGAAGAAAGGGGGTGTGGTGAGCGCACTAGGTCCTGGCCAAGCCCAGGAGGGTCGTGTGAGGAGTCCTCTGTGACCCCACGATGGTCAGGAGGGGACATGGGAATGGGAGAGCAGAGGGAGGGGGGTGGCCAGGACATGAAGAGTGCTGAATGCCAGGATCAGGAGGCAGGTGTTTCTCCTGCAGGGCTGGGACATCTGTTCAGCCTGCAGCTTCCCCCTCCAGGTTCTTCTGATATGGTAAATATCATTTCTTAGGATTGCTTGCCAGCAGTGCTACATCCCATAGACCAACGGTCCCCAATCTTTTTGCCACCAGGGACCAGTTTCTTGGAAGACAATTTTCCCACAGACCGGGGGTGGGGTGGGAAATGGTTTTGGGATGAAACTTTTCCACCTCAGATCATCAGGCATTAGCTTCTCATAAGGAACATGCAACCTAGATCCCTCACATGCGCAGTTCACACAGGGTTTGTGCTCCTATAAGAATTTAATGCCGCTGCTGATCTGACAGGAGGCGGAGCTCCGGCAGCTCCCGGCTGCTGACCTCCTGGTGTGTAGCCTGGTACCGAGAGTTGGGGACCTCTGGCATAGAGACAACCACCAGAGGAGCAGCCTGACTGAGCAGGCTCTGCTGTGAACACAGCACCCTGCAAGCTTCTTGGCTCCTAGCCTGCTGAATTCTTCAAAAGCCAACTGAGCCATCACCTTTTCCTGGAAGTCTTCCCTGACTCCCACAGCCCCTCCACCCCTCCATTTCTGAACTTGCATTCCTCTGCCATCATGCACGCAGATACTGCCACGTTGTCATCCACCAGTTGATGTGTTCCTCCCACAGGAAGGGGTGCAGCCACACCCAACTCTATGATGCCCAGCACACAGCACGTGCTCAATAAGTCACAGGTGAATGAAACAAGAAATGAATGCATGAACCAACAGATGCTGGCACAAGCCAGTTTGAATGGCAGAAATCCCAATCTCCAGGGCTCAGGCCTGCCTAATCCACCCCTGCCCAGGGGCTAGCCAGGAAGGGCTGGCAGACAGCTCTCTCAGCAGGCTGGCCTATACTTGGACACCTGCTCGTTGCTGGGAAGACCGGATGCCAGTGCCTCTCATTTACTGGGTCACAGTGGTCTCTGGCTGAGGGATACATTTTGGATGATCAAAAGATTCAAGTCACTAGGGGCACTTCGAGGCAGGAGGCGTAGGGCACCAAGGCTGAAACAGGAAGCCCAGTCTAGAACAGGGACCATGACATTAGGTGTGCTGACACAAACTTCATTGGCCACAGACCATTTCATCCTGGGACACCTGCTGATCTTCACAGAACTAGCATGGACTTGTAACACTGAGTGCCATAACAGCCAATTAGTGGAGAATATAAAGCGCTAGGCGGCACTGACTATCCAAACTGTGAGCGTGTGTTCACCGGCTCTGAGGTTAGCAACTATGATTTCCATCTTTGTATCTGTCTGGCTACCACCATGGCGTGTCTTCAAAGTTTTCCTTAAGAAAAGTGGAAATATCTCCCACCTCTCCTTTCTGTTCCCTCTGAGCCAGGCTTCCTTGGAACCTGGGGAGATGATGGTACAGGGATGTGGGGGAAGGGTGTCTACTGAGGCTGACAGGCTGGGAAATGCAGGTGGTGGCGGGAGGGTGTCCCCCTGTAAGGTCCAGTGGGATCTCTGCAGTCATATGACTGACCTGGGTGGGAGAAAGGTGGGAGGAGAGGGAACAGAGAGAAGACTGCACAGCCAGTCCAGGCTGACCCTCCCGAGACACACCCACCTTCTGTCCAAAGTAGAGCTTGGTAAAGGTAAAGGTCCTCAGGTGGATGCTCTTCTCTCGGATCTTGGGCTCAAGTTTCTCCCGGAACTTGCTTTCCATGATCATGCTTAGGTAGGGCCAGGTCTGAGAGATGATCTGTGAAGACGGGAAGAGGCTCTTGGTAGTCAGGTCTGTACCCCCACTGCAGACCCACAGCTGCATGGGACAAGGTCCTGATTCTCTGCAGCCTGGTCTTGGGGTGGGGGTTCCTATGCTGCAGCACTCACCTGCTTGCCTGCCCACCCATCTGCTCACCTGTTCATCTGTCTGTCCGTCAAACATCTGATAACTACAGCCGTGGTTCCCACTGTCATGCAGGCAGCAGGACCCCAAGATTTGGTGCTATTCCGCAGAGCACCAAGAAATACTCATTCACTACATTTATTATTAGAAAGCCCTTTAGTTCTGTGCTAAAACATAATCTCATTCTACACTGTGGTTTAAACAAAAAGTAGCAGATGCCAGAAGTTTAAGAAAAAAATTACAGAAGAGAAAGTTAAATTGTTTCCTGTGGATTTCATTTTCTAGCAATCAGAAAAGGCAGCCTTTGCCCGATTTCTGCAGCAGAATGACTCACTGTGCTGATTTGGGAATGAAGTGCAGGACCTGGGGAGAAGGAAGATGGCAGAGACAGGGGAGGATGGTGGAAATCAGAGGGGAATGGAGGGCGGGCCAGCCAGCAGGTACTTTCTGTTTGGGGCAAGGCTTCTCCATCTTCTTTTTCTTTTTTCTCAAACGGAGTTTCGCTCTTGTTGCCCAGGCTGGAGTGCAATGGCACGACCTCGGCTCACTGCAACCTCCACCTCCTGGTTCAAGTGATTGTCCTGCCTCAGCCTCCCAAGTAGCTGAGATTACAGGTACCTGCCACCACACCCAGTGAATTTTTTTAATTTTTAATTTTTTTTTTATTTTTAGTTAGAGACAGGGTTTCACCATGTTGCCCAGACTGGTCTTGAACTCCTGGCCTCAAGTGATCTGTCCGCCTTGGCCTCTCAAAGTGCTGGGATTACAGGTGTGAGCCACAGCACCTGGCCTTCTTTTTTAAGACAAGGTCTCACTCTGTCGCCCAGGCTGGAGTGCAGTGGCATGATTACAGCTCACTGCAGCCTCAACCTCCCAGGCTTAGGTGATTTCCCACCACAGCCTCCTGGGTGGCTGGGACTACATGCGTGCACCACCACGCATTTTAATGTTTTTGTAGCGATAGGGTCCCCCTGTTACCCGAGCTGATGGATGTTGATCCAAGATTGCTATTTTCACATTACCAGACGTGTCATTGCTGAGTGCATCAAAAAGCATTCCCTAGCCAGGCATGGTAGCACACAGCGGGGTCACAACTCCTTGGGAGGCTGAGGCAGGAGGATCGTTTCAGCCTAGGAGTTCAAGGCCAGCTTGGGCAACAAAGCAAGACTCCATCTCAAAAACAACAGTAACAGCAAAAGAACAGAGAACATTCTCAGCCTCTGGGTAAATTTGGAAGAAGCAGGTTGCTGCTTTAAGAGGAGTGACTGGGTTTCTGGGGATTCATGCAGGACCCAGCGCCTCTGGGCAAACCTTGTAGAGTTCCTCCTGCACTGTGTTAGCTGGTTCATGCACCTCTGCCTGCGTTACATCTTTCTTTCAGTAATACACAGAGGCCTACACAAGGCGTTGGAGATACAAGACTGTATCTTTCCTGTGGGCTTGGGCTTCAGTTTAAATATGCATTTCCTTCCTCCATGTGCCCCTTCCAAAGCCATCATTGGAGGAGCCTAAAGGCTGTGAGATTTTAGGGCTCATTGTTCCCATCTCTCTCAAAGGCCTCTCCAAACCCCAGGTTCTACTTTCTTGGGTCTGGTCTCATCTTCCTGTCTTGCTGGTTTGTCACTGGCCAAGTGCCTCCTGAGTTTAAAGCTTGTTAGGACACACTCGGTGCCCTAGTATGTGGTTTACCTACACAACTGTCTCTGTCTCCCCATCCAAGATGAAGGTGGGAGCCTCATATCCCAACAGTCTTATATCTCCAACGCCTTGTATAGGCCTCTGTGTATTACTGAAAGAAAGATGTAACGCAGGCAGAGGTGCATGAACCAGCTAACACAGTGCAGGAGGAACTCTACAAGGTTTGCCCAGAGGCGCTGGGTCCTGCATGAATCCCCAGAAACCCAGTCACTCCTCTTAAAGCAGCAACCTGCTTCTTCCAAATTTACCCAGAGGCTGAGAATGTTCTCTGTTCTTTTGCTGTTACTGTTGTTTTTGAGATGGAGTCTTGCTATGTTGCTCAAGCTGGCCTTGAACTCCTAGGCTGAAACGATCCTCCTGCCTCAGCCTCTCAAGGAGTTGTGACCCTGGTGTGTGCTACCATGCCCGGCTAGGGAATGCTTTTTGATGCACTCAGCAATGACACGTCTGGTAATGTGAAAACAGCAATCTTGGATCAACATCCATCAGGAAGTCCTTTCTTATACCTAACCTAAGTCATTCCTGCTACGGGCTAAGCCTCCTCCCAGAGGCAAGGTTTGTATTAGAAACATTCCTCAGTCAGGAGATTTGAGCTGGGGACTGCCGTGGAGCCCTCACAGTTAGGGACAGGTCTGGGCAGATCAGGGAGGGGCAGGCCTCCAGTTCATCCTCCATGAAGTCGGGATTCCTGCTGGGGAGGGCTCGGCCAAGGGTCATCATCCAGCAGGAGCCTCCTTGGGACATCTGGCAGCAGAGCCCAAGGGGAGTTCCCAGGGGTGACCTAACAGCAATTACAGTAGTGATGTCAGTGAATCGAGCCAGGGCAAGGACTCTAATTATTCCCATTTTACGGATAAGGAAGCCAGCTCAGAGGTGTTAGGCAGTCTGCCCAAGACTGCACAGAAATGCTGTTGGATCTAGGCAGGAAACCAGGCAGTGTCCAGAAGCTGTTGTCTAATTAATGTCTTCCTCTCCCTAGGAAAGTACAGCTCCTGGCCTGGTGAGCTAGTGGGGATTGTACTTTTCTCTATACTTCTCTGTATTTTCTAATTTTTCTGCTGTGACCACGTATTAATTTCAATTTGTTGTTGTTAACAAAAGCGAGCCATTCTGGTGAAAGAAGAGGGAAAGGGAGCATCCCTGCCCGCGTCAGGCAAGGAAATTGCCGCGAGGCCCCCATCAGGCTGTGGGGGTGACAGCCGCGGGGAGGACGAGGCTGGCATGCGTCCGGCCCTGCTAGGCCCTGCCAGCGGCCTTACCTTGTTGGCCCACTCGACCCGCTCCACGTCCGGGAAGTGGATCTAGGAAAGAAGCCCCGAGGGGAAGTTAGACTAGAAGCCGCACACCCGCTGGGAACCAAGCAAGCCAGCCTGGCGGGCTTCCCATTCCGCCCACGCGCTGCACCTCAACCCTTCCTCCCCGCCGCCTCCACGTCGGTCACAGGTGCGCTCTCCGCACCCACTCGGCGTCCAGCCCTGGCAACTCGGAACTGGTCCTGCCCTCAAACAGCGCACTATCCAGTGGAGCAGGCAGCAAATAAACAGACAACGAGCTGGCACCGATTCCGCAGTGCAGCCCAGCTCCAAGGCTCGCGTGGGCGTTTCTGGGCACGCGGTGGCGGGCAGGACAGGACTCCACGCGGTTTCACCCCTCCCCTCCACCCCAGTCCCACGCGGAGGCCGAGGTGGGAGAGGACATGGAAGGCGAGGAGGAAAGGGAGGGCTGGAAACTGCTTGTTTGCACACGCAAGTAAATCCCCACTCCTGGGGAAGCACAGGACCCCCAACCTGGAAACCCCCAGGATAACACAGGTTGCTCCTTGCAAATTCCATCCCCCTTATTCGTTTCAATGACACAAACAATATGCAGTCTCCGTAGAAAAATTAGAAAATGCAAACATCACCTAAACAAAAAGAAAAAATATTAGGGAATTCTACCACCCAGTGATAAGTACTTAACAGCTTGATGTTTTCATAGACAACTAAGGAGTGGGGTGCTGTGGGGCGCCCCTCCCACCTCTGCCCACCTTGGCTCCCAGAAGCCCCTCCCAAGCCTCCTCCCTTCCCCTTAGGCCCTTCCTATAGTCACATAGCTTCCAACTACGGGGTCACAACCCCTAACCACTCCAGCTCCACCTGCTGGGTGAACCCCAGTGTGGGAAGGGGGAACAGTGGAAGGTGAGTGGAGTGGAGGGACAGTCCTGTTGGCTGACCTGTGCATGACATAATTCTGAGAGTGCTTAATCCCCCTCCAGGAGTCTCAGTCTCTGCATCTGTCTGCTGAGCTTCTCATTCCCCCAGGGGTTTTCTTACAGAGGAGTAAGCGTGGACATGTACAGGGTACCTGCACAAAACACTGTTCACCAAAACAGCAGCCACAGCCACCACTGTGGCCATGCCCCAAGTCCCCTGAACATGAGGCTGGCTTGGGGTCAGATTCAGAGTGGGCCTGGGACCACCCACGGTGGGGAAAAGGCATGCCCCCTCTATCTGGGAGCTCAGAAAGGCCACTGTTCTGGGACTAAGTAGATGTGTCCCTGCAGTTCGCACACCTACCAAATGCCAGGTCCTGAGCCAGCTTTGGGGTTGCCCTAAAGACTCAAACACATGCCCTGGCCTGCAGCACTCGTTCAGGATCACAGCCATTCCCAAAATAGGGGACAGAGAAATTCAGTTCTCCCGGAACAGTTTTTAACAGCCTTGATTGGTCAGAGGAGTTCAGTGCTTCTGAGACTCTTGGGACACCATTCTCCCATTCTCTCTTGGGATACTATTCTCCCAGCCTCAGTTTCCCTTGCTCTGGGCAGTGGCCTATACTAACTCAGAAAAGTTTATATTCCCAGGTACGGAAGAGAAAATACGGCCTGGTTCCCAGAGGTGCAGCTGGCCCAGCCCACAGAAATAGAAGAGATCGATGCGGGAAGGAATTGTGGGGAGAGTGGGCAGGAGCTCAGTTCAGTGGGAGTGATGCCACCTGCTCAGCAAACATTCTCTGCAGCTACCCTGGGTCTGGTCTCAGCTGGGAACCAGGCAAATGGAAGGCAAGACCTTTCCGTTTCTTCCTATTACACTGCCCAGTACTAAAGTAGAAATTACTGCACATGGGCCTAGAGAGGAGACCCAGCTCATGTCATGGCCTCATCGCCCACTCCCACCGGTCCCTTTCAATCCAACCACCTTTACCTTTTCTGTTCCTACCAAAGGCCTGCATGTGTCATTTTGTGTGTCTGAAACAGTCCTCCCTACTCCCCTTTGATTGATTCGTTCGTCACTATCTTAGACTTCACTTGCAGGAAGCCTCTCTGGGTGTCCCAAGTTGGGGATAAGTGAGGCAGCCTGCTGGTTCTCCATTGCAGCATTTGATACACTTTACTAGAGCTGCCTGGTCTTGCTGCCTACCTCCCTACACACTGGAAGCTCTAGGAGGGCTGACTGGGCCTCACCCCTATTAAAGTCTGTTTCTAACATATGAAGGTCTTAATAAATATTTGTGGAATGAATGAATGAAGCATGGCCCTTGCCCTCAAGGAACTCACAGGCAGGCAACTAACAGATCACTCTAATACAGAATCAGTACTAAGGTGGGAAGAGGGAGCATTCTCAGAGGAACTTGCTGACCTCACCAGTAGCTGTCCTCCTTCCAGCCCAAGCATCACACTTCCCATCCCACACCTTTGGCCCGGGTTGTTTTGTGACTTCAGGAGCTGAGTAGTTCTGATCTCTCGACCCCGAAAGGTGATCCTGCTTGGTGGGTCCAACCCTGGCCACTCTTGGGAGTTAGTCAAATGAAGATTCCTGAGCTGCCTCATGCCACTGAATCAGAGTATATCAAGGGTGGGGCTCACCAACTTATTTTTCACAAGCTCCTGGTATGATGTTGGAGTTCAGTCAGGGTTGGGATCAATGACCAGCCCACCCCTTGCCTCAGGGTGACCCACATGCATCCTGAAAATGTAGGAAGCAAGGCCGGGAACTATGTCTCATGCCTATAATCCCAGCGCTTTGGGAGGCCGAGGCAGGTGGATCACTTGAGCCCAGGAGTTTGAGACCAGCCTGGCCAACATGGCAAAACTCCATCTCTACTAAAAAATATAAAAATTAGGTGGGCATGGTGGCACACACCTGTAATCCCAGGTACTCAGGAGGCTGAGGCAGAAGAATTGCTTGAACCCTGGAGGCACAGGTTGCAGTGAGTCGAGGTCACACCACTGCACTCCAGCCTGGGCCACAGAGCAAGACTCCATCTCAAAAAAAAAAAAAAAAAAAAGAAAAAGAAAGTGTAGGCAGCAACAGAATGACCAAGGCCCACAATGATTAAGCTGTCATGGTTTCTCTCGATTGCCCACACCTGTATTTGAGGCTCCTCACCAAGAGGCCCCATCATGGATGAGTCTGAACCCCATGAAGAAAGCAACAATTCAGTCCAAGAAAATAAGAGACCTCAATTCTCCTACCCTGCCTAGGGACCTGAAGCCCCTCCCTTAGCCTGAATCTCAACACCTGCCTTCACTCCCAGTGAGCCGAGGTGCAAGAGCCAGACTACATTCCTTGTGACTGCCCCTGAGTAAGTTTGGAGCAGGGGATGAAATCATAGAGACTGATTCTTAGGGAGCAATGACTCATCCTCAGTGCTTTCCCATTTTGACATCGACAGATCAATCTATTTTTCCATTATAATTGGTCTTTTTTTGGAACTTGAAGAAATCTTTTCCCACCCCACATTCTCAAAGTTACTCTGGATTTTCATCTGTTGGCTTTCACGTTTAGGTCTTTAATCTCTCTGGATTTTTTTACATAAGGTGAGACAAAGATACAATTTTTTTCTCCCTCCATACTTTCACTAAGGCAATTTTCAACCAACACATAAAAAAAAAATTGCATCTTTTTCCTTGACTTGGGAATCTACTTCACTCAAAAACTAGCTCCTCATATGTACTTTGGTGTGTTTCTGGACTTGCCATTCAACTCCATAAGTCGGCCTGTTCCAGTACCACGTGGTTTTAATCACTGTGTTTTTGCCAAATGACCTGGGGTAGGGTGAATCCCCTCCCCTGCATTTTTTTTTTTTTTTTTTTTTTTTTTTAGATCGAGTTTCATTTTTGTTGCCCAGGCTGGAGTGCAATGGTGCAATCTCGGCTCACTGCAACCTCCACCCACTGGGTTCAAGTGATTCTCCAGCCTCAGCCTCCCGAGTAGCTGGGATTACAGGCACCTGCCACCACGCCTGGCTAATTTTTTGTATTTTTAGCAGAGACAGGGTTTCACCATGTTGGCCAGGCTGGTCTCGAACTCCTGAACTCCTGATCCACCAGCCTCGGCCTCCCAACGCGTTGGGATTACAGGCATGAGCCACCACACCCGGCCGCCGATTCCCCATTTTGCTTTTTCTTTCTCACACTGATTTAGATAATAGTAGATATTTATTGTTCTGTATGAATTTTAGAATCAGCTTGTCAATCTACAAAAAAAAAATCCTCCTGAGATTTCAATTGTTATATTTTTTAAATTATAAGTTAACTTGTGGGCTGACACGGTTAAATATTACATCATTGACACCCTTTATTTATTCACATTTTCTATTCACATTTAGGATCAAATTTTCCAACTCTTTTTCTCTAAAAGTCCTGTATATTTTTTGTTAGAGTACTGTGTGGCATTTCATTTTCTGGGCAACTTTGCTGAAATTTGTTAATAGTTCTAATTGTTCATTGATTCTCCCAGAACTCTTTTTCTTTGATTTAAATCTGTTGGCTCTTTTATGTTTTTAGAGTTGAACTTCATGAGTTTGGGGAATATCATTTATTTTCCATTTTTGTTTTGTAATAAATCAATTCAAAGGTATAAAATCCTCTAGTTTTTGACACAATAAATTGCTATTCTGCTCTCATTTTTCTATTCCCATTATGACTTCCTCTTAATGAGTTTTCAAAATAGTAATGTTTTAAAGTATCTAGACATGTGAGATTTCAATAGGTATATATTTTTGCTGTTTTCTAATAATAATTTTATTTCTTTGTGGCCTGAACAGTCTGTAGGATTGTCAATTCACTGGAATATGTTGATAATTCCTTGTGGCCTAGTACATGATTAATTTCCATGACTATTCCATGTGTGATCAGGTTATTAATCATGTCCTTCTAATATGCTTTATCCTTGCTTAGTCTTTGCCTGCTTCATTTATCATTTTCAGAAAGGGATGTATTAAAAGATTCCAAGCACAACTGTTGATTTATCTACTTCCTCATGTCGGTTGTTGATTTATATTTCAAGTTTATATTCTGTAATACATATATGTCTGTGATTATCATAATTATTGAGACAAGGTCTCACTGTGTCACCCAGGCTGGAGTGCAGTGGTGTGATTTTGGCCTACTGCAGCCTTGACCTCCCAGGCTCAAGCAATCCTCCCACCTCAGCCTCCCGAGTAGCTAGGACTACAGGTATGCACCACCACGCCTGACTATTGTTTGTTTGTTTGTTTGTTTTGGTAGAGACGGGATTAGGTCATGTTACACAGGCTAGTCTCAAACTCCTGGGCTCAAGCTATCCGCCTGCCTTGGCCTCCCTAGTAGCTGAGACTACAGGTACATGCCACCATGTCTAGCTAATTTTCTAATTTTTTTGTAGAGATGGGGCTTTGCAGTGTTGCCCATGCTGGTCGTGAACTCCTGGGCTCAAACCATCCACCTGCCTCAGCCTCCCAAACTGTTAGGATTACAGGTGTGAGCCACCATGCCCAGGTATATCATTATTGCCCTTTACAAGCATATAACAACCTTCTTTGTCTTTGAGTTCTATTCTATTTTGTCTAATATGACAATTGCTATCTCAGCTTTCTTTTGTTTCAAGACTTGGCCAGTTGCATATTTTCCATCCTATTTTCAACCGTTTTGAGTTCATGTCATCTCATGTCATTTAATACTCACCTAATCCCTTATTTGCCCCATTTTACAGATAAGGAAACTAAAGTTCAGAGAGGTTACATGACTTATAATCTCCAGTAGTGGAGTGCTAGAACGGAGACCCAAGCCTGGGTCTGTCTGACCACAGAGTCTGTGCTTTTCCACTTCGTCCACTACTCCTCCTAAGAAAACCTCACACAGCATCATGTAGGGGTTTTATAGAAACCTCTTTTACAAAGTCTGGGATTTAGCAGGCAACTGCCCTTATGGGGCTTTAGCCCTGATTGGTAGAGGCCATGCCTTATGACTTACAAAGGGCATTCCATAAACACTTTCATTTGATGCTCCCAACACTCTATAAATCATTATTCCCCTTTTACAAATGAGGAGACTCAGAGACTAGTTAGTACTTAAACAAGATTACCCATGTGATCAGAACCCAGATCTCACCTGCATATGATTTGAGCCTAAGCCTCAAATCTTCTCATCCATTTCCTCTCCTCCCCATCCTCCACCTGAAATGTCAGCATTTGAAGTCCATTCCTTAGTGTTTTTCTAACCTATTCCTTGTGTATTTCAAATTCCACCTCTCTAAGCCTCAGCTTTCTCATCTGCGAGATGGGTACAATACTGCCAACTTCACAGTTCCTGAAAAGACTAAAGGCATGGATGATGCTCGGTATCCTTCCTGGATCAGAATAAGCGTTCTGGAAGTGGTAACTTTTGCTGGAAGTTGTACAGACCTGGGAGGTGCAGGCACTCTGACCCCTCTGACCTCAAGTACGTGCAAGAACAAGGTCACCTGAGCTATGTGTCCAGTTCTGCCTCACCCAGAGCGCAGCAAATTCTCTGCTGAGTTTCCTAGTGCCTCTGGCCACCACTGCAAGGCGAGAACAGAGAATGAGGAGGATTTACAACACAGTGCAAGTGGTTGAGATGGAAAGAGGAACACGGTTGGTGTTTCCCTGGCCTCGCTGACTGGCCCAGGGATCTGTGGCTCAGATAAAGACAGCCGCAGAGAGCTGGGCCCAATGCCTGTCAGGCGCCCATGTGAAACTCTGCCCAATGGGGGCAACTGCATAGTGAAGCTTGGCAAACGCACCCAATCTGAGCCTCTGCCTTGTGTCTTTCCTCACTAGGGAAACAAAGAGAGGCTGAAAAATAAGATGAGTGGCTCACACTGAACTGAGCCCTAAAATCACTGAGCTTTTGTTGCAGTTCCCCACGAGGCTGGGAGTCTCTGGGACCAGCTAGTGGGGAGTCACCCACACCACCTGGCAGTGCAAAGAGCTCTGCAGCGATTCTCAGACTTCTGTGTTCAACAGTCCCACCTGGAGAGCTCGCTACAGTACAGCTGCTCGGTCAGGGCCCACAGAGATTTTGATTCCAGAGGACTGGGGCAGGAGCCTGGAAACCTGCGTCTTTAACAAGCTCCTGGTGGTTCTGATCTTAGCAGAGGGTGTGGAAGAATGAGTGGACAGGGCTCCCCAGGCTGGAGGGCTTGCTCAGGCCCTGGAAGAAGGTGGCTCCTCTGCCTCCGGGGGTTCCTGACTAAGTTTGAAAGTCACAGCCTGGGTTTCCAGCTGTCACTCCTAGGAGAACACTGCTGTGTCACCAAATTCATATAGCAGCCTTCAGACCTCAACTCCTTTATAAAGGGAATTCTTCCACAAAGAGCAAGGGGAGGCCAGAGCCAAAAGGCAAAAAACAGAATATTATGATTTCCCTGGCTCCGGGCCTGCTCTGCCCTCTAAAAGGTGAGCCACCCCCATCTCATACCTGCTTTCTGTAGCCAGGCAGGAGGAAGAGAAGGAAGTGCGCCCAGGGACTTAGAACACAGGGTTTTGGTCTTAACTCCCTTCAGCCTCAGGTTTCTTGCTGATTAATAAGTGGGGCTGTTAATTCCTGTTCCTCCCAGATCCATGGAAACAGTGGACTTCTAGATGGTTTGGTGTTAGAGACAAATCCAGCTCTCTAGCAAGCTTCATCTCCATAAAACATGTACACTATCCTCACTGATGTATTATAGGTGAGAACATTTCCCCAAAGCAGGCCTGGAAAATTCCAAAGATGCCCAGACACATGGTCAAGTCACCAGGATCTCCGACGTCTGCTGTCCTCCCCGCACTACCTGTCAGAGAAGTTTAAATAGTTCACAACCCTCCACCCTCCCCATCTGAGGCCTCCGTAAACTAACATACCTCTTGATGCTGTTAGTGTACTTGAGCCGACGCATTCCAGGCAAAGTGATCTAATATTTTAATGACAGTGTTTTTAGGCATTTTCAAGGGAGTAGTGGTGATGAGAATTTAGAGAGAAGAGGTAAAGCAAATTCAAGTCTAAGTAGAATTCCATGCTAGACAGGCCACCAAAGAGGCCCACATCAATAATCCATATTTAGGCGGTGATGTCTGTGCATTATTTCTTAAGCCCTCTAGGAAAAATGATTCCACAGCAGTGAGGAAATGGAGCCAGAATGACAGCTGCCTCCCATCGGAGCCAAGGTTTTGGTGGGGTCCACACAGATGGGTCTGGGGTTGGGGTGGGAGGCCTTGACAAGAGCTTGGGCCACCAGACCCTCTTGGGAGGCGGAGGGACTAAGGAGCCTCACTTAAAGGGCCTCCCTGTCATTCGATGAATTCTGCCAGCTCCCTCGCACAGGGTGGCAGCTCTCCCATGGAGCAGCCATGTCACACACACACACACACACAGATGCACAAACACAGATGTGTGGACACACACGCAGACACACACAAACTAAACAGACACATCCGCAGACTCACACGCATGTGCAAAGACACACACAGTTTCCTAAAATTAGCCTCATGGCTCTTCCCTACTCCAAAGGACATTCTTACAGACAATACACCCCTGCTAACTAACTGCTGAGAGAAGACCCACTCATTCTGAGTGTCCTACAGAGATGTCCTACAAAAGGAGGCCATTGGACTTCAGGCTGGCTCCTGTCTTCCCAAGATCAGCTGCTGCTCTGTGGCTGCCTGTTCAGTGGTTCCTGCTTTACAAGCCAAGTGGTCCTTTGATGTCACTTTTCTCCTGATGCGCAGACTTTGTCCTTTTTTTCCTCTGTTCTTGGAAGGCAAACATTTAACCATTAAAACTACTTTTAAATCTTCCAACCCTTCTGCTTTAAATTACCCAGCTCAAGTACTTTGAGGGAAACAATTGCTTTGCCAACTTGAAAATCTGTCTGGCACTGTTCTGTAATCCACAGCTCCTTAACACACGCAGCCAGCAAACTGGCCTAAATCAGCTGAACCCAGCAGAACTGAGCAGATGAAATTCCACTAGTCACAGTGATGAGAACACTGACACTGAACACTGTCACTCTTTGCTAAGGAATAAGGGCTCAAAGCAGAGGGGGGTGGCCCTGAGCTGTCCACAGAGTAGTTTTTTAAAGGGGACCTAAGCGATGATAGTAAGTTCAGAGAGTTCAATGATCCAGTTAGGGTTGGTAATTCCTAGAAGTTAAAAAAACTTATCCTCTTGCTTATCAAAATAGCAAAGGCCCCAAAAGATAATATTCAATGCTGATAAGACCACAGTGAATGGGCAAAAGTGTCTTTAAAAATCTTCATAAACTTCTAGGAATCATACTAATTAAATTGAGAAATGTGGACTAAGATTTACACGGCAGGCATTCACTGTAGCATTCATTCAGCAGATTTCTATTGAGTCCTTACTATGAACTGGGCACTGAGCTAGCAGCTGAAGCTACAGATATGTACAAGACATACACCTTATCTTAAAAGAACTTTCAGCCTGGAGGAAAAGTTAGCCATAAAAATACGTAAGTTACAAATCAGTCTGGGAGGCAGAGTGACAGACACATGCTCAGGGCCCTGTAGGAGCCCATGGACAAGAGTCCTGGGGGTGGGGCCTGAGCTTGGATTTGAAGGATGAGTCACAGAATCTAGATGCACAGATCAGAGGGAGAAACTGCGGACAGAGGAACCACCACCCACCTCCGCTAGCCGTGTGACCAGGAAAGCCTGGAAGTAACCAATATAATCAATGTTAGAGAAACAATTACACAACTTGTGGTATATTCATATGAAGGATATGATCGTCCTTAGAAGTTTGTTTGGAGAATGTAATATAATGTTAAGAACATAAAAAATCAGAAAAGAAAAAAGTACAAGTTTTTAAGAAACTGTTTTCATATATTTTCTATATAAAGGAAGCACACCCAAACATACTGTATCTCTGGGTGGAGGGATTATAAAATGCTTATCCTAATTTTAACTTTTATGCCATTTCCAAATATTCTCCAATGAGAATGTTTACTTTCATGACCAGAAAAAAAAAAACACATTTTTAGACATTTTATAACCAGTTATGTTAAAAAGTAAATACAACATGGGCAAAGGAATAGAGTGGGTGATTCTGGGGTCTTGAAACATCCTATAGCCTAGACAATTTCCTTGGCTTTTTGTTCTGAGATTTCCAAGGCTCATGACTCATGACACTGGCACAGGGCTTCTCGGCCTGCCCTCCCACAGAGATAGGGCTTATGGGACCTGAGTTCTGCATCCCTCTGTGGCCTGAGGAAATCAAGTCTCATATCCTTAGCTTGAAATATACAGCACCTTAAAAAAAAAAGGTGCTTTGTCTTTTTAATAATTCTCAATGGGGCAGAAAAACATCTTAAATCCCTCTTCAATATTTGCAGTCGAGGAAGAAGAGGAGGAAAAGGAAATCACTTGCCTCAAGCACATGTGAGCACTTTTGTGCTACAAGCTCCAGGTTCCCAGAGAATTAGAAATCCCTGAACTCTGCTGGGAGTAGTGGGAGGGGGAGGCGAAAGAGCAAGGCAGGCCAGGTCTCAGCCCCTGCTCCCTGAGGTAGCTGGGTTGTGGCCCTCCCAGGTCTTCAGGGGGCAGCTCATACCTCCCAGAGCCCCCTCCCCAAAGTCACCAGAGACATTCCCACAGAAGTGCCATCTCTGCCTGCCACCAAGACTCTGGGCCAGGACCCAGTGGGAGCCGGTGACCATCTCTCCCCACCTTCCTGCCCACTGGAGAGGGGGCTGCAACACAGGACAAAAGGGTCTGTCCCTACTCATGGCCCTGATCCTCATCCACCATGTGACCTCTCAGTTACTCAGGGCCTCAGGCCCCTGGCTGAGAAAAGGTTGCCTGGACACTCCTGGCCCAGAAAGATTCAGCCCCTTGTAAATGAAGCAGTGAGCAGTCTCATGTGAGCGCAGGTATTATACATTGCTGTCCCAGAATCTGCTCACCCCAAGATGCAATAATGAGCTCAACTGACCTAACCTGTGAAAGACTGTGGGCCGAGTCCCCAACTCCCTACCACAGCCAGCAATACCACAGTGCCTCTTCCTCCAAGAAGGCTTCCTGGGCCACTTCCAGCCAAGGATAGAGCCCCTCACCCATGCTTTCTCAGAGCCTCAGACTTGGAGCCACCTCAGAGAACTGATCATGCTCTATCAGAAGAGGCTGCCCTTGCAGGTCTGAATCTCCATCTAGCTCATGGGTTCCTCAAGGGCAGGGGCCATGTGTACTCATGCTGCCCCGCCTGCAGCTCTGTGCCTGACACACTGCAAGTTCTCGATAAATGCTTGCTGAGTGAGTATAGGAATGAACACATGTATGCCTAAGATCCCTCTGTTGGGCTTGGAGGAAAGAGGGCCCATACTCTGTCACTCATATTGCTCAATCCTGGCCCAGGACATGATAAGTCCATGAACCATCATTAAGACATGGGGCAGAAACCCCAAAGGCATGACTAAAAATTTATCTGCCTCTTCCTTCCCGAGGACAGGCCTGACTCCAAGCCATTTGAATAACTTCACAGGGCTGCAGGGACCTCAAGGGTAAGAAGTCTCCCTAATTCCAAGCAGCACCCAACCAGTCCTGATGTTTAAAATCAGGTTCCACGGCCCTGGCTCCAAGCATCAGGCTTTGTGATCTAATCTGAGAGTGCCCAGGCTAGCTCAGAGCTGTCACTGCATTTACTTCCTCTAATTAACTGAAGTATCTCAGGACAGACCCTGAGAGCCTGGGTCCTGGAACGACTGCTGCTCCAACCACAGAAAGAATGTCAAGCTCTCAGCACTAGGTAAGCAAAGCACTCAGCCCTTGGCTGTCTGCCTGAGTGGCTGGCAGGGAGGCTTGGAGGGAGCAATCCCAGGGACCACTGCTCTGCGCCTCAGAATGCCCATCGCTTTGTGTGAACGGCTCACCTTTTTCCCCTGGTGCTTGCTTCTGCCGGCAGCCCCAGTGCGCACCCAGTTAGATGGGGACAGGCATGAAAGGCAGCGAGTGGGGTCCTGTGGGGTATGTGTCACCAGAGAAAAGCAGGCTCGGGACTGGTTAATGATGGCAGACCCTACAGCTATGAAGACTCTATAGAACATCTCCTAAAATGTCATGATTTTCAGAGAAATCAGAGGCCCAGAGAGGACAAGGGGCTTCCCAAGATCCCTCCATGAATGACTCCAATGACTTCCACTACTTCACATCACGACCACCTCACCAGCAGACACACACGAGTTAACTGCCCCTCACAAAGCTGCCAACTGATGTAACTGATGGCTACCAGCTGAAAGGAGAGCCAGCCTGGCTAGAAACCACAGATAGACAAAATGCCACGTTTTCTCACAGCTCTTTCTCTTCTCTACACTGCCTCAGGCTATTTTCCTACTACCGGCTCTCATTCCCCCAACCTGGAGCAATGTGAGGATTTTGAACTTCCCTCCTCACAGGGGCCCAGTCATGGCAGGGGCAAATCAATATCTGATAAGCAACCCAATCATCCAGTTGAAGCACTGATCAATGGCTGAATGAGTAACTGGAAATTCACGGGTCAGTGAAGGGCTGATCTGTGCACAAATCCAGGAGTGAAGGCTGCAGAGCTCCACGCAGGGGCCCCTACCAAGGGAGGTGGGCAGGGAAGCAAAGCAGCAAAGGTTACCCCAAGAAGGGTCTTAGGAGCCCAGAGCACGAAGGATGGGCTCTGAAGATCAGAAGGCAGCTCTAGCGCGGGCAGCACAGCCGGGACTCCGAGAACCCACAGGAGCAGGCTCCAGGAAAAGCCAGGGTGCAGGGGGTTCCACAGAAGTGCTCTGCGCGTCCCTTCCACTCGCTCCACCCCTTGACAGTCATCCAGATGCTGGAAAGACGAGCTTACCACTGGGACACTTGGGCATTCATTTCATATTAGGAAAAGGTAGTTAGGAAGCCCGGGAAACAGAGGAACATAAAGGGACAGCCCCCACTGGGCATTCGCTTGTGTCTGGCTCTGTGCAAGCAGCTTTTCAAACAGTCGACTCACCACGACCATGTGTGGCAACAAAGCTTTTGTGGCTTGCCGAGGCCTACAATTAAATGAGTAATATCAAGGGCTCCGTGCTTGTCACTGTGCTATACACAGTCCCTACCCGACAAGGACAGCTGAGGCGGCTCTTAATTCCTTCAAAAGTACACATAAACACTGTGTGAGAGGAGCATCCGCATGTAAACATGCAGCCTCTTGAACCCTCTGTTCAAGGGTGAGCTGCGGGGGCCACCCTGCCTTCTTCCCCATGTCGTCAGGCCACATTCACAAGACAAAGGGGACCCACAGGTTCTTCCTTCAAGGCTTCTAGTAAGGAGAATTCTTCCTTCCAGCTATATCTCCCATGGCTGGGGACCTGGAGGAGAAGCAGGATTGTCTGAAGTTTGACTAGAAATCAGACATCAGGGCCAAAATGACTCTGAAAGACCATCCAATACAACCTCCTTTTACAGGTGGGGAAACAGGTTCAGTCAGGGAAAGCAAATTTCTATGATCACCTGGAGGTAGCATCTTGGAGCAAAATGTTGAGAAGGAGTCTAAGACCAGGCAGGAAAGTCGTGCATGACTGAGGACTGGCTGACGATGGCTGCCTTGGATGGCAGTGGGGAAGGATGGCATCCCCGCCTCAGCTCAGCCAGGCCTTGGCCTCCACTCCTTCACAGGGAGTTGGTGCAAATTAGAAAAAGGTGCCCCATCTAAGCAGCATACAGCTTGACAAGCAGCAGGTGGCCGGATATCCATCCCTCCCCACTGGGGGCTAGAGTACAGGGCCAACTCACACGACATGCAATGCAGGTCTGAGTGTGGTGCCCTTGAGCTGCTCAACTTTTCTTCAGTCCCCCAACTACTGATTTGCCATCTGTTAACTTACAGAAATATTTCTTGATACCAAAGGAGGTCATAAGCCATCATCCTCTCTTTCACGCAGAGAAATCAGTTCTCCAGAGGGAAGGCATGCTAAAAGGTCAGCATGTGATGATGAAGAGATCCATTCATCCATGCCCAAAATCTTGTGCAAGGGGCCGTGCTGCCCCCACCACGCCCAGAGCCCTGTCTCTCTTTGCCTTCACAGTTTGTGTTCCTAAAGAGGCAGAGAGAAGAATATTCAACCAGGTAGACTCCAGGTTTTCCATATCATCACTGGGCGTGGAAACCTTCACGAGGCGGGTGAAAAGCCCACACCTGCATCTGTTTGTATGCACTTCACAGGTGTTCATACAGGCAACCAACCTCCCCAGACCTGTTTCTCATCCTGGAATCCCAATCGCAATAATGGTCAACAGCTCCCTAAACCAGAAAGCACCCTGAAGACCCCTGGATCCCCCTGCACCCCTACTCTAGAGGCCACCACGCATCTAAAGTCCCACTCCCACGCATCTCCCACTCTCCTCCCTCATTACTACCATCTTGGCTGAAATCACCTTCCCAACTGGCCTGTCTCCTCCAGCCTTCCTCGTCCCACCATGCTGCTTTCTGAAGGGCCTTTCAGAAGCATCCAAGGCTCCTTCCAGCCTTCAGAACAAGGCCAGCCTCCATCAAGTCTGCCTCAACTTGACCCTGTCACACATCAACCCCTACCACACACTTCAGCCAGGCCCAGCACACAGCGCCCCCTCATGCAGTGGCTATGTCACACCTCCATGCTGTGCTCACCACCTCCCTCGGCCAGAATGCCCTGTGCCGCACCAGTGGCCCAGTCCAACAGGTTATCCAGGCCCTGGTCCTCCAACCTGGCCAGACAAGCCAGCCAGGCGAGTCTGCAGAATGCAGGCTGAAGCCAGCCTTTCCCAGGTCCTTGTCAAGGAGAAAGGGGGCTGTGATTCGGGGACAATATGATATGGAAACCTGGTAGGGTGTCCTTCATACCAGGCCTTCTACCTGACTAGACCCTGTTCCGACTCCTGGCTCCAATTCTCCTCAATGGCAATGACCTGTTATGCATCTGTCCCCCACCCGAGACTGCCTTCTTGGTAGGACAGAGAGCATCACCTTCCTCTGAGTGTCCCTCTACCCAGCTGGGTCAAGCCTGGGATATGGGTTGTGGGGTGAAAACCTAGGAGGTGCCTTCTTGAGTTCAGGCTGAGCTCCCTGTTGGCTAGGTCCATATTGCTCCTGGGGTCTGTATCCCCAACAGAGGCCAGAACTGTCTCTGTGGTGTATGTGGGGGAGAGGCAGGGAGGGTGTCCACGCCCCTACACGATCTGATTTTTGACCCAATATCGGATATACTGCCTTTACATATAGCTCAGTGTCTAGAGGCTTCCCTGATACAGAAGGGGAGAAAAGAAGGGATGTTACTTGGTGAAGACTCGCAGGCCCACCCTCATGGGCTAAGGCCATCAAGGGGGACAAAACAGAGATCTGACAGATGGCCTGGACTCCCTCAACTGTGTGCAAGGGGTGTGGACAGGTCAAGCCTGCTGGGTCCACACCTTTCAGAATCACAAGCCCCACAGAACCATCAGGATGACCAAAGTCTGTGGGAGTCAGGCCCCATGCGCTACCCCTATGGCTACTACCGTAGAAAAGTGTGCACCCTTATCAGGAAGAGTCTTTGGCCCCTCATCCCCCAAATATGTAAGCTATTTGCAAAGCTTTACCATCAAATCGTACATTAAATATTAAGTGTTATGAAGTGTATGCCCACTTTGAAGTGCTAATTCTCAGTTCTTCAGAATGTGATTCTATTTGCAGGTAGGGTTTTTAAAGTGGTAATTAAGTTAAAATGAGTTCATTAGGGTGAGCCTTAATCCAATATGACTGATGTCCTTCTAAGAAGAGATTAGGACACAGAAGGAAGACGGTGTGAAGACGGTAGGAAGACAGCCAGCTGCAAGCCAGCAGAGGCCGCAGGAGAAACCAACCCTGCCAACACCTTGATCTTGGACTTCGGGGCTCTAGAAAGGAAAGGAAAAAAGTGTCTGCTGCTTAAGCCACGCAGCCTGTTGTACTCAGTTATGGCTGACTGATACAGTAAGACTTCATTTCTCTTATAAGATAAACTAAATGGGCCTTATATTTTTTTCTCACACCTCACTTTACAGACTACTGTCAGGAGGAACCTATGGCCCTGCTGGACTTTATAGGCCACAGGCTAGAGACAGTGAGGGGTCTGGCGACCTCCCCCGTGGGCCTGAGAGTAACTGGAAGAAATCTGAAAACGAAGAGCCCCAGCACCGGAGAGACAGTAAGGGTTTGCCGCAGACCAACCATTGGACGGAACACCCCTCTTGCCGGTGTTTCCCAAGCTCACCTAATCATAAGAATCACCCAGGATACCTCTGTGCCACCCTGGGAGTTATGCAATGGGGCCCAGAACTTGGGTTTTGTTAGGTAAGCCAGGACCAGAAGCGTTTGAGGAATCGTAGTGCCGCCCATGCCGCCCCAGGAGATGGGTTTGTCGGGGCAGTGTGCGTGTGCCGGCATCCCTATCCGGCGGAGGGAGGGAGGGAAGGAGGCCCGGGGCCCGGCGCCGTCGGTCTCCCAGCCGTACCCGCCACTCCACCTCCAGCCCCGCGGAGCCCTCCCCCTACCGCAGTCCAGGCCTCGGCCGAAAGCAACTGGGCCCGCCGTTTCTGTCACTGCGGTATTTGCCCATCTACGTTTTGCGTCCGGCGTTCGTTCTCTGAATCAACAGGCGGGTGGAAGAAATGCCTTCTGATTCCAACCCGAGTAAGTCTGCGAAGTCCCAGACGCCCTTGTTTTTCTCCCGGGTGTGGTCTGCCCGTGACTCTTCTCTCGAGCTCTGGGGCCTTAAATGAAACCCAAGTTCCCCACTCCCACCGCAGTCGGACCAGAGGTGGACGTGAGGGTGCTGCGCGCCGCGGGAGGGGCGGTCACCGTCCCCAGGGTCTGCGCCCCGGGAGCGGTGGGGAACGGGGTGTGCAGGTCGCCGGGCTCCCGCCCTGCCTCGGGTTTGCGCGCACCAGCTCCCCGCTGACCGCAAGTTCCTCCGAACCTCGAAAGGCATCTCCCCACCTCCCACTCCCACCCGGCTTGGCTCACCCAGGCTGGCAGGTGCTGGCCCCGCAGCTCGCGGCTGATGAACTCGCGTTCATTGTCAAGGAATTCGAAGGCGGCGGCCAGGCGCCCAAGCTTCCCGCGGCGGTTCCTGCGCCACCACATCCACAGCAGGGCGCCGAGCAGCAACCAGGTTATGCTGAGCCCCAGGTAGCCAGCTAGGTAGACAGGCCCCAGGTAGAACAGCACGCGCACCACGAAGGTACAGAGCTCGGGCAGCAGCTGGCTGGACAGGCGCAGCTCGGGGCCCGGCGTGCGCTGGGCTCCCAGGGCGCTGGGGGCCCCGGGGGCGCAGGGCTCCTCTGCTCGCATCTCGTCGCCGCAGTCTTGCCCTTCCCGAGAGCTTCACCCGAGCTTAGGTCCGCATGCCCCCACGCCCATGCGCATCTGTCTCCCAAGCTCGAGGACCAGGACGCCGCGCCCCCTTGCCCTGCTGGGACTCTCGGCGCGCCGAGCTCAGGGTTCTCTGCGACGGAGAGCAGCGCCTGGAAATGCACCGCGCCGCGCCGCGCCGCCCCAGTTCTCGGCTCCAGTGAGTCCGCAGCTCCGGAAGTCTCCGCCCTAGAGGGGCGGGCCGCCCGCCTGGCTCCTGCCCGCTCTAAAGAGCAACCAGCCGGTGAGCTCGGCCTCCGACCCCAGCACGTGGCGCAGGCGTCAGCCGGAGGTGTGCACTCGCCAGTCCGGGTGGACCAAGTGCTGCCCTAGGTGGTTAATGACTCACCAACACCTGTGTACAACTGGCTTATCATGGATAAACATCACCTAAAACCTGTTTCCTACACGCGGTCTATAATACACAGTATAGTCTGGACTCAGCTGGCATTCGAGGCCCTCCCTGGACAGGCTCAGCCAGGCCTCCCCAGCCTCAGGTCCTGCGTCCCGGCCCTCCAACTGGCCCCTAGAGCCTGCAACGCTGCCAGCTCCTCTGGCATCTGTAAAGCTTGGACCTAGCCCCCAGCCTCACCAAGCCGAGCTCAGGGCCCCTCCTGCGCGCCACAAAACCCTCTGCCCCTCTCTCCCCATCCTCTCTTCTAGGTGTCTGTTTGGATCGTCATTCCCTGCATCATCAGACGGGGAACTTCCGGGGACCGGCCCGTCTTGGCCATCTGTGGGGCGCCCAACAAGGGCAAGCGACCGGCGAATAAAAGGAAAGATGAAGAGGAAGCCCCGAGGTGCCTGAGAGTCAATGGTGAAGCCCATGGTTTCTAACCCTTTAATGATCAGAGCAGGTGGAGCTCCGAATCTCTTAAGTTCGGATAGTAAATCGTCTTGCGGATAGCATATATTTCAGACGGCCACATGAAAGGGCTCACATCAATTACTGGAATGTGATTTTGGAGTTGACAAATGTACCAGAGTGATTTGGAATGACTCTACTGTTTCAACAGCTTTATCGAAAGGCTGGAGCCGATGGATAGCAATCAAAATATTCTCTTTCCTTTTCTCTCTCTCCCTCCCTCCCCCCTCCCCACCCCGCCCCGGTCTCCCGTTCTCGTTCTGACTCTTGCTCTGTCACTCTCTTTTTCTCTCTCTGGCTTTATCCTCTCTCTTGGATAAAATTACTTACTGCAATGAGTTTTTTCAACAATACGTGAGTTCCTGGTGGTCAGAATACCTGGACCCTTCTCTATTGTTCTTGGCTTTCCAGGACTCAGCCAAAACAGAGGCTTAAAGTCCCCCAACTTAACATTCTCCCAGTGTAGCCTGGGAAATCAACGGAAGAAATGCTGCTCGCTGGAGTTCCTTCTTGAGAGTTGCATGTACACAGTCCTAGTAAAGGCTCTGAGAAGTCCTTCAGACAAAAAGTTATTAAATTCTATTTAACCCAGTGTTTCCCAGATTATTTGACCACAGAATTCTTTCCTCAAAATATTTCTCTATTGGTTAACCCAGGTCTGCTGAAGCAAAAGAGAGTGTAGGCTAGGGATACTGGGAATTCTCCTGGAAGCTGAGGCAGAATGTGTCTGGCTCTCAGGATGGATGGACCAGGAAACTAACTGCCAGAACTGCGCTCCTCATCCTTGTGGCCCTCCCTGCTGACCTGCCTGTCTGGTTGAAGTGCAGAACACAGCACTTTCCCCCCAACATCCAGAGATGGAGGACACAGGTCTCACCAATCCAGAGAGACTGCCTTGACCCTTATCCTGTCCCAATTCCAAACCCCTTGGAGACAGGATCCTGCTGAATCTGTCATCCCCTTCATCCTTCACACACAGCAAGTCCACACCTCAACCTGGGCTAGTTTGGGAGGGGGTGTGGAAGGTAGTGAGTTTGTGGGGGGATTACTAGAGAAAGGAAGGTTGTTGGTTTGTGAACTGGATGGACACCCACTGAGACAGATGCCCAGCCTGAGACGACCTGTGGGACATTGCCATCCCCAGCTGCATCGCCTTTCTTTCCTTGAACACATCAAGCTCATTTATGCTGCAAGGCTTTTGTACTTGCTGTTCTCTCTACCTGGAATGTTCCTCTTCTAAAACTTCTCCAAAGTACGTTAGGGTGATGGGATTATGATTTCACCCCCCTCCTTTTTAAAGTTATTTTATTTTTTATTTTATTTTATTTATTTTTTGAGATGGAGTCTCACTCTGTTGCCCCATCTGGAGTGCAGTAAGGCAATCTCAGCTCACCGCAACCTCGGCCTCCCAGATTCAAGCGATTCTCCTGCCTTAGCCTCCTGAGTAGCTAGGATTATAGACACTTGCCACCATGTCCAGATAATTTTTGTATTTTTGGTAAAGATGGAGTTTTGCCATGTTGGCCAGGCTGGTCTCGAACCCCTGACCTCAATCCACCCACCTCAGCCGCCCAAAGTGCTGAGATTACAGGCGTGAGCCACTGTGCCTGCCCCCCCCCACTTTTAAAACCTTATTTGTCATTAAATTACTCTCACAAATTAAATATATGAGAACATTGAGAATATGGCATTGAAAACTCTATACCCTACCTGGGATGGAATCTGTGCCTAGAACACTGGAGACTTTATTTCCCTTGACCTGGACATCTAGTTACTACTACCAGCAAAAAAATATTTTATAGATGGTTTGATCACAGCAAAACCTGGGGAGAATAATGCCTTCCACAGCCTTTGCCTGAACACATTTGAGAGTGTATCCTATTACATACCAACTATTGAAAGAACAGTAGCTCAAATAAATATTCGTTGGTCACTAGTGTGGACTGAATTGTGTCTATGTTGAAGTCCTAACCCTTGGTACCTATGAATGTAATCTTATTTCAAATAGAGTCTCTGCAGATGTAACCAAGTTAAGGTGAGATCATACTCAATTAGGGTGGGCCCTAAGTCCAATGACTGGTGTCCTTATAAGAAAAGAGAGATTCAGAGATAGCGACACAGAGGAGACACAGGAAGGGAAGGCCATGTGAAGACACACGTAGAAACCAGAGTGGTACAACTACAGGGGAGGAATGTCAAGGATTCCTGGCACCCACCAGGAGCTGGAAAGAAGCAAGGAAGGATTTTTCCCTAGCGCCTTGGGAGAGAGCTCAGCCCTGCTGGCCTCCAGAACTGTGGGAGAATACATTCCTGTTGTTTTAAGCCATCCAGTTTGCGGCACTTCGTTACTGCAGCCCTAGGAAATGAATACAGCCTTCTACTGAGTGCCAGGCACTGTTCCAGGCATAAGAGATTCAGGGTGAACAGAACCGACAGGCTCACTGCTCTCATGCAGCTGACATTCTAGTGTAGAAAGACAGACACCAAAATTTAAACAAAGTACAAGAAAACAGCAGGTAAGGAAAAGTGCTCTGCAGATAGTGCAGTGAGTAGGCTGAGAGAGAGTGACTGGCATGGTGGGCAGGGCTGTTTTAGCCAGATTGATTTGGAAAGTTAGGTTGAGACCTAAATTAAAAAGAAGACTGAAAATGTACATACAATTTTATTATTATTATTTGAGATGGAGTCTCACTCTGTCCCCCAGAGCTGGAGTGCAGTGGCGTGATCTCGGCTCACTGCAAGCTCCGCCTCCCGGGTTCACGCCATTCTCCTGCCTCAGCCTCCCAAGTAGCTGGGACTACAGGTGCCTGCCACCATGCCCAGCGCATTTTTTGCATTTTTATTGGAGACGGGGTTTCACTGTGTTAGCCAGGATGGTCTCGAGCTCCTGACCTCGTGATCCGCCCGCCTTGGCCTCCCAAAGTGCTGGGATTACAGGCGTGAGCCACCGCGCCCGGCCTTTTTTTTGTTTTTTTTTTTTTGAGATGGAGTTTCCCTCTTGTTGCCCAGGCTGGAGTGCAGTGGGACAATCTTGGCTCACTGCAACCTCTGCCTCCTGGGTTCAAGCAATTCTCCTCCCTCAGCCTCCCGAGTAGCTGGGATTACAGGTGTGTGCCACCAGCCCTGGTTAATTTTTTTTTTATTTTCAGTAGAGACAGGGTTTCACCATTTTGGCCAGGCTAGTCTCGAACTCCTGACCTCAGGTGATTCACCCTCCTCAGCCACCCAAAGTGCTGGGATTACAGGTGTGAGCCACAGCACCCAGCCTAATTTTATTATTTTTAAAAACTTGGTATCTCACAAAATCATCTCTCCTTTGGAACAGAAAGATAAATGTCCTCTGCTACGTAGGTATCATTAGTTTTTTGCTTTTGTTTTTGTTTTTGGATGGGGTCTTATTCTGTCACCCAGGCTGGAGTTCAGTGGCGCTATCTTGGCTCACTGCAACCTCCACCTCCCAGGTTCAAGCGATTCTCCTGCCTCAGCCTCCCAAGTAGCAGGGACTACAGGCATGCAACACCACGCCCAGCTAATCTTTTTGTATTTTTAGTAGAATGAGGCTTCACCATGTTGGCCAGGCTGGTCTCGAACTCCTGACCTCAAATGATCTGCCTACCTCGGGCCCCCAAAGTGCTGGGATTTTAGGCGTGAGCCTCCACACCTGGTGGTGTCATTAGTTTTACTTTTGTATTTCCATACAGAGCTAGAGTAATTTTCTGTGTTTGTTCCCTCTGTCTGACTGGAGATTCTTTGGGGGCAGCAGCTGTATCCGATACATCTTTCTGCCTCAGTGCCTGAGTTCGAGCCTGACCTACAGGAGGAGGCTAGGGAGCACAGGGTAAAATCAGAATCTCTAGCATTTGTTTGGGTTTAAATTGAGACTCAAGCACTTACTGACTCTGGAACTAGAGAATCTGCAGTTCTGTTTCCTTATCTGTAAAATGCAGATCATAATATTTATATCACAGAGTGGTCATGAGGACTGGGTCAGACACAATGTGTGTAAGGCTGTATATCCAGATGGGGAAGTTGTCAAGGAAGAACTAGGGTTTTGTTTGTATTGTTTGACTCTTTGTTTTTTGTTTTTTGTTTTTGTTTTTTTTTTTTTGAGACAGAGTCTTGCTCTGTTGCCAGGTTGGAGGACAGTGGCACGATCTTGGCTTACTGCAACCTTCGATTCCCTGGTTCAAGCGGTTCTCCTGCCTCAGCCTCCCGAGTAGCTGGGATTACAGGCATGCACCACCACGCCGGGCTAATTTTTGTATTTTTAGTAGAGATAAAGTTTCACCATGCTGGCCAGGATGGTCTTGATCTCCTGACCTGGTGATCCGCCCACCTCAGCCTCCCAAAGTGCTGGGATTACAGGTGTGAGTCACCACGCCCAGCCTTGTTTGACTTTTTACAACACGAATGTGTTTGTGTTTTATCTGTATAATTTTAAAAGCTTTTTATTGTTGCAAAATACGTATAATATTTACTATCCTAACCATTCTTAAGGGTACAGCTCAGTGGTATTAAGTACACTCGTATTGCTGTGTAACCATCATCACCATCTCCAGAACTCTTCTTGCAAAACCAAAACTTTATACCCATTAAACAATAACTCCCCATTCCCCTCCACACCCTCCAACTACCCGCAACCACCATTCTATTTTCTGTCACTATGATTTTGACTTAATTGATATTTGAAGGACTCTGTACAACAAAATGGCCAACCACCTTCTTTTCAAGGGTATATGATACACCTTATAATAGTCCAGATAATTAAAGGGTCTGAAATTATGGAGAGTATATTCTCTGATCACAGTGGAATTACATTAGAGCTTAAGAAAAATCAGATAATTAGAAAAACCCAAGATATCTGAAAATTAAACAACACATTCTATATAATCCATAGGTCAAAAAAGAAATCACAAAGGAAATTGGAAAATATTTTAATCTAATGATAACAACATATTAAATTTTATCAGATGCAGCTAAAGCAGTGCTAAGAAAAAAATTTATAGCTTTAAATGTTTGTTTATATTAGAATGAAGAAAAGCCTAAAACCAGTGATCTGCATTCCTACCTCAATAAATTGGAAAAAGAAATGTAAATTAAACCTAAAGTAGAGGAAAGAAAATCATAAAGACAAGTACAGTAATTAATTAAATAAAACATAGATCAACAATAGAGAAAATCAATGAAATAAAAAACTGGGTCTTTGAAAATATCAACAAAATTGATAAGCTTTTAGCTAAACTAAGCAAGGAAAAAAGAGAAAAGACAAAGTATTAATATCAGGAATGAAAGACGGGACATAACTATGGCCTCCACAGATATTAAAAGGATGATAAGGGAATAGAATATTATGAACAACTTCATGCAAAATAATTGAGCCACCTAGATGAAACAGAAAAATTTCTTCAGGGACACAAACTACCAAAGAAGAAACAGAAAATTTGAATATCCTTATATTAATTCCAAATATTGAACTTGTAATTTAAAATGTCCCACAGAAGAAATCCAGGCCCAGAAGCCTTTACTCATGAATTTGATGAAACACTTTTCTTTTAACAATAGCAATACTATACAAACTTTTTTTAAATATGGAAATATAGAACACTTCCCAAATTCATTTTATGAGGCCAGTATTACCTTAATATGAAAACCAGATGAAGACACTACAGGAAGAGAGAACTATAGACCAGTATTCTTCACAAACACAGATGCAAATTTAAGTAAAATTAAATGTATGTATCCATGTATCTCTGTCCATCTGTAAATATGTATGGAAAGATACCTGAAATGATGTTTACCTGATATTAATGATGACTGTTTCTTTCTTTCTTTTTTTATGAGATGGAGTCTGGCTCTGTACCCAGGCTGGAGTGCAGTGGCGTGATCTCGGCTCACTGCAACCTCAGCCTCCCAGCTTCAAGTAATCCTCCCACCTCAGCCTCCCGAGCAGCTGGGACCACAGACCTGCACCACCACGACCAGCTAATTTTTTTTTTTTTTTTGAGACGGAGTCTTGCCCTGTTGCCCGGGCTGGAGTGCAGTGGTGCCATCTCTGCTCACTGCAACCTCCACCTCCCTGGTTCAAGCGATTCTCCTGCCTCAGCCTCCTGAGTAGCTGGGATTACAGGCGCCCACCACAATGCCCAGCTAGTTTTTATAATTTTAGTAGAAGACTGGGTTTCACCATGTTGGCCAGGCTGGTCTCGAACTCCTGACCTCAAGTGATCTGCCCGCCTCGGCCTCCCAAATTGCTGGGATTACAAATGTGAGCCATGGTGCCTGGCCAATTATGACTGTTTCTGGTTGGTGATTTTTTTTTTAACTTTATTGTACTTTTTTATAGTTTAATTATTTTTAATAAACGTGTATTATGCAGTATAATAATTTTTATTTAAAAAGCCATAAGCAAATAGCCAAATTATTAGTTCTAGGTGATGAAAATATGAGTGATTTTTGTTTTTCTTTGTACTTTTCTGCATTAAAAAAAATAGGCATGGCCAGACGCCGTAGCTCATGCCTATAATCCCAGCACTTTGGGAGGCCAAGGTGGGCGGATCACGAGGTCAAGAGATCAAGACCATCCTGGCCAACATGGTGAAACCTCGTCTCTACTAAAAAGACAAAAAATTAGCTGGGCGTGGTGGTGCATGCCTGTGGTCCCAGCTACTCGGGAGGCTGAGGCAGGAGAATCGCTTGAAACCGGAAGGCGGAGGTTGCAGTGAGCCTAGATCGTGCCACTGCACTCCAGCCTGGGCAACAAGAGCAAAACTCTGTCTCAAAAATAAATAAATAAATAAAATAAAAATAAATAAGAATTAAAAATTTTAAAAAAAGACATGAGTTACTGGTTTCAGGTACACAGTCTTTAAAATGTTAGGTTGTTTCTTTTGATTTTTATTTTATTTTATTTTATTTTATTTTATTTTATTTTATTTTATTTTATTTTATTTATTTTATTTTATATTTATTTTTGAGATAGGGTCTCACTCTGACCCCAGGCTTGAGTGCAGTGGCGCGATCTCTCACCACAGCCTCAACCTCCCAGGTTCAAGCGATCCTTGCACCTCAGCCTCCTGAGTAGCTGGGACTACAGGTGTGCCCCACCACCCTGGCTAATTTTTGTATTTTTTTGCAGAGACAGGGTTTTGCCACATTGCCCAGGCTGGTCTCGAACTCCTGAGCTCCAGCAATCCACCTGCCTTGGCCTGCCAAAGTGCTAGGATTACAGGCATGAGCCATTCTGCCCGGCCTGATTCCTATTTTATACAGTGTTTTCTATTAGGAATGTATACTGAATTTTATCAAATGTCTTCCCAACATCTACAGGTATGATCACATGGTTTAAAAATTATCCTAATACTGAACCACACTTGCATTCCTGGTGGAACCAGTTTGTTGCACAAATGTCTACTCAGTAAGGTGCAAGGAGAAAGTGAACTTTTCCCATTGCTTTCCAAGCCCACCGGGGTGTGCTCTTCCTCCACGGGATGAAAACATGGGCCACTTTCAGAGTTTTTCCAATCATTTGTTGTCTAAGAACAGTTTCATTTTAGTAATAAAAAGCCCTGTTCAATACAATATTAAACAATATTAAAACTCCAGTCTTTTAGCTAACTTAAATTTCTCCTCTCCCTTCGTGCTGCCTTCAGCTGGGAAATCTGTGATGGGGACAGCAGCTTCACCTCTTTCTTTTTTTGAGATGGAGTCTCACTCTGTCACCCAGCCTGGGGTGCAGTAGTGCAGTGGCACAATCTCAGCTCACTGCAACCTCCGCCTCCCGGGTTCAAGGGATTCTCCCACCTCAGCCTCCCAAGTAGCTGGGATTACAGGTGCACGGCCACCATGCCCGTCTAATTTTTTTTGTGTGTGTATTTTTAGCAGAAACAGGGTTTCACCATGTTGACCAGGCTGGTCTCGAACTCCTGACCTCAAGTCATCCGCCTACCTCAGCCTCCCAAAGTGCTGGGATTACAGGTACAATCCACCACGCCTGGCCACACCTCTTTCCTAAGTGCTATTTTGGGGGCTGGATTAGTCAGGGCTCTCCAGAAAAACAGAATCATTGAATGCACAGAGAGACAGAGACAGAAATTTTAATAAGGAATTGGCTCATGTGATTATATCAGAGGTGTTTGAACCACCGCAACTCCATCTTGAATAGGGGTTGGGTAAAGTGAGGCTGAGACCTACTGGGCTGCATTCCCAGATGGTTAAGGCATTCTAAGTCACAGGATGAGACAGGAGGTCAGCACAAGATACAGGTCATAAAGACCTTGCTGAGAAAACAGCTTGCAGTAAAGAAGCCAGCCAAATCCTACCCAAACCAAGATGGCCATGAGAGTGACCTTTGGTTGTCGTCACTGCCACACTCCCACCAGTGCCATGACAGTTTACAAATGCCATGGCAACATCAGGAGGTTACCCTATATGGTCTAAAAGGGGAGGCATGAATAATTCACCCCTTGTTTAGCAGATAATAAATAAATAACCACAAAAATGGGCATCTAGCAGCCATCAGGCTGCTCTATGGAGTAGCCATTCTTTTATACCTCTACTTTTTAAATAAACTTACTTTCACTTTACCCTATGGACTCACCCTGAATTCTCTCTTACGCAAGATCCAAGAACCCTCTCTTGGGGTCTGGATCAGGACTTCTTTCCTGTAACAATTATGGAGGCTGAGAAGTCCCACGGTGTGCCATCTGCAATCTAGAGACCCGAGAGAGCTGGTGGTGTAGTTCAGTCTGAGTTTGAAAGCCCAAGAACCAGGGGAGCCAATGGTGTAAATCCCAGGCCCAAGTCAGGAAACTGATGTCCCAGCTCAGCAGTCAGGCAGAGAGAGTGAATTCTCCCTTCCTCTGGTCTTTGTCCTATTCAGACCTGAATAGATTGGATGATGCACCACTACAGTGGGGAGGGTCATTTGCTTTACTCAGTCTACCAATGCAAATGCTAATCTCTTCCTGAAACCCCCTCATAGATACACTAAAAAAAAAGTGCAACAAACTATCTGGGCACCCTGTGACCTAGCCAAGTTGATGCATGGAATTAACCATCACAGGGGCCCTCTGGGAGAGAGGAGAGATGAGGAGCAGGAAGTCCCTACTAGTTTGGTGCCACTGTTAGTTGGTGCTGGCACCCTCAGTGGGTGTTGCACTTATAGTTACGGAGGGGGACCCACTCCCCAGCACTGAGGCTCCCTCTCTTACAGAACCTTTGATCCAGGCAACACCTCCTCAAGTTGGCAATGTAGACTTCTCCCTCAGCCTCCTGGCTGTTCTTTTGCCAAGTGTGGGGATCCCTACTAAATACCACTCCCTTCCACAGCGCCCACAGGAAATATGCACATGCTGTTACCCAGTGAAGGCTGGAAATGCAGGCCTTCCTTCAGACAGTCCTCACCCATGATCTGCCACCACAGAAGGGCAGCTCCAGCCACAGCCTCTTACCCTGAGTTTGTATTAGTTCTTCTGTCCCTCAGGTCTCAGGAGACCCTCTTTTGACTTGAGGAGGGAGGGGAGGCAGAAGGCCAGATGGAGTATGCTCACTGACAGCGCTATCCAAAGATGTCCTCACTCTCACTCTTCAGCCTCTGAAGGAAACCTCAGGGTCTGAAGGGCCCTCTTAGGCTGGCACAGAGGCCAGCTGTCTCCCTCAAGAATGGGAGGACTTGACAAGCTGGCTCTTGTTCTTGGCCTTTGGGGTGTTGACCTAAAAAAAAAAACAAACTGAGACAAACTTTATATAAGTAGAGAGTTATTTGGGCCAAGTTTGGGGACTGCAACCGGGGAACATAGATTCAAGTTGCCCTAAATATACGCTCTGATTAGCAGCAGTGACTAGTGGGTTTTTTATTTTATTTTATTTTATTTTATTTTATTTTATTTATTTATTTTGAGACGGAGTCTCGCTCTGTCACCCAGGCTGGACTGCAGTGGTGCTATCTCGGCTCACTGCAAGCTCCGCCTCCCGGGTTCACACCATCCTCCTGCCTCAGCCTCCCGAGTAGCTGGGACTACAGGCGCCCACCACCATGCCGGGCTAATTTTTTGTATTTTTAGTAGAGACGGGGTTTCACTGTGCTAGCCAGGATGGTCTCCATCTCCCGACCTCGTGATCTGCCCTCCTTGGCCTCCCAAAGTGATGGGATTACAGGCATGAGCCACCTCGCCCAGCCAATTAGTAGGTTTTTAAAGGAAAAGAAGAGGCAGTTCCTAAGTTGTTTACCAAGAATTTACATTAAAATAACATAAGCTACTGATTGGCTGCTATACACTGTTCTTTGTTATCACAAATTCCAAGAACATGAAGATTAATGGATGAGGCAGCTAGTTAGGAACAAAATGCCTTTAAACAATCACTCCAGGTGGGCATGGAGGCATGCACCCATCCCCTCTGTGTCACTGAAGTCCCATACTCATGTCTCTCTGGGGCTGGTGAATTTTGCAAACCTCACATAACTCACACTGCTCAGAGTTATTTTTCTTTCCTCAGGGGCTTATGCCAAAACTCAGATATGAGGAAGAACTGCTTTCAATATGGCAGATTATTCCTTTTATATGCTGTCAGATTTATTAGTATTATAATGTTTACATCTATTTTTATAAGTGAAATTTCTCATTTATTTTCTCTGCTTGCTTTACCAGACTTTGATGCTAAGGTATTTCTAGTCTTACTAAATGACTTTGGGACTTTTCTTGCTAGTCTTTTATAGTTTGAATAGTAAGAGAATTGTTTCTTTGGGGGAGTTAAGTAAAATTTAGCAGTAAAATAATCTCAGGTTGGTGCTTTGTGAAGTGATAAATCTTTAACACATTTTCCACATTTTTCTATTATTGCTGAACTGTTCAAGTTTTCTACTTCTTTCTGAGTCATGTTTGGCAATATAAAATGTTATCAGAGAATCATGTCTTCTTTCTAGACTTTCAAATTTTGAAACCACCTTTGCAAAAATTATAAGAGCGAGAAAAATTATAACAGTGAGCTGATTTAACCCCTCCCCTGCCCCCTGGCACCCATCTTGCCTTTCCCTAATTGTTCCTGGGCTTTTGGGCCCAGCTAACTTTGAGAGATGTTTAGGTTATAGTTTAAATGATGATAGCCTTTCCCCAAAACTCAACCACCTTTGTAAAGCTAATGAAAGACCATCAGCCTAGGGGGCAGAGAGGAGGCTGATTCTGCTAAGGTGTAGACATAGATCGTCAGCCATTCCTGCAGATCACACCACTATTGTAGATTTGCCTTTTGCGATACCTTTTCAGGTTTTTTGCATGTCTGACACCCATGGCTCCACCTGGAACCACCAATTCTGCTCCTGTGGCCCCACCCAGAAGTGATTCAGTGCCTAGGAGGACAGCTTTGACCCCTATAATTTCATCTCTATTCCAACCAAACAGCAGCAAGCCTAGCCACTCCCACCCCTTCCCCCAGACCGCCCTTGAGAAAGGAGCTTTGGATGAGATTGATTTGAGTACTAACTCCATCTCCCATGTGGTATGGCCAGCTTCATGTCTACTAAACTGTTTTCTTTGCTGCAATGCTGTGGTCTTTCTTTGTGCAGCAGGCTGGAAGAACCCCTCAGGTTACAATTTGTTGCCACAAAATACCACATCATATTCTTGAATTAGTTTCCTGGGATTGTTGTAACAAATTACTGCAAACTGGGTGGTTTAAAACCACAGAAATTTATTCTGTTTTGGAGGCCAGATGTCCAAAATCAGGGTGTTGGCAGCATGGATCCTTCTGGAGGCTCTGAGGGAGAACCCACTCCATGCCTCTTTCCTGGCTTCTGTGGCTTGGCAATCCTTGGCATTTCTTGGCTTGTAGATGCATCACTGCCACACCTGCCTTTGTCTTCACAAGGTATTCTGCTCTATGTGTTTCCAATTTCTCTCTTCTTTCTCTTGTAAGAACACCAGTCATTGGATTTGGGGCCCACCATAAATCCAGGATGATCTCATCTTGAGATCCTTAGTTCTATCTGCAAAGACTCTATTTCCACATAAGGTCACATTCCTAGGTACTGGAGGTTAGGACCTGGGCATATTTTTGAGGAAAGAAAAGGACTCTCAGTGGAGGAATGTGAGCTCTTTGAAATTATTAGGCCCAGAGAAGCATTAAAATAAGACAGCAATCACGCCCTACTCCCCACTTTGAGCTGTGTAAGTGTAAACCAAAAATAAAATTCTAAGCTCCCAAACTGACTGACTGGATCCCTCCTCTCAGCCAAAGGCATTCCAAAGTCAGTATGAAAAAGTAGTTCAGGCCATGATGGTAAGGATGGGTTGGACATGCCTCACTATACCCTCCCCTCTTTGGAATTCAGGCACAGCCAATCAGCATTAACCTTAAAACAGAGATATTAAGAGTGACAAAACAGACTCTTTGTAGCAATAAGATACCAAATTCCAGACTGACTCTAGTATAGCATCACATGACAGATAAAGGCCCTGAAAGAAATCAAAGTATTTTACCCCAAAAATATATTTCTTTTACATATATTTTTTTTGAGATGGTTTCACTCTCGTTGCCCAGGCTGGAGTGCAACAGCGTGATCTCTGCTCACTGCAACCACCACCTCCTGAATCAAGTGATTCTCCTGCCTCAGCCTCCCAGTTAACTGGGATTACAGGTGCCCGCCACCACACCCGGCTAATTTTTGTATTTTTGGTAGAGACGGGGTTTTGCAACGTTGGTCAGGCTGGTCTCGAACACCTGACCTCAGGTAATCCACCTGTCTCGGCCTCCCAAAGTGCTGGGATTACAAGCGCAAGCCACTGCGCCCGGATTCTTTCACATATTTTGAAATAACCCTGCAAAGCTGTCTCTTGTGGGGAAAATCTATAGAACCCTCTTTCCTTTCCAGGTCTTTTCCTGATCCAGGAGAGTTTAACTAAGATTCTGGCACCTTTTTAGTTCTGATTAGAGACATTTACCAGCTATTCTCTCTGAAACCTGCTACTTGGAGGCTTTGTCTGCATAGTAAGAACGTTGGTCTCCACAATCCCTTCTCTTAACCCAGTTACTCCCTTCTATTAATTGCAGGTTTTTAGATAATAACTCTTTCAACCAATTGCCAATCAGAAAATCTTTGAATCCACTTGTGACCCATAAGCCTTCTCCCTTCAAGTTGTCCCACCTTTCCAGACCAAACCAATGCATACCTTACATGTATTGATTGATGTCTTATGTCTCCCTAAAACATATAAAGCCAGGCTGCAGCCTGACCACATTGGGCACATGTTCTCAGGACCTCCTGGGGCTGTATCATGGGCCTTGGTCACTGACATCTGGTTCAGAATAAATCTCTTCAAATATTTTACAGAGTTTGGCTCTTTTCATTGACATGCATCTCTTGAAACTACTTGCTAGGGCCACAAGTAGCTATAAATTAACCTATAACCCACACTCCATAGCTTAACAATGTGTAGCCAATCATTAATCAATGTTATTTCTGTAAGCCCGTGAGAATTCCTGTCATCACCTAATGGGTTCTTTCTGCCCATTATACAGACAAAACCAATTCACTGAGACTATGGAATTGCAATACAGAAAGAATTTAATTGACATGAGTCCAGCCACACAATATGGGAGATGGAGTTATTACTCAAATCAATTCTCTGAACATTTGGAGGCTAGGATTTTTCAAAGATAGTTTGGCAGGCCAGGGAATGGGTGCTGCTGATTGGTTGGGGACGCAATCATCAGGGTGTGGAAAATGGTCTTCGTGCATGCTCAGTCAACTTCTGGGTGGGGGCACAGGACCAGTTGGAGGGTCTAGGTGGAGCTATCATTTGTCAGAAATGCAAAAACCTGAAAAGACATCTCAAAAGGCCAATCTTGGGTTCTACAAGAGTGATGTTATCTGCAGGAGTAACTGGGGAAGTTGCAAATCTCGTCACCTCTAGAATAATGGCTTGTAATTGTTTACGTCTACACCCTACCAGAAGTCAGGTTCCCCTCATCCTTCTAACCTGGTGGTCTTTCATTAGTTTTACCAAGGTGGTTTAGTTTTGGGCAAAGGCTGTTATAATTTAAACTATAAACTAAATGCCTTCCACAGTTAGTTTAGTCCAAGTCCAGGAATGATTAAGGGCAGTTTGGAGGTAAAAGGGAAAAATGGAGGTTGGTTAGGTCAGATCTCTTTCACTGTCATAATTTTCTTACTGTTATAATTTTTGCAAAGGTGGTTTCATTCCTGACAAACAACTTTGTACAGTCCACTCCCTGTCCCCTACTTTGCCTTTAAAACTCCACTTGCAATTGCTGCTAATTGGAGTGTGTATTCAGGGCAACTTGTATCTATGCTTCCATGTTGCAATCCTCAAGCTTGGCCCAAATACACTCTCTACTTATATTAATTTTGCCTCATCTTCTTCCTTTTAGGTCAACATCTTCTTGGGGCCACTGTTCAATCCACTACACTTCTATTTATAGAATCATGACAATTTGGTTGACAGTTTCTGAGAAACATACAAGTTTACTTGTAATTACAAAAAATTAATTTTCCAGCAGCTTCCAGCATCAAGAGAGACTTGTTTACATAATGCACCAGATCCATTTTCACAGGAAATAAGTCTGTCTTTTCTCCCTTACTCTGTGTATGGAGGATCTGGATAGCAATTCTGAGTTCCATGAAGCTCTTTTCTTGGAGGGGAGTGGCAGGGAAGGAAATTAACTCTTCACACTTTCTGCCAAAAGCATATCTGTCCATTCGAGATTGTGAGCTTCCTTAAGTATGGGGCTGTACCTCTCAATCCTCCAGGTACCACACCTGCTCCCATCCCAGGCCTGGTCCTTCCTCAGAGCAAGGGCTCTCAGTGACATTGCATGTGTGTGCATGCATGCGTGTGTGTGTGTGTGTGTGTGTGTGTGTGTACATCTGCATCTCTTCCTCTCCTCTCTATAACAGGATCACCTCAATGTCTCCTCCTTCCTTGGAGGAGAAAAATATTACAGCTGTTGGAAACAAGATAGCTCATGTAACTTGATATTTTGTGGAGACAGCTGTCACAAGTCAGGGTTCTATTTGCTAAGCAACTGTAATGAAAACATTACATATTTTCATCGAGATTAAAAACTAAGACACAATAGCTTTGAGCACCATCATATTGGAAAAATGTGGACCACAACTGTGTCAGGTGGTGCACTACATCACCCACCAACCACACCACTCTTGGAGATGATGAGTTAGACCCACCGGAGTGCTGGAGGGAGAGATTTGGCACCATCTGCAGAGACGAATCCTGCAGCCACAGAAGAAGGGAAGAGGGCAGGCCAGTGGGTCTCATACTTCCCCGCACAGCAGCTTCACCTAGAGGGTGTATTAATGCACAGCTTGCTCGACCCCAACCCAGGGTTTTGGATTCAGTGGGAGTGTGGGGAGAATTTGCATTTCCTGTTAAGTTCCCATGAGATGTGTTGCCCTTGTCCTGGAACAGCACTTTGAGGACCACTGGCCCTAGGTGAGGCTTTGGAAACCGCCCTTTTAATAAGCTCCATCTGTGATCTAAGGCAGCATGCCCTCACACGACATGGCCAATGCTGGTTGCAAGTGAGCAGGCCAGAGCCCAGAGGTCAGGGTTTGGGGTCTCCCAAGGTAGAGGCCATGGTAGGACTGTGTGTGTGTGTATGAAGCCTGTGAAAATGGAGCCAAGAGAGTCTTTCTGAAAGCCCTTCCTGGGAACCCCACAGTCCTTGTGTCTACGTGGAAGGCCGGAAGCAGATGGAGCAGCCAACCCCTAGAAGGCACTGGAGGTCAGCCGGGAGGGGTTTGGGGTGGCTTTCAGCAGGAAGCACCCAGAAAGAGCTGGACCTTCGTTGGGGTAGTTTAGACCCAGCGGGTTCATCAGACAGTTCCTGAGAAGGTTCCTCGGCCTGGTGCTGTGCGAAGCATTTGGCAAATACAAATGGTGAACTTGCGGAGATCCAGACCCTGGGCCCCCAGGGTGCACATTATCTGCATATGGGCAGTCCTAGGGCAGGAAATCCTAGAGAGCTGGGCTGAGAACAGGGGCCAGTGGGTGAAGGAGCCTGACTTCTGATATCCTGCTTTGGAGGAGCTGCTGGTTCTCTCCCAGGCCTCTGGGGAAGCTGGAGGGCTTCCCTACAAATCGTGCGCACAGAGGCAGCTAGAAAGGGCCTGTCCGTTCTGTGATGCTGCCATCTGGTGGACGAGAAGGGCACTGGTCCTGCTTCCCAGGTGTTGGGTTGGCAAGGAAACCTCAACCGGGATAGTATCTACTGCTGCTGCTACTAGAGTAATAATGCTGATAATGCTTAAACATTTTTTTAAAGCAACTGTGAAGGAGCGAGCCCACCTACTATTCTAAGCTCTTTGAATGTGTTAACTCATTTAATCTTCACAACATCTCAAAAGTAAGTAGGATGTCCATTTTTCAGAAGAGGGAACCCAGGCCAATAGAATTGGAATAACTTGCCCAAGGCCACATGGTGAGGAAATGTCCTCTGATCCTTGTCTAGGGTTGGCATGGAATGGATCAGACACATTTGGGTCTGAGTCCTCGCCTTGAAGCTCGGTTTCTTTCTCTGAGAGAATTTTACTGTCCCCAGCAGGATGTAGTGAGGATTCTCAGCATGTACCTTGGCTGCTGTGAGGACCAGCAGGTGCCCCTCACACAAATGTCATGTCAACAGGTACCCCCCCGGGCTGTGCAGCCATCTGGCCCTGCCCAGCACATAGTGAGCCCTCACTCAGAAAGTAGCATTTCAGCTCTTTGCCTAAGAAAAAGAGGCATCACCTATCTCCTTTCCTAATCTTTGATACTATGCCCCTCGCAAAAATGTGTGTTACGTCTGAAGAACTTCCTTGCAGAGGTGGGTGTTACGAAGGGAGAGGCATTAACACTGCTTGAGCTTCAGATGGAGGTTTGGCCTTTACTTGGGAAGACAAGTAAGTTTGGTAGACAATGGCGAGAAAGCCTGGCTGGATATTTCCCAAAGGGAGGGGAGCACCCTACCCCCGTCACCACCACCCAGTGCAGGATGGAGGCACTGTTTTCCTCTTGGCTTCTACCTGGGCATGCTGGCCTGGGCTGGGGGTGGCAGGGGGGTTCGTTGTTGACCTTGACCCAGCAGATTCCGTGGGCTGTGGCACCAGGGTGGTTAGAGAAAATGGGATCTCAGTAGCCCAAGGGGAGAAAGTGAAAGAAAAAGGAGGAGGGTTTGTAGAAGGACTGAGGATACAAAACTCTTGTGAAAATTGGTCGTACAAATTGTATCGTTCTTATCATACCCAATTAAATCAGAGTAGAGAGTCTGGGGGAAAACACACCCAGGGAATATAACGTTGCTCCAAAAATGTAATTCTCTGCAAGCCTGGCTGCCGAAACTGCCTGTTCTCATAAACTGAAACCAGTTTTGTCTAATGGCTACTGAAACAGCCTGCTGTTATTCTAAGACTAGTTTTAACCACTGCCATCACTCACCAATCAGAACTTCCCCGAGACAGGGTCTCACTCTGTCTCCCAGGCTGGAGTGTAGTGGCATGATCATGGCTCACTGTAGCCTCAACCTCCTGGGGCTCAGGTGATCCTCCTACCTCAGCCTCTCAAGTAGCTGGGACTATAGGTGTGCACCACCACATCCAGCTAATTTTTAAATTTTTTGTAGAGATGGAGTTTCACCATGTTGCCCAGGCTGGTCTGGAACTCCTGGGCTCAAGCAATCTGCCGGCCTTGGCCTCCCAAAGTGCTGGGATTACAAGTGTGAGCCAACACATCCAGCCATTTCTCCTTTTTATAAAACCTCTAACCTTCTCTTTGTTCTTCGGAAGTTCTGAAGATCACTGGCCCTGAATTGCAATTCTTGCTTCCCAAATAAAATGTTAAATTTAGAGATTTATCTCTATATTTTTATTTTGACTTTGACAGCCTGAACTTGGGCTGGGAAAGGAGAGAATAGTCAGGCTGAGGGTGTTTGGCTCCACACCCTATCCTTAGGAAATCCATGGTGAACTTAGCATAGGGAAGAGTATTAGTGAGAGGATGAGCAGGGAATTTGGGAATAGCCTCCTCCCCAGCTCATAGCTCTGTAAAGGGAATTCCCCATGTGGCTCAGAATCAGCAAAAAGATTGCATTCCAGCCACAGGCTTTTTGATGAGGTCAGGGTATGTTATTGAAAAAGTGGTGTTGGGACAACTGGCTTAACACAAAGCTAAAACACCCTTCACACCTCACTCCAGAATAAATTTCCAATGAATTAAAGTTAAATTAACAATAGGCTAACCATGACAGAGAAACGACTATGTGCCAGTTATTGTTTCTAAAGCTTTCCATACATTAGTTTACTTAATCTTCAATATAATGGCATGAGGTATAGACAATTCCATTCCCTTATTTTATGAATAGAAAGTCATCTGGGTCAGACATGGTGGCTCATGCCTGTAATCCCAGCACTGTGAATAGCTGAGGTGGGAGGATCCCTTGAGGCCAGGAGTTGGAGACCACCCTGGGCAACATAGTGAGACCCATCTCTAAGAAAAAAAAAATAGCTGTGTGTGGTGGCACATGTCTATAGCACCAGCTACTAGGGAGGCTGAGGCAGGAGGATTGCTTGAGCCCAGGGGTTCAAGGCCGCAGTGAGCTATGATCACCACTACACTCTAGCCTGAGTAACAGAGCGAGACCTTGTCTCTAAAAGAAACATTAAAAAAAAAATTTAAGGTGTAACCCTAAAGGTATTCAAAGGAAATAATAATAATACTTGGATGAGAAAGGATCATATTAGCATTGTACCAAAGACAAAAACGATAAAGGAGTAAATAATAGCTTTGGACATTTAAAATTTTAAACATCTATAGTATAAAAATAAATCAGTAATACAATAAAAAAGGAAACTACATTCTAAGGGAAATTTTTGCAATAAATATGACATATAAGTGGTCAATAAACTGAATACATAAAACCAATAAATAAGAAAAATGAAATTAACAGAAAATTGAAGAGGGCATAAATAGGCAGTTTATAAGGAATAAAAATGGACAAGTCTTCAAAAGTCCATCTTTACTGGGGTCAAAGAAATAAAAATAAAGTAGAAACTAGATGCCCTTCTTTTGTGTTTCCATTAAGCAAAGATTTTTAAAAAGACGCTACCATCCAAGGATGATGAAAATGCATGAAACAAACATTTCTTCTGCTGTTCACGTTTGTGGTATAATCCTTCAGTACGTGGGTACAGCATCATTTATCTAATCATTCTCCAATTATTGCTCACTTAGATCCTTTAACGTTTTGTATCTTATGAATGTGAAGATCACCTTTGTTCATCATTCTTTGCATCTTTTATTACTTCTTTAGGAGAGGGTCCTAGGAGTGGCATTTTTAGGAAAGAGGATTTTAAACCTCTTGATACCAGATGCCAAATTGCTTCCTGTGAAGGCTGAATCTGTTTTGATTGACAAGGGGAGCTGGGCAAGAGCAGAGCTTGGAGTAGCCCGGGGACCCAGGAGAGGAGGGCAACAGGAGGCTGTTTTTTCGGTAAGAAGCATCTGAGGAAAGGAGAAATGAGTCAGGCAGGGGAGAGGTGGCAGGGCAGGGGCTATGGTCAGAGGATGGGGGAGGCTAAGCCTCCTTGCTGAATGTCCAGCTCAGAGCCTGCCCCACAAGGGAGGCAGAGGGGGTACCGCTGGACAGGCCAGCTTGGCCTGGGAGACGAGCACCCCACTAACTAAGGGGGGTGTGCCTAGCTCCTCCAAGCCTTAAATGACGTGACCCGTGCAAAGCACAATGACTGGTACATGCTGTTTGAGTAAATGGTGGCTGGAGTTACTAGTAGACACTCCAGAATCATTTACGGATTCGATTTTGGAATCCTGGCTAACATTTAAATAGAGTTTCGGTGTGCCAGCCACTATTTTGAAAGTATATGCAGTCATGTGTTGTTTGATGATGGATATACATTCTGAGAAATGCATCCTTAGGTGATTTCATCATTGTGTGAACATCATAGAGTGCACCTACACAACCCTGGATAGTAAAGCCTACTACACACCACGGCTCTATGGGATAGCCTACTCCTTCTAGGCTACAAACCTGGACAGTATGTTACTGGACTGAATACTGTAGGCAACTGTAAGACAATGGCAAGTATTTGTGTATCTAAACATAGAAAAAGGACAGAAAAAATAGGGTATTTTAATCTATGGAACTACCTTTGTATATGTGGTCTGCCCTTGACCAAAACATCCTTATGTGGCACATGACTGTATCTAATTCAACAATAGCTCAATATCCCTAAAATAAGTATGTTATCATCAATCCAGTTTGACAAATGAGGCAATCAAAGCATAGAGAGCTTGGACACGTTACCGAAGGTCATCAGCTGGCAGCATTGCTGGGCCAGACCTAGGCAGCCTATGTTCTTACCGCACTCCACACATCCTCTGTGCACCAATAATACCAGAAATCTCAGTAATGCCAGCCACAAAGAAGGAACTAGAAGTTTGGATGGTTTGGAGGAGGAGGGGTGGTGGGGAAGAACTATCATATTAACAAGAAAGTCAGTTGTAGTGCCTTGCATCACAGGGTCCATTTCCAGCAGCCTCAGCCACCAGGCTGACTCTAAGGAAGCAGGGCCAAGGTCAGGGCCGAGGGGCCTCCCAGCTGTGGGTGCTCCCCTGGGCTGCAGTCCAGAAGCCCCCAGACTACACATGAGGCCTCCTGGGTCTTACTCACTGGGCTAACTGCTGGGTTGTCCTGGCCTCGACTTCTCAGATGGAGCTGGGAAAGGCAGCTGGAGGAAGAGAACTGGAGGTGGTGTCCAAGGCCACAGCTCAGGCTGCCCCTGGAGGAGGCCCAGTGCAGACACTCTGGAAAATGACTGTCACTGATGTTCAAAATGCTGCTGTTGAGTCATGCAGAGGAAGTTGATCTGCATTCAGCTCACTTGGAAGAAGGCAGGGACGTGTGAGACACATTGAAAGATTTTCCTCAAACAAAGTTAAAATTAAAAAGGGGCGGGGCAGCTAGCTGGGACTAGCTCAGTCCTCAGTGTGGCGGGGCTGCTGGTGAATGGAGCGTGGGCTTCCAAGTCAGAACTGGGTGCACGTGCAGGCTCAGTCACTTCTGGTTGTCCCTGGACCTCAGTTTCCCTTTCTGTAAAACAAGCATCACATCACCTACCTCTCAGGGAAGCCATGAGGTTTAAATAAGGTAATATGTAGAAATAGCAGGGTGCCTGGTTTACAGTAAGTGCTCAACAAAACGTTAGCTGATAACTAGTTATTGTTGTGCATTTATTTACTGTATGCCAAATCCTCTGTTGAATGTGTAATGTGGATTACCTAATTCAGGGTTCTTGAAGTGTGGTCCCAGACCAGCACTATCCCATCAACTGGAAACTTGTAAGAAATGCAATTTCTCAGGCCCCAGACCTGCTAAATCATAAAAGCCTGTGTTTTAACTCCCAGGTAATTATGATGATGATGATTGCTAGGTCGAGAACCACCAGCTAATTTATAGTTCTTAGTACCATTATTATAGAACAAGGTGAGAATTTTATTCTTACCAGTAAGGTGACCAATGGTCCTGGTTTGCCCGGGACTGTCCTGGTTTTAGCAATGAATGATCAGTGTTTCAGGAAACTCCTCAGTCCTCAGCAAACTGGTTTTGGCCATCCTATTAAGAGCTGAAACCATATTTCATTCTAGGAAGAGATTATGGGATTATGGCTAAAGAAAGCAAATGAGGTTTAGAGAATCTAAAGGGATGGGTGTTGAGCTTACTGGGTGGCTGGTGCTGGAGAAGACAGGTTGGTGGAGGGTCTGGCATGGGGTGAAGGCCAACTGAGAGGCCCTGACAGCAGAGGGACCATCCCTGTGACCCCCAAGTCCCCAGCAAAACTCAGGAATGGTTATTTTTTCAAGGGACACGGTATCCCTAGGTTGCCCAAGCTGGTCTCAAACTCCTGGGCTCAAGCAGTCCTCCTGCCTCAACCTCCCTAGTAGTTGGGATTACAGGTGCAAGCGACTGCACCTGGCTAGGAATGTTTATTGAGAGTGAGTTTTCTTTGTAGAAACTGAGGCAGGGGCTGAACGTCAGAGTGAAATGGACAGAAGTGGAGGTCCCTGTGAGAACCTGACTTGGGAGAACTGTGTGAAGTCTTCAGTGGGCCTTGGGACTGCCACAAACCATAGGCTTGGGAATGGAGAAGGATAGTTTGAGCCAATCTGATTTAGATTTTAAGGCCTGGAGGCCCCTGTTGAGATCTGTAATAATTATTAATTCATTTGATAAACATTCAGTATTAACTTTGTATCACCAGGCCCTTCCCTGGGTTATGGATATAAAAATGGAAGAGATGTGGACAAATGAGATATTACAGTGGACTGTGACCAGAAAACCGACAAATCAAGCTAGACTCTGAGGGGACCCACTTTAATGAAAATATAAGAATCCCCCACGTTAATGAAAATATAAGAATCCCCTATGGTCAAGTGTCCATTTACACATCAAGGGCTGGGAAACTGATCCTTTATAGGAGTGGCTTTACAGACAGTGGCTACTCCAGGCAGCTGTTTTTTTAGTAACCCATGATCACTGGAAGGCATGGTATTCAGGAGATGAGATTAAAATGCAGCCCAGCTAGTGGGCTCAGCTCTGGCGGCACAGTAGAATCACCTGGGAAGCTTTAACATCTTGATGTCCGGGCCCTAACCTAGACCAATGGCACCAGACTCTTTGAAGGAGTGGTCTGGGCAGCAGAATTATTTTCCAGGCTCCCTGAGTGATTCTATTGTACAGCCTGAGTTGCGAACCACTGGTCTAGGTGGTTACAAATTCAAATTTGAGTCGATGGCATTTGCCTTCAAGTGCTTTTTTGACATTCCTCCCATCTCTCCTCTGCTCCCGTTGCCCAGCTGGGCTCCCATCCTGGTGATGGGTTGCCAAGTAGTCCTGGAGCTGCCACAGCACCCTGAATTTTCTTTGCTCTTTGCTAGTTTTGTACCAGGGTGTTGAGGGCCCGAGAGGCAGGGGGTGTTAACCACAGCAGGGGTGGAGATGAGGGAGTCATGTGCGTTACACGCTTAGTCACGCTGGGGAACTGGGAGGAGAAGGGCAGCCCGGCTGCCTCCCCTCCCTCAGGATGTCGTGGGAGCAAGCTCAGAGATGTGTCCACCAAGTGAACAATTTAAAGCTTCTTAGAAGTTGTGGAGTCGATGGATCTTCGCTCCTTTCATTTCCTCTTTCCACTCTCTATGGCTGTGAAACTACCAGAAGGGCCTGAAGTCAAAAAAGAAGGTTCAAGAGGCTGGTTCATTTTCATGCTGGGTGACACTCAGCGGTACAGTGAGAATCTGCTAAAACATGATTGTCTCCCCAGAAGAATATATGTATACACGGAATTTTGCATATGATTTGAGGGGTGTCAGCCACCCCACCTGTAACCCCATGGAGCCAAGGTTAACAACCCCTGTATGAGGTACCTGGGTCCTGTCAAGAGGCATGTGAACCACAGCAACTCCATCTTGAATAGGGGGCTGGGTAAAGTGAGGGTAAGACCTACTTTCCCAGACAGTTAAGGCATTCTAAGTCACAGGATGAGACAGGAGGTGGGCACAAGACACAGGTCATAAAGACTTTGCTGATAAAACAGGTTGCAGTAAAGAAGATGGCTAAAACCACGATGGCCACAAGAGTGACCTCTGGTCGTCCTCACTGCTGCACTTCACCAGCGCCATGACAGTTTACAAATGCCATGGCAACGTCAGGAGGTCATCCCATATGGTCTAAAAAGGAGAGGCATGAATAATCCGCCCCTTTTTCAGCATATAATCAAGCAATAACCATAAAAATGGGCAACCAGCAGCCCTGGGGGCTGCTCTGCCTATAGGGTAGCCATTCTTTTATTCCTTTACTCTCTTAATAAACTTGCTTTCACTTTACTGTATGGACTCGCCCTGAAGTCTTTCTTGTGCAAGGTCCAAGAACCCTCTTTTGGAGTCTGGATCAGAACCCCTTTCTGATAACAGTTCCAGACCTTGAGGGGTCCTCATGAATCAGATGAAGGAAGGAAGAAGTACCTGGACAACTTTGCCCAGAGAGTCAGCAGCTGTCTTGTAGATAAGAACAAGCCCAGCCACAATTTACCTTCCCGTGGTAAGAACTTTTATTTTTACCTAAATAATTTATCTAATTAAATGGTTCTCAAACTTTAGGGTGCAACAGAGTCTCCTGGGAAGGTTGTTCAACACAGATTGCTGTGCCTCACCTCAGAATTTCTGATTCATTAGGTCTGGGGTGGGACCAGATAACCTGCATTTCTAGCAGACTCCCCGGATATGGAAGCTGCTGGTCTGAGGGCCACACTTTGAGAGCCACTTATCCAGTGATTTCACCTCTGCTCATTAGCCCAGGCGGAGGGCTGATGAGAGACTAGGAAGCTGGATTTGAGTCAGAGCTAATGGTTTAGCACATAATTGCCAGGATGTACATTCCACTGAAAGCATCCATCAGTTCTTTGCTTGGTATAAACTCAGCTTTCCTTTTTTATATTTAAATTTCCACATTAGCATGGTAATGAGCTATTTAGGATGATGTGGAAGCCCAGCAGCTATGCTAAGTGAAAATCCAGCTTGCACAGAATAGGCCACCCTTTCAAGTGCTTAGGGACTGGGAGTCCCTAAGAGTTCTCAGCAGTTAGATTTTTTCTTGTTCTTTACATTTACAATAGTTGTGCATTTTAACCAAAATGCAAGTGTTTGAGAAGCAAACTGGGAGCCCACTTGCCTCTGTGTGAAAACTTCCCATAATTAAGGGAAGCACATGCTGACCGTGGGTGGGCACTTGGAGCTCACTGCCTCCTCCTTGCTGGGCAGAATCTTGCAGCTGTTAAAGGCAGAGGCGCGAACTTTTTAGTCATCGAATGAATGCAGATGAAGCATCCTCTGGTTGGATGAAGCTGAACCGGATCCTGAGGAACAGTGAGTCCAGGGCTGGATTTCATTTCGATGCCAGGCCTGATGTTCTGGAGCAGTGGCTACTGTCTTCATTGTGCACACAACTCTCCTGGGATCTTGTTAAGATGCAGATCCTGACTCAGCAGGTTGGGACAGGGCCCAGGAGTCTGCCTTTCCAGAAAGCTCCTGGGTGATGACAATGCTGACGTCTGTGACACCTGGGAACTTCGGTTCACAGCCTCTTTAGAAGTGTGCGGAGATGAAAGTGGACTTTAAAATAGTCCTGGTATGGACCTGGGAATCTGAGCATCCTTTAGAAAGGGAAACCTTCAATCTTCAAAAGTGATGGAAGTAGTGGGCCCAAAATGTGACTAAAATCTTCATCTGGTCAGTGAACACCCTCTTCATCTACTGAGTACAAGGATTATGAGGGACTGAGATTTATGGGAGCTCCTCCAGGTCAGAGCATTCCTCTTAATGCACAGATCCCCAGAGCTCATCATCCCCATGAGGCTGGGAACCCTGTGCTGCACAGGTTTTAATGCTCTCTGCAGCCCTGATGTGGGGCTCAGAGCTCAGTGAGTGTGTGCTGCCTGAATGAATGGACATGTTTGACCATCCTTTTTTTTGTGTGGCTAATAAACATCAGCCCATTACTAAGTGTTCAGTGGCACAGCCCACTCTGACACATCTTAAAAATTAGATGGAGGAGCCACCGGAGTGTGAGGTTTGAGCACAGCAGAGACATAATTTGACTTCCATTTTACCAAAAATGTTCTGGCTGCTGTGTTGAGAATGAACTGCAGAAAGACAAGAATGAAACAGGCATGAAAGATGGCAGCTCAGGGTAGAATGTTAGCAGTGGAGGTGACAAGCAAAGGGCAGATTCTGGATATATTTTGGAGTCAACAGAGATTTGTTGGGTGTGAGATGCAGGAGAAAGAGAGCAATGAAGGATAACTCCAAGGTTTTTGGCCTGAATAACTGGAAGCATGGAGTTGCCATTAGCTGAGCTGGGGAAGGCTACATGTAATGCAGGTACGGGAGGGTGAAAATCAGGAATTCCGTTTGGGACATGTTAACTTTGAGACTGGGTACTTGACACATCCAAGTGAGATATCAATTTGGCAGCTGGATATATGAGTGGGACTTGTGAGACAGTTTCAAGCTGGAGAGGTACAACTGGAAGCCCACAGCAGATAAAAGGCATCTTAGCCTCAAGATTGGATGAGGTCATCAAGAAAGTGAGTGTAGGTAGAGAAGAGGACCAAGGACTAAGCTCTGGGGTGCTCCAAAGTTAACAGATTAGGTGGAAGACAAGGACTAAGAAGGAAGTGACCAGTGAAGGAGAAAAACTAAAAGATGACAGCATCCTAGAAGCCAATGGAAGTCTCATGAGGGAGTGTTCAACTGTGTTACTGCTGAAGGGAGCTCAAGTATGAAAAGACTGAGAACCAGCCTTTGAATTTAGCCAAATGGAAGCCATTGGTGACTTTGAGAATGGTGGTGGTGATGGAGTGGCAGGTGAAAGCTCACCTGGAGCAGTTTAAAGAGAAAGAAATGAGAGGAATGCATGACAGTGAGCATAGATTACTCTTTTAAGATGTTTTCTTGCTGGGCTGGGTGCGATGGCTCACGCCTGTAATCCCAGCACTTTGGGAGGCAGAGGTGGGTGGATTATTTGAGGTCAGGAGTTCAAGACAAGTCTGGCCAACATGGTGAAACCCCACCTCTTTATTAAAAATACAAAAATTAGCTGGGTGTGGTGGTGCATGCCTGTAGTCCCAGCTACTTAGGAGGCTGAGGCAGGAGAATCGCTTGAACCCGGGAGGTGGAGGTTGCAATGAGCCGAGATCATCACACTACACTCCAGCCTGGGCGATAGAGCAAGACTCCGTCTCAAAAAAAAAAAAAAAAAAAAAAAAACTTACAAAAGACAAAAAAGAGCAGAGAATCAAGTGGTATCTGGCAAAAGAAGTGGGTCAAAAGAAGGTTTTCTTTTTCTTTAAGATGAGAAAGATCCAGTAGAGGGGAAAATTGGAGTTACAGAGGAGGGATGGGGGCCAGGGTAATGCCTGGTATGTGCTAGTGCTCGAGGAAGGGGCTTGGCTTCAGCCAGGAGCATGGAGGGTTCATCACTAACAACTAAGAAGGCACAGCAGGTGGGTGCAGATGCTGGGGAGGGGGCAGAGGTGGTGAAAGGAGTCTGTGGAAATTCTGTTCAGCTGTTTTCAACCTTCTCAGTGATGGAAGAAGTATCAACTGAGAGTGAGGGAGATTTGACACACACAGAGAAGGCAATGTGAAGATGGAGAAGTAAAAGATATGGAGATGCTGGCCTCGAAGACTGGAGTGATGGAGCCACATGCCAAGGAATGCCAGCAGCTACCAGAAGCTGGGAGAGGTAAGGAGCGAAGGCCCTCCTGGCACCTTCATTTCAGGGCAGTGATACTGAGTTTTGATTTCTGGTCTCCAGAACTGTGAGATAATACTTTTCTCTTTTAAAGCCACTAAGTTTGTGGTAATTTGTTACAACAGCCACAATGAAACTAATATAGAACTAGAGGAGAAAGAACTGACTTAGAAGACCCACTGCCTTGTTCACTACCATATACCTAGCACCCAGACCAATGCCTAGCATATGGTAGTGCCCAATAAATATTTGTGGAAAGAATGAATGGGCAGGAAGACAGGCCTGAGTGGTCCACCATATCACCTCTCTCCCCAGTCTGCAGTCTAGCCTTCTCTGCCTCCAGCCCAGAGGGCATAAGAAGCATCCTCCAGCACCCAGGCTTACATGTTTCAGCTAGAGTTGCCCAAAGAGCTACCAAGAGAGGGTTTTGGCTTGTACTCCCTGGAAAACGGAGCCTGAGAGATTCAGCTTGGTCAAGTACCCGCCCTATTTAATCAACAAAAATGAAATCACATTGTGCCAAAGACTGTAACCCTAAGGATGGGGGAAGAGGGCAGTTTCTATGAAAAGGAATGTCAGGCAGATAATCCAATAGGTGTCCTGGACAAAGAGCACTGTTTCTGGGCTCCTCACCACACTCCTACATTAGCTTTAGTCCTCCAGCTACTTTGAAGTGCACATTAGTGTCCCATTCACAGGCAAGGCAGCTCAAGACTAAGGCAGGTCATTTGCCCAAAGGCATACAAAGGTCGGTAGTAGGGCTAAAATCCAGATCTGCCCAGTATCAAGAGGTAGTGCCTCTAAATGCTGTGCTAGCCTGCCTTCATCCTCCAGCTCCATGCAGGAAGGAGACACCCCACGGCCACCAGTGGGCTCCTCCTTACTTCAGATCTGGTTAGCACCAAGGTCATGCTCTGTAAGACGTGGATGTTCTGGGCAAAACACCAACAACTCACAATGTTCTCAGCAAAACTTCAGGAATACTGGAGTAAAAGGAACTAAGACAGATACGTGTTTCTCTTCTTTATTAATCAGTCGAGAGATACAAAGACTTAATAAAAAGTTACACAGAAGGTTCAAACATCACTGAGATCTTCAGGCATCACTCGTTTCACGACAATGGCCACCTGTTAAGACTATGAAACAGAAGCTGGGCGCTCACAGGCGCACAATAATTCAAGTATCTTTCATTCCAAGTAAACCCGACATGGAATTTCAAACACAATGGGCTGCCAATGGAGGGAACCTGTCTGTGGCTCCAGATTTGCTGTAACATGTCTGAGGGGCCTTTGGGTTAAAGTTGCCACGTTAGTGGGTCATGTCTCCTGGAAAAGTGAGACAGGCCCCACGAGGCCAGCCAGGCATTTTCCACAGCAAGTGCCATGAGAAGGAGGTGGGCAAAGTCCTAAGAGAAACCATCCAGGTGTCCCGAGTGGCAAAGTGCACAGGTAGTAAGTGGCCATTGTCCCCAGCCGTGGGAGTGGAGAGGATGGCTAGGATTATCTCTGGAAAAAAAAGAGCAGCCCTCTAAGGAGGGTGTCAAACAGTGGAAGAAATCTGAGAGCACACAATGGCAAAGGCATGGGGTGAGGGCATTTCAGGAAGGCTGTGCTCCAGGGGATGTGAGGGTAGCACTATTCTCCGGAAGACCAACGGGAACATGAGGATGTCAAACAGCCAGAAGTCCCAGTTGGCTCCTCGGTCATGGTGTGGCGTGGCCAACCAGGTTTCCCAGTCTGACCCTGCTAGATGATAATGGAGGAGAAGATGGAGGGATGTCACGGGGCACACTCTACACTCTACTCTGGCCTATCTGGAAGCTACCTCAGTCATGAGGGCCCACTTCTACAAATGGGGCATTATTTACCCATTTCATTTATGGGGAAATGAGTTCATGGGAGATGAAAGCTTACCAGAGGCTCAACAGCAGAGGATACAGAAGACCAACCCTTAACTAGTCTCTCTCAGGCACCATGGAGTTCAACGTGGGCCAAGTGCAGGATGGATGAACAGATGCACTGTCCCTTCTGTCCCAACTGTGTGGTTGAAATCCCTATGTCTTCTCACCTTTATGGCCGAGGTCTCTGTTCTACATCAGCTGATCTGCTTCCAGTGAGACTATCAAACTCAGTGCTGTCGAGGAGTTGCAGCTCCACGGTGGGCATGGGGTATGCTCGTAGTGGTTGGTGCCCAGCAGGAGTTTTCTGGCTGTGGACACTGCCCTGTGTGCAGGGCTTCTTCTCCTACTCCGCCATGCTCTTGATTCTGAGCATCTCCATCCTTACTCCTTCCTACCTGCCTTTCCTCCGCCTCACCTCCAGTTTGCAGCTGCCATCAAACTGCACACAACAAACTGCTGCAGATACCACTTAGGGAAGCATAAGGATTGGGAAGAGCTTTGTCCTTTTAGTGTTTAAAATACCTCTTAACACTATAGGGTCTAAGGAAACTTTGAAGTGCCTCACCTGGAATGTTCTCTCTTATCCTTCCTTTTAGGAACAGAAAAAGGGGCAATTTAGACAAATAAGAAGTTTGATTTCCAACAAGCAAAAGTCTCAACTGTCTCCTTTTGTAGCAGAATCATTCTCCAGCTGGGCCCCTCAGTGCTGGTGATCTTGCCGAGGTAGGAACACAGCACATTTTCAGAACCCGGGTGTCTTGGCATCCAGTTGGGTGCTCACTTTCCTTGGGTTTCTTTCTCCAGAGTGGCCAGGCCACCTGCTGAGGATATTCTAGTTTGCATAGTGACCTGATTTGTAACATCTAGAAAATAAGGTCACCAGCTGTGCTGCCTTTTATTCTGACCTTTTCTTTGGTGCAGCGTTGTTCCTGTTGTCTCTCCACTCCCACCCCAGCTGGAAAAACTCCAGTCTTTGGCTCACACCAGCAGCACCTGAGGTGGGGGGGCGGGGGTGAGCATCATCAGGGAGCTGGGGAGACTGCCCCCTTGCAGAAGGTATATGAGAGCCACACATCAGCCCAGCCTTCCTTACTTCTCAGATCATTTTATAGTCAAGATTCAACAGGTCAATAAAAATTGCCAAAAAGGCAACCTAGTACTACTTTTACAAATACTGGAAGGGGTCTGCTCATTGACTAGGCTTATAGAGGTGGTAGTCAGTTGACTCCAAGGGAAGATGGCTTCAGGTCTTGGTGCTGTTTTAGTGATAACAGTATTGAATCATTTTTGGTTAAGATCCAGCATGAACTGGAGTTTTCTGGATGGTGTCCACATTAGGTTACTTTGACGTGTCAGTGTATTCGTATCAGAGAGGCACCAAGCAGCACAGCTGATGTGAAAACGCAGCAAGAGACAGATCTGAGAAACCCAGAGCCTCCTCAGACCCCTGGGGAGGGCAGAGAACTTAACCCATACTGTCTGAAAAACAAATGAACATGTTTGCAAAGCCAATCAGCTTACTTTAGTTTATACATTTCCAGGATAATGAAAACCCCTTTTAGAACTGACATGCTCATGACAGCCACTCCCCTCAGCAAAATACAATCTGTTTTCTAATATTTGCATCCCCAACCATAGGAAAATCCTCTGGGTAAATACCTCTCTCTTCTCTCATTTCTAGGCCATGTGTAGGGTCTCTTTCCCTCCCAGGTTTGACCCATGGCCTGAGGCCTCCAGCTACAGTTCCCATTACCTTCTGTCCTCTCAGACACTCTACTTTCAGATTGAGTTGAGTTTTGGCACTGATGGGAAAACTCGGTTAAAAAACAACAACAATATTCCAGATATGTTACCAGAGAGGTCTGCTGAACACTTGAAACTTCACCAGGCAGTGAGCCCAGACCCCTTTAATAAAATAATAATCACTAAAATAATTTAAAAATCTATAAAAGACATCCAAGCTCAGACATTGTGGATGGGGGGTAAGGGAAAGAAGCTTGTTCATGGCTTGTTTTGTACTTTGTATGTGGATAAACACTTCCACATCAAACCAACACTATGTAGTTACAATAAACAACACACCCACCGAGAGAGGGGGAGGAACCGGGTTGAATCAACACATGGGGGGGCCAGGGGCACTTGGATGCTGCTTCTGCTTACAGGTGGCTTCCTTGTCTCTTTGAGAGGTGGGAAAGCCCGTGCCCTCTGGGCAAAGCCAGACCCTGTCTGCTCCCTGCCCACCTGCCCTTCTCCCTTCCTGTACCAAGTCCTTGGGCCAAGGGTTGTGGTTAGAAATGGTTTCAGTGCAGTTAGGTGGGGAGGGGTCCCGAGGGCTGGCCAGGCCACCGTCACTGTGCCCAGGGCCTCAGGCCTGTCACAAGATCACACATTGCAGTTTGTGGGTGCCTGTGGCCCGGTCTCCCCGCCATTTGGTTTTCTTCTTCTTCTTCTGGCTTTTTTCCGGAATCTGTTGCCTTTTGAAACAATGAAGGACAGAAAGACAAAGTCAGAATGGGCTTTGCTTCTCCTCTGCCCCTCTCCTCCCTAGCCCCAGATCTGAGTCAGAGGAGGCCTGTTCTGGCGGGGTTAGTGGGTGAGGGGGATGGGGATGCCATCCCTCTCCCAGTGGCTGTCCTGGCCGCTGGAGGAGGGCCTGGCAGGATAGCTTCTCTTGAGGCAATGCAATGGGGGAGATGGGGGAGGGGATAACCTAAATCGCCCTACTGATGGGAATGACTGACATTATGTTGTAGCTACATTTACATAAATCATAAGCTACATCACGTTTTGTCTTATAGAGTGCTGGCCTCTATTCCTGTGTTTCATAGTTTAAATAAAATGATGGGTCAACTGAGCGTAAAAGCCATTTCATGTTTTCTGTTAACTTTTCCTATGTCTAAAACCTGACCTTGGCACTATAGGTTCACAACCAAGGCATCACCATAGGCTACCTGATGGCAGCACATCCTAATTGGAGGCAAAATGCCCAAGAGCAAATAGTTTCTTTCTTTCTTTTGTAAAGATGGCATTTCACTATGTTGCCCAGGCTGGTCTTGAACTCCTAGCCTCAAGCAATCCTCTTGCCTCCACCTCCACCTTTGCCTCTGAGTGCTGGGATTACAGGAATGAGCCACTACGCCTGGATGAGAAAATCATTTTGAGAGTGCAAAACTGCCAGCAAAAACATAAAGTGAAGAATGTAATATTTCCTCATTACGCTGGGGAATAATGAGAAGATGAGCTTTTTGAGCATGTGGGGGCATGTGTGTATAGTGGGGGTTAGAGCCCCGGGGCTGATCTCACAGCTCACCAGCAGCCCTTGGAGGTGCCAGCATATAGGCCACAAACTCAACGCACAATGTCTGAGACCCGCTGGTTAGGCTGCTGTGCATGTTAAAGATTTGGGAAATGGGATAGCTTGGTGACAGCGGATGCAGCCAGGAGGCTGTTTTAGTCATGAGTGCATGAGGTGATTAACGTCTTGACCCTGACCATGCAAAGGAATATACAAGAAACTTTCATTAGGATTGCTGACAATACTTGGAGATTGACAGCTGGTGGGGTTGGGAAAGGAGATACATGTGCAATGCCTCTGAAATTTGAACCTTGGAATCAGAATATTGGTTGTTCAGGGGAAATATCAAAGGGTGCTCTGATATCAGGGCAGGGAAGAGGAGAGAGACCTAGTTTGTACAGTGTGGAAAGCTTTGGTGTGAGGAGAACACTGAAGCCAGGCTGGAGGGAGCTGCCTTCCAGGGAGCCTGAGCCACTGCATCAGACAGGAAGGCATTTCCACTTAACATGTGCAGCAGACATCACCCACAAACCCGTTAGCAGCTGCGGGGAGGGCAGAGGTAGGTGGAAAAAGCAAAAGAAAGAAATGGAAGGAGGGACAAGAAATCCAAAAATAGGCCCAGAATTCCACAGCCTCATGGCCTCAGAACAGGAGCTGCTTCCTCAAGCTCCCAGCTGCCTCCAGGAGCCAACCCATGCTGTGGAGGCCCGCTTCTAGGGAGAGGGCAGTGCTCACCTAATTACTCTAACGAGGTCATGGAAGGCTTTGTCGACATTGAGAGGTGGGTCCTTGGCACTGGTTTCTATGTACGGAATCTGGAAGGCAAAGCTCAACTTGATCAAAGTGGCACAGAGATCCTCAAAGCCCTGTTACACCCTTAAAAATGCCCAGAGGTTCTGAGGAACCCAGGTGCTTTCAAAACCCCCCACAGAAGCCCCAGCCCCCAATAGCCTCAAGCATCATTTAGGGCTTTTCACTCTTTCAGGTTGGAAAGTGTTACTAATGGCTTTTCCAATTCCCTCTTGTTCTCTAGGCACAGAGATATTTAATAGCTCCCTAAAAATAGAATAAAGTGATCTTTTTATATACTTGAAGATGAAAGACTGTTTCATTTATCAAAAATACATTCTGATTCTATCCATTTTTCTTTCTGAGGTCTGTTGCTCCACCTTGGGATGACTTCTGTCCCTCTTTCTGGGCCCCTCCAGAGTGGACGTGGTAGAAAAGGCTGAGGAGAGGCTGGGCCATGACCAGGATTCTGGGCCCAGGTGACCCTGGCCCCGTCGGAGCTGGCCCCCACCTCATCCCAGCTCTTGTTTGATCTGTATCTATGAGCCTGGGAGCTCAGCCATGTTTACACAAGGTTTTTGTCTGCACGTTCAATGGTGAGAAATCATCACCCGGTCGAAAGGGTGCAGACAGCGGGAGATACGACTGTGGTGGCCCCACAGAGCAGGTTTCCAGGGCCAGATCTGCACCAAGCCTCGGGCTGGCAAAGGGAGGAGAACAAAGGCTCTATGAGGTCAGGACACACTCACTCCTGAGCGCTCACCTTCTCCTACAGCAGGGACCCCACCAAGGCAGGAAGTGTTCATTCCCCAAAGGCGGGGAGCAGGGTGGGGAACACACAGGCCTCCCTTGATGAGACAGATGGAAGTAAGCTGAGTGTGATTAGACTGAATAACTTTGTTATTTTTCATAAGTTTTTCTGATTACAAAATTAATGCCTTTCATTATAATATGCTGGAAAAAGAAAAGCACAGTGAAGGAAAGAAAAATAATCAACACTTGAAATGCATGGAGGGCGACAGAGTAAGTTGTTGTTTTAGAGGAGTAGATTGTAAATCATTGCCCAGAACACAAACCAGTCAGTATCTTCCCATCCATCATCATCGCGTGAGGTTGGATGTGCACACTTCTGTTGTAGCCAACAGACACACAAAGCGCAGAGCACAAAAGGCAGAGCTTAAGCCTTTGAAATATTCATTGGACAAATATTTGAGCCTCTGATAACACTAAATGGAAACTGCTCTTCATTATGGGCTGTTTGGCTTTCCAGGTCTCACTATCCCTGACCTCTTTTAGTCCTCACATTAACCCTCTGAGGTAAGCAAGTATCTCCATTCTGCAGCTCAGGAGACTGAGCTCAGAATGACGCACTTGCTCAAGGTCAACACCGGCTGGCAGAGAATCAGGGTTTGAACTGGGCACACTTTCCACTTTCTCCTGGCCCTGGTAAGGGGTGCTGAGGTCTGCTTTGGAGCCTCTTCCAGGTTGGACACCAAATCCGGCCATGGCAGATGCCCCTGATAAGCGGCCAGTAGAGTCCTATGGGGCCCCTGTAAGTCAGGACAACGTGCATCCCTGCACACACCCAGAGGGGAGGCAGGAAGGCACCGCAGCTCAAGCTGGGACCTACCTGGAGCCCCTTCACATCCTGTACTCCTACCGGCTCAGTAATGGCCCAGGTTCCAGGGCCTCAGACCACTGCCACCTGTGGTCCCACCCCATCACTCAGAAGTCCCTGAGTTGTATGATCCCCCCAGGTCCCAGACACCTTCTACTTTCTTTCTAGGGGACCTGTCTCTACCATTGACGAAACACTGATGTGCATTACCTGGATTCCTGGAATTGCAGGATTTCAGTAGCAACAAGACTTAAACTAAGGGGAGCCCTTCAATAAACAGTAGTTTCATTTCCAAAGACCAGGACTGCAGGGGTGACCAGGCTACAGCTTTTACACATCTCCTGACCCCCTCTACACACACGCACACACCTACATTGTGTTTGGTCGCCATTTCTTTTCCTTGCTCCCTGGTGATCTTCCTCAAGTGCATCAAATCGACCTTGTTGGCCACGAGGATCATCGGGAATGACTCCCTGGGAAATAAAGGAACAGCAGCTCTGTGAGGTTTCCACCACCCCTCACACCTGGTTAAGGTGGCACATTCACATCTCAGGCATAGCACAGCCAGCCCACAGCACCTCCCCAGTCAGCCTGGACTGCAGTCCCTTCCCTCTTCCTTTCCAGAGAGAGGTCAGGGCTTGGGGGAAAGGGCCCGGGGGCTGCTGGCTATCTTGGCTTTAAGCCTCAGGTCCATTGCAAGGCCAGTGGTGAGGACTTGAGGGGCTGCTGGCCAGGGGCTGGCTCCCCAGACCTGGTTCCCATCTCTTGGGTCACTCAGATGTACCAACCACACAACCAGCTGCACAATTAGGATGGCTCCCAGCAGAGGGCATCAAGAGGCATGGCCACCGTAAAGATTCTTATTGACATGGGCCAAATTTTGTCCAAAACTGAATGAAACGACAATCTCACCGCAGCATTGAGTATTTGGCAGCATTGGGTATTTCCATTTTAAAAAATTATAATTTGACAGGTGAAAAATGGTACTTTACTATTTTCCCTATATTTCTTTGATTAGCAAGAAAGTTGAACATTTTCCCACATTTGAGCCATTTTTGTTTTCTCTTTTGCAATTCATGTATTCGGAGTAAAACCCACATTAATCTGTGGGAGCTTTATGTGTATGTATGTGTGTCCCTTTACCTGGTAAACTTATTAACACTTTGCCTTTGGAACACATGTTAGCTAGATTTTTTTCTGTCTTTAATGGAATTTGCTCAAAGCTTGTTCTTTTCCTATTAGTTTGTGCTTTTATTTTCATTACATAGCCTCTTTGAGAATCAACAAGGCCAAATGAGTATAAACCAGATTTCAAATGATTTAATTACTCCACATAAGGCTTAAAAAAATCCACGCCTTTAATTAGGGGTGAGAGAGAGAGAAAGAGAAAGAGAGAGAGAGAGAGCGCCCTAGGAGGCAGGCGCAGGCCTCTTCCCGGTACTCTCACCTGTCTTTGATGCTCACCTGTCTTTGACGCGCAGGATAAGCTGGTGGAAGCGGTCCACGTGCTCAAAGCTGGCCTTGTCAGTGACGGAGTAGACGATGAGGAAGCCATCCCCCGTGCGCATGTATTGCTCCCGCATGGCGCTGAATTCCTCCTGCCCAGCTGTGTCCAGAACTGGGGTGGGATGAGGCCACTCAGGGGCTGTCCTCACCTACCCTGTAGCCCCCACAGCCTGCAAGACTCCAACACTGCTGCTGCTGCTGTCCCTACCGTGGCCCAGTCCGAGCTGTCCCGTGAGAGGCTGCATAAGCTCTCTCTCTAGGGCTGCTCGAAGGGTCCCAGCTGAAGCTCCCCAACCTTAAAGCCGCTTCAGGGTGAGGCTCTGACTCACTGTGGACCCACCAAACCCTTCTCCTCCAGTTTCACCCCATGTGCTTACTAGGCCTAAATTCTCTGATCTACAGACGCGCCTCATGAAGCCAGTGATGAACTCTGCTACACAATCCCTCTGGCCAGACCTGGGCTTGGATCCCTGCTGCAGGGCCTACAAACTGTGACTCTTTGGGAGGCTGCCTGACTCTCTGAGCTTCCCCTTTCCTCCTCTATCAATGAAAACCGTGCCTCTACCTTGCACCCCCTAGGGGAGAAGAGCTTATTTGTGGACATGCCTGGGGGGAAGCCCTGAAGAGGCCATCTGGGCAGGAAGGGCTTCTCAGCCCCCAAGGGGACAGATACCAAGGAGACCCTGGGGGAGGAGCGGCCCCTCACAGCCAGGGCACTTCCTCCTAGGCTGGGGCTGGAAGCTCTTCCTCCTAACCCATCCATCCCCCCAACTACTCCTGCCCAGGTGCTCTCGCCCCTCACTGCCACCTTCCTCCAGCCTCCTTCCTGCTGAGGGAAAGTCTCATCCCACTGCTCACAGCCACAAGCTCGGTAGGCAGGGTGGGGGGTTCCTTTTAGCAGTGCAGGCCTGACCCCTTTCTGCCCTCTGGGGGCATGAAGTCTGAACCTGCAGCATCCTCCAAGCACCTGCTCATGGCTTAGCCTCCCCTGCGTCTTCCCAGTCCCCCTGCTGCCTGACCAGATCCACCTTCCCCTCTCCTGTGAGGCAGGGGAGCGGGTGGTTACAGATTTTGGAGCCAGCCCACTGGGCGGAGTCTGGCTTCTCATGCCTGGGTGTGACCCCAGGCAAGCTACCCTCTCTGTGCCACCATTTCCTAAAATGGGGATGGTCAAGGTAGTTTTCAGTTAATACATGTAATGCCCTCAGTGCAGTGCCTGGCACAAAAGCCCTGTGGGAGGGTCTGCTGTGAGCTTGCCATCCTCACTGGGGTCTTCTCTCCCGCTCTGGCTACCCTCGCAGTCCAGGACACTTTCCTCCAACTCCCCCTTCCCTCCCCTTCTCCACTGGCCTTGGTGAGCGGACTCTGACTTGGCTGTAGCTGGAGCCCCAGGACCAACCCCAGCCCCATGCCAACCCTTCCGGGAACACTTCTGGCCAGCCATGTAGTTGTCCCCAGCAGGACTGTTAGCTCCCAGGGGTAACGGCAGGTCTGTGCCAGTCACCTGTCTACTCATGGCCTGGCCAAAAAGTAGCCCCGAACAGTACTTGAATCAAAAAATAAATGTGAAGTCTGTCCAATCTTGTCATTCATTTAAGGAATGTCTGAGTGCCTGCTAGGTGGCAGGAAGTGTTCTAGGCCCTATGGACAGAAGGCGAATGAGACCAAATCCTTGCTTTTATGGGACTCACCATCTAGAAGCAAGACAGATCAACAAATGAATGGCTGTTATTTTAGTGGAGATAGATACACAGTGTGAAGAATGATATAGTCGGCTGGAGGGTCACTGGCAGAAGTTGGTGTCATTTTGGGTAGGGAAGGAGGACCAATATCAGAAGGTGACATTTGAACAGTGACTAAATGAGGGGCCGGAGGGAGCCACGTGGCCTAGCGGAAGAGCACTCCAGGCAGAGGGAACACAACAAATTCGAAGGCTCAAAGGTGGAGGTGTGCAAGGGCAAGAAGGGGAGTGAAGGGCGTGTGAAGGATGGAGAGGAGGTGGGGGCAGATGGTGGGGCCTGCCACACTGTGTAAGTTTCACTTGGTTCTAAGCAAGACTGGGGCCACTGGAGAGTTTGGGCAAAAGAATGGCATAGTCTGGCCAGGCGCGGTGGCTCATGCATGTAATCCCAGTGCTTTGGGAGGCCGAGGCAAGTGGATCACCTGAGGTCAGGAGTTCGAGACCAGCCTGGCCAAATGAAACCCCGTCTCTACTAAAAATACAAAAATTAGCCAGGCATGGTGTCGAGCGCCTGCAATCCCAGCTACTCATGAGGCTGAGGCAGGAGAATCACTTGAACCCAGGAGGCAGAGGTTGCAGTGAGCTGAGATAGCGCCACTGCACTCCAGCCTGGGTGATAAGAGCAAAACTCCGTCTGAAAAAAAAATAAAAAATAAAAAAGAAAGAAAAAGAAAGGCATGCTCTAGAGGACATCTTGAAAAGTTCATTCTGGCTGCTGGGGAAAACAGAGCAAGACTGGAAGCAGGGAACCAGTGAGGAGGCTAGCACAAGAATCCAGGCAACACATGCTGGTGGAGCCGAGGGCGGGGAGTGGGTGCTGGGGGAAGTGACCAGACCAAGGCCACTTTCTAAGACAGAGTCAACAGGAGCAGAGCTTTCTGGAGGAAAGTGTGGGGATAGAGAGGTGAGAAAAAGAGGCATTGAGGATGACGCCTGTTTCTGGCCTGAGCGTCTAGGGGAATAGTGATCCCAGATGCTGAGGTGGGGAAGTCTGGGTGAGAAACAGGGTTTGGGGGACTCAGTTTTTGACACAGGCTTCAGAGTCTATTAGACACCATGTTTGACTTCCAGTAGGTATTGGGGGACTTAAGTCAGACATAGAGAAGAGAAGAGGGGGCAAGAGATACAGATGTGGGAGTTGCCAGTGTGTAGATGGCAAGGAAAGCCACAGGACAAGCTATCCAGCGATGCCTGGGAATCCACATCTTCTTAGACAGGCACCTTTACACAGTACCCAAGAAAGTCACCTGTCCCCACAGCCCTTCATTGCTGCACATCCCCCAGAGCCATTTGGCACTTCAGAGGGGCCAGTGATGGACAAGAGGACCCAAGAGGTGCCCAGGGCATAAAAGCAGCTCATGGCTACTTCTGCTCCTTCCCTGGGCCTCAGTCTCATGTAGGAAATGAGGGGCGGGGCTCCGGGACCAGCAGGTCCTTACAGCTCTGATATCCTAGAACTATTTCATCTGGATGTGAAATGAAGAGGTCAGAAGGCAGGACCTACAGCCAAGGACCGGGCAGTTTCCCCAGTATTTCCCAGGAGGGAGCAGGAAGACTGCACCTTCAACTGGAGGGACTGCAGCTTTTTTTTTTCTTAGAAAAAAAAAAAAATTCGACTCAGAACTGCAATTAATAAAACAGACGGAAACAGCATGCATTTGGTTGAAGTGTGGGTGGAAAGGCCTGAATCGAAAAGCAGAAGACACCCGGGTGCGGTGGCTCATGCCTGTAATCCCAGCACTTTGGAAGGCCAAGGCAGGTGGATCACCTGAGGTCAGGAGTTGAAGACCAGCCTGGCCAACATCGTGAAACCCCATCTCTATTAAAAATACAAAAAATTAGCTGGGCATGGTGGCAGGTGCCTGTAATCCCAGCTACTCGGGAGGCTGAGGCAGGAGAGTCACTTGAACCCAGGAGGCAGAGGTTGCAGTGAGCCAAGATCACGCCATTGCACTCCAGCCTAGGCAACAAGAGCGAAGCTCTGTCTCAAAAAAAAAAGAAAAAAGCAGAAGACATTAAGGCAATATCGTAATTCATATATTTACAGATTTTGAAGGTATATACTATCTAAATGGAAACTAGAGATCTAGGATATTTTAAAATATGATCATTCAAATTAAAAAAAATTAATAGGGAGTTGAAAATCAAAATGGACCCTATGGAAAGGAAAAACAGTCATCTCAGACATTGAAGGTCTTAGAAATTATATCACCCAGGCTTTCTGGAAGAATTCTTACAAAGTAAAAAATAAAACCATCAAAGAGAAAGAAGAGTGATACTACAAACAGTGGTAAGCGAAGAAAACAGCAAAACATAAGAGTTAAGTTTAAGGCCAGTGCAGTAAGTTCAAGCCTATAATCCCAGCAGTTTGAGAGGCTGAGGTAGGAGGATAGTTTTAGGCCGGGAGTTTGAGACCAGCCTGGGCAACACAGTGAGACCCCATCTCTACAAATTTTTAAAAGAACAGGTAAGTTTAACTAAATGTTGTTGCATAATTTGAAGAGAATAGATGATAATGTAGAACTAAAATCTAAGATGATCCAATGTGTGAGGGTAGGAGCCAGGAAAAAATAAGTACTAAAGTTCTCGCCTCATTTGTCAAGAGGCTAATGATCCTGATTACATCTAGATGCTGATAGAAAAATACGAGTATACACACACATACATATATAGCATAACCAATAGAAGAACGGAAGTAAAACCTCAAACTTCCTAAGCAACACCTCAAACTTCCTAAGCAACAGAGGAAAAACAGGACAAAGTAAATGAAACCAATCCAACAAAAGGCAAAAATAAACTTAACAAAAATAAGCAAATATAATAAAAAGTAGGCATGAAATAAGATGGCTGAAATAAATCTATGACTCATCACAATAAATGCAAATGGATTAAATCCATCTATTAAAAGCAGATACTAAATACAAAATCCATTTGCCTGCCTTCTTTCAAAGACACATATAAAGCAAAATGACAGAGAGGATGAAAAATGGAAGGATAAAAAGAACATGCCAGCCACATGGTAACCAAAAGAAAAGAAATGCATCTACAAAACAGAATTCAAGGCCAGATCATGAAACGGACAAAGACAGAGTATTTATAATCGGAAAGGTACAAGCATCAAGAAGTGCCGCAGTCATCAATCATAAGCATCTAGGCATGTTGCTTAAACACGTATGTGGACAAAAAAAAGGATTTTTAAAAACAACAGGAATTGACAAATTCCATAATCATTATGAGAGACTTGAAGAGGCCTCTCTTAAATATAGAACAAATTATCTCCAAAAGCAATGTCCTGTCATTAAATAACAAAATTTAAATACTTGGCTGGGCAAGGTGGCTCATCCCTGTAATCCCAGTACTTTGGGAGGATAAAGCGGAGGATCAGCTTGAGCCCAAGAGTTTGAGGTTCCAATGAGCTACAATCTTGCCACTGCACTCCAGCCTCTGGGGCAGAATGAGAACCTGTCTCTAAAAACAAAATTTAAGCTTATTCTGAGAGACAGAACAAACTTTACATTCCAATAGTGAACAAGCATTTTTTTATTTTTTTGTTTTTTTGAGATGGAGTCTTACTCTGTCTCCAGGCTGGAGTGCAGTGGTGCAATCTTGGCTCACTGCAACCTCCGCCTGCCGGGTTCCAGCGATTCTCCTGCCTCAGCCTCCCGAGTAGCTAGGATTACAGGCATGCGCTACCATGCCCAGCTAATTTTTGTATTTTTAGTAGAGACAGAGTTTCACCATGTTGGCCAGGATGGTCTCAATCTCCTGACCTCGTGATCCACCTGCCTCGGCCTCCCAAAGTGCTGGGATTACAGGCGTAAGCCACCGCGCCTGGCCATGAACAAGCATTTTTAAACATACATGAAATTTGGCCATATATTAGAGGCCATAAATAAAAATTTCAACAAATTCCAGAAGGCAGAAATCCTATAGGCTAAGTTTTGTCCTTTATCTGAAATGCTTGGGGCCAGAGGTGTTTTGGAATTTTTATTTTTAAAAGATTCTGGAATATTTGCATATACATAACGAGATCTCTTGGGGATGGGACCCAAGTCTAAATACAAGATTCATTTATATTTATACACATAGACTGAAAATAATTTTATACAATATTTCCGAGAATTTTGTGCATAAAACAAAGTTCATATTAAGTACTTATATGTGGACTATTCACTGTGGCGTCACATAAGCGCTCAAAAAGTTTCAGATTTTGAATCCTTTCAGATTTCAGATTTTTGGACTGCAGATGCTCAACCTGTACTGTAACAGGATCAGAAATGAACAGAAACAAGAGTATAAGAGAATCTAGCCACCTGAAAATGTTAAAAGCCATGCTCCTCTATAACTCTCTAATTAAAAAGCAGAAATCACAGTTGAGAATTGAAGGACAATCAACAGAAATAAAACCTCTCATTTAAGGCCAAAGTGGTACTTACAGGAAAATTATAGCTTTAAATGCATTTCAGAAACTAAAACTGAAAATTAACTAAACACTTAAATCAAGAGGCTAGAAAAGGGAAAATAAACTAAAATAAGAGAGAAAGAAAAAGGTATCAATAAAAGTAGAAATTGCCAGAGTAGGAGGAGGGGAAAGTAGCTGATATCTAAAAATCAAAAGCAGATTCTTTCAAAGGACCAATTTAAAAAAACCCAGCTTTCAGCAATTCTTATCAGAGAAAAAAAGACAAGCATTTGGAATGAGAAAAGGCCTCTGACTATGGATACAGCTATATATTTAATTATGGAGAAAACCATACACAGTTTGATAATAATAAATTTTCAATTCTCAATGAAATGGATGGTTCAAGAAATATAAATGATCAAAATTGGCTCCAGAAAACATATAAAACCTAAATACACTAATAATGGCAGATGAAACGGAAGGGACAAAATCTACCCCAGGAATGGTATGAACCCATCCATTGGTCTGGGAGGGCTAGCAGGGAGGAGGGGTGTGTGGCTGAGCTGGGCCTGGTCCCAAGTGGGACTAGCCCACCCCTTGTCTAGCCCACCCCTCCACACACATACACCTGCAAATGCCCGGCCACAGGCCCCTTGTCAGCAGTTCTGACTCCAGGGCTTCCTGGGGGAGGCTGAAGATAATGGGCAGCTACACTATTAAGAAATTATGATCCTGCCTGCATTCCCCATGCCTGATGTCATGAAGGTAGGAGGACTCCAGAGACAGAAAGTATTAGTCACTGTGGGAGAAGAGGTATGCTGCCAATGTGCGTGTGCGTGTGCGTTTGTGAGAGAGAGACAGACAGATAGACAGAGACAGAGAGGCAGCCAGACTGGGGGAGGAGGAAGGAGAAAGATAAATGGAGAGACAGGGTCAGTGTTGTGCACATCTGTCTGCGATGCTCCAATCCTCCCACTTGAGGACAAGGGATCAAGGGACCCAGCAGCTTTGCAAAGGAGGATTTAACTGGAGACCCTGGAACTGCTGGGAGCTTATCGATTTCAGATGCCAAGGCAAGCCCCACATGCTGGCAAGGCATGTAGTCCCAGGCAGGAGGGCAGCCAGCATGGAGGAGCACCAGCCTGGGGCTCTGATGTAATAGTCAAGATCTTCTCCTCCTCCCCCTCACCTCTCCCCCTTTTCTCTGCTTCTCCTCCTCCCCCTCACCTCTCCCCCTTTTCTCTGCTTCTCCTCCTCCCTTCTCCCCTTCTTGTTCCCTCCTGAGAAATACTAGGAAAACTGCCCACGCCTGGGATTACAGGCGTGAGCCACCTTCTCCCCCTCTTCCACCCAGGCTTCCAGAGGGAGAAAAGTCACAGCATGAGCTCCAGGGGCTCCGACAGTGGCCCATAGCCCAGGGTACGGTCAAGATCTTTGGCTAAAAGTGGTCCCACCCACCGTGTTCCTGCTGGCAGCCAGCACTATGCCAAAGGCTTTATACACACCCACTCTCTCAGTCCTCTTCACAGCCTTGGAAGTAAGATATTACCATCCTCCTAGTATAGATGGGGACATTGAGGTCCAGGAGTTAAAGGGACCCACTAAAGGCCATGCACCAGGAAGAAGGGTGTTCCTATTTCCCTAAGGCCCAAGGGTCCCAGCCTGTCCAGTCATTTTTCTTCAACCAGAACCACCACTGTCTGGCTATCCTAGAACCGGCTGGGCCGTATCTCCATTCCAAGTCTTTGCCCAAGCCGTGACTTCCATCTAGAATGCCCTTTCCCCTCCTCTCCACTGGCTGTCCCAGCCGCCTTCCAGCTGGGATGCAGTCCATCTCCCTTCCTCCTCACAAGAGCGCCCAGCCTCTGACCTCCATCTTTGAGCCCTTCCTGTTGCGTGTGTCATCTGTTCCTCCAAGTCTGGGGGGCCTGGCTCAGCTCCTCACCATGGGGTAGAGTCCCAGAATGTGGGAGCCTGGCTTTCATTTCCCTGGGCCCACAAAAGCTTCAGCACTCAAGGAAGGCTCAAAAAATACTTGCAGAATGACTAGATGCATCATCTGCACTCTACAGAAAATGCCATCACTGGGTTAAAACAGCCCCCAGCTTTAGGGGAGATCACTAAAAACTGACTTTCAAACTGTTATGACACATGGTGGGGCACGGTGGCTCACATCTGTAATCCCAGCACTTTGGGAGGCCGAGGAGGGCGGATCACGAGGTCAGGAGTTTGAGACTAGCCTAGACAACACGGTAAAACCCAGTCTCTACTAAAAATACAAAAATGAGCTGGGCATGGTGGTGGGTACCTGTAATCCCAGCACCTCGGGAGGCTGAGGCAGGAGAATCGCTTGAACCTGGGAGGCAGAGGTTGCAGTGAGCCGAGACTGCGCCACTGCACTCCAGCCTGGGCAACGAGAGTGAAACTCTGTCTCAAAAAAACAAAAACAAAAACTTTTATGACACCCCTACAGGGTGAAATAAGGGTCACGGAATATCAAGCAATAGAGAAAACAATTTCTAGAGATAATATGCCTCTAAGGGCCATACCTAAAGTTTTCTTTTTTCTTTTCTTTTCTTTCTTTTTATGTTTTTGAGACAGAGTCTCACTCCGTCACCCAGGCTGGACTACAGTAGTGCAATCTCAGCTCACTGCAACCTCTGCCTGCTGGGTTCAAGTGATTCTCATGCCTCAGCCTCCCAAGTAGCTGGAATTACAGGTGCGCATCCCCACTCCTGGCTAATTTTTGTATTTTTAGTAAAGATGGGGTTTTGCCATATTAGCCAGGCTGGTCTCGAACTCCTGGCCTCAAGTGATCCGCCCGCCTTGGCCTCCCAAAGTGCAAGGATTACAGGCGTGAGCCACTGTGCCCAGCCCCATGCCTAGAATGTTTTATGTATCTCTAATTCACAAACCCGTCATGGGAGGCAGGAATGATTATGCCCATTTTACAGAAGAATAAGGTAAGGAAGCTTAAGAATAGATTCAAAAAAATAATGTCACTTAGTTGAACACACATAGTGATGAGGGGTGTTTACTATTTTAATTTGCGCTCCCCTTTCTGGGTAATGGGTGTCTATGGAGTGGGGTTGGGTGCTGGGCAAAAGGGCTGATGCATTCACCGTGCACTGTTCCTAGAAAAAGGGCTGATTTCTTGAACTTCTCCAAAATGCTGGCAGGGTGCAGACAGCCAGGACACCTGGGACTCCCCAAGGGGAAGGGGGCTAAAGTCCTGTAGTGGGCACCAACTGGCTCCCTGGTGACAGGGAAGAGTCCCTTTGCCAGTGGCCCCAACCTCCTCAACACCCTGGCTTAAGGAAAACATCAGGGGAGAAGTGCCGGCCATCAGCTTTGGGGGTCGCTCATGCTGGAGGCTACACCCTGCAGCTGTGGGGAATGGAGTGAGGGGGTCTTGGGATAAGTTTTCACAAGGCCCGTGATCCCCAGAACTGGTATACAAACTGCATATGTCGGTGCACATTCTGGGGATATGGTCTATGGTTCTGTGGGATTCTTAGAGGAACCTAGAACCCTCAATGCTGCTCTTAGGGAAGGAAGAGAAGAAAGGAGAAAGGACAGCAGGGATCTCAGCTGTGTAACTAGAGCCCAGGAATATCACACCAACAGACGGGGGCCTGGCAGCGCAGAGAAACAGGGAGACAACTGGGAGCGCTGGCCTATAATCCCACTTCCACCTTGCAACCCCTCTGGGAGGCCAGCATTTGACAGGTGAAGAGACAGAGGCAGGGCAAGGCTAGTGATCTGCTTAGGTTCATATGGCTAATGAGCAGTAGAGGCAGGATTTGAACCCATGCCCGTCTGATTCCAAGCCTTGCTCTGCTCCTCACACCAGCCTGTCTTTGAGCAGGAGTCGGCAGTGGCATCCCCACAGCCTGTGAACAAGAGCAGGTCTAAAAGGAGGGGTGAGGACAGAGATGGAGGACAGAAGCCTGGAGGCTGCTTCCTGCATTCACCCCACTTGCTTACACCAAACTCTCCACCTACTCCGCACCTGCGCCTGGGCAGCCATGGGTGGCAGGGAAGAGAAAACTCATGAGTGCACTGGCTTCTCCCCCTTTAAAGGCCTGAGCATCAACTTCCAGGGCCTTCAGAGTGCCCACCATCCTTCTCCATCATTCTCCCACTCCCTTGGTGACCACCACCCACCTGACCTCTTTTGCCAAGCTTGCACTCTCAGCTCAGGAATTGAAACAGGGATCTACCAGGAGATAAATTCCACATGCTTGCACCCCACATCAACCCATCTGAGAGGCATGGGACCCCTCACACACTGCTGGTACAGTTTGATAATTCCTCAAAATGTTAAACATGGAGTTACCAAATGACCCAGCAATTCTACTTCTAGGTATATACCCAAGAGAACTGAAAGCAAGTTTTCACATGAAAATTTGCACATGAACATTCACAGCAATATTACTCACAATGGCCAAAAGTAGAAACAACCCAAATGTCCATTGACTGGTGAAAGAATAAACAAAATGTAGTATATGGCCGAACGCGGTGGCTCACGCCTGTAATCCCAGCACTTTGGGAGGCCGAGGCGGGCAGATCACCTGAAGTCAGGAGTTTGAGACCAGCCTGGCCAACTGGTGAAACCCCCTCGCTACTAAAAATACAAAAATTAGCTGGGTGTGGTGGCGCACACCTGTAATCCCAGATACTCGGGAGGCTGAGGCAGGGGAATTGTTTGAATCCAGGAGGCAGAGGTTGCAGTGAGCCAAGGTCACGCCACTGCACTCCAGTCAGGGCAACAAGAGTGAAACTCCATCTCAAAAACAAAAAACAAAATGTAGTATATCCGTACACTAGAATATCATAAAAAAGAATGGAATTCTGATACACACTGCAGCAGCACGAACCTGTAAAACACTGTGCTAAGTGAAAGAAGCCAGGCACAAGAGACCATGTGCCGTCCCATTCTGCTTCCATGAAATGTCTGGAGTAGGCAAATCCATAAAGGCAGGAAGTGGATTAATGGTTTCAGGGACTGAGGAGGGGGGAGAATGGAGAGTGAGTGCTCATGGGTAAGGGGGGTTTTGAGCAGGGTTGGGGATGAATACGTTCAGGAATGAGTTGGCAGTGATTACAGTAATTACTGATTTGTTAATCAGCAATACGTGGTTGTACAACTCTGTGAATACACTAAAAACCACTGAACTGTGCGTGTGAATTCTGCATGTGAATTTTATCTCAATAAAAAAAGTTATATGAGGAAAAAAATCAACCCACCTCCCTCCCTGTAAAACACATGTTCCACCTGCCCTCTCGCTAGGGTGGATGACCCAGCTCTGCTCCTAAGACCATCCTCTCCAGCTAAGCACTGGCTCCAGGTCCCTGCCACCTGTTCGAGGACACTGCTAAAACTGTTGTTCCTTCATCATCCTATTCTCTATTGGTTTATTTCCACCAGCAGGTAAATGTGCTGTAATTTCTCTCATCTTAAAACAAAAATACATTGGCCTGGAACAGTGGCTCACACCTGTAACCCCAGCACTTTGGGAGGCCAAGGCAGGTGGATTACCTGAGGTCAGGAGTTCGAGACCAGCCTGGCAACATGATGAAACCCCATCTCTACCAAAAATACAAAAATTAGCTGTGTGTGGTGGCGGGCGCCTGCAGTCCCAGCTACTCAGGAGGCTGAGGCAGGAGAATCGCTTGAACCTGGGAAGCAGAGGTTGCAGTGAGCCAAGGTTGTGCCACTGCACTCCAGCCTGGGTGACAGAGTGAGACTCTGTCTCAAAAAATAATAAATAAATAAATAAATAAATATATATATTTTAAAACTCAAAAATACAATAAAATGAAACAAAAAAATTTACAAATAAAGCTGGGTACAGTGGTTCATTCCTGTAATCCCAATACTTTGGGAGGCTGAGCTGGGAGGATCACTTGAGCCCTGGAGTTTGAGACCAGTCTGGGCAACAAAGTGAGAACCCCGTCTCTACAAAAAATACAAAAATTTGCCAGGCCTGTGGTCCCAGCTACTGAGGAGACTGAGGTGGGAGGACTGCGGGAGGTCAAGGCTGCAGTGAGTCATGATCATGCCACTGAACTCCAGCCTGGGTGACAAAGCAAGACCCTGTCTTTAAAAAAAAAAAAAAAAAAAAAAAAAAAATTACAAATCAAAACCCCGCCCCTTGGCCTCACCTCTCCCTCCCACTACTGTTCATTTCTCTCTTCCTCCTTTCAGAAACGCTTCTTGCCTATCCTCGCTGCCTGCTCCTCCTCTCCACCACTTTCTTGAACCCACTCTAATTAGACTTTCATCTCCAACCACTCCATCAAAACTGATCTTGTCAAGTCACCAATGACCTCCATGTCACTAAATCCAATGGGTGCTTCTCAGTTCCTCATCCTGCTGGGCTCCTGGCCGGTCTCTCATGCAGCTTAGCTGATGGTCCCTGCCTTTGTGAAGCACCTTCTTCACTTGGCTGCAGGATGCCACTCTCCCTTGGTCTTTATCCTACTACAGTGACTGGTCCTGCCCTGTCTCCTCTTCTCCCCAGCCTCTAAACATTGGTGGGTCCTTCTCTAACCGCAGTCACATTCTTGGTGATCTCTCATCCTGCAGCTTTACAGGTCACCACCCAGATTTCTATCCAGCCCACAGGTCTCCCCTCCTACAGGCTTAGATATCCAGCTGCCACCCTGACTTCTACTTGTATGTGTGAAAGGCATCCTGGATTTAACACGTCCAAAATTAGACTCTTGATTTCCCCTCAAAACTTGTTTTTCACTGTTCTTCCTAATCTTGATAAATGTAACTCTATGCTACTGGTTCTTCAGGCCAAAGACTCTTCCCTCTCTAATAACCTCAAATACTCCATCGACAAATCCTGTCGTTTCCTCCTTCAAAACACAACCAGAATCTACCCTTCTCACCACCTCCTCCACCAATGCCCAAGCCCATCATCAGGAGCTTCTTAACTGGTCTTTCCGATTCTGCCATGGTTCCTCTGTGTTCCGTTCACACCAGAGCCAGAGTGAGCTCTTCTCACTCGCCAGGCCAGGAGCGCAGCAGGATAAGGAACTGAGAAGTATCCACGTTTTAAACATGTTAGATCATGTCCTTCCTCTGCTCAAAATCCTCCAATGGCTTCTCATTTACCTACAAAACCCTGTGAGATCAATCCCTTCCAGCTACCTGCCTGACCTCTCTCCTACTAGCTGTGCTCTCACTTGTTCCACACGCTGGCTTCCTAGCTATTCCCCACACAGGCCAGGCACACCCCTGCCTCGGGGCCCTTGCACCTGATACTCCCACTGACTGAGATTCTCTTCCAGATACAGGTGCAGCTTTCTCTTTTAGGTATCTGCTCCAACATTCCCTTATCAGGAAAGCCCTCCTTGACCAGCCAACACAAGACCGTAACCACTTCCCCACTGTGACTCCCTTACCTTGTCTGACCTTCATCACAGCACTTATCACCACCTGACACCATACATATTTGTTTATGCTCTGTCCCCTCACCCCACTAAAATATAAGCTTCATGAGAGCAGGGGCTTTGATTTGCCAATTGCTATGTCCTCAGAGCCCAAAAGAGAGATGGGTACATTAGCAATTATTTGCAGAAGGAATTAGTGAACATATCCAGGTACATAGGACTCAGGGTTCAATTCACACAACTCTGGGCGGAGAGGTATATCCCTAAGTCAGGGGCTCAAGCCTCACTCCTGAACCTCCCTAGACACAGGGACATGTGTCAGTGGCCCCTCATCCATACAGGTGATGGGACCTATTCTTGAAACCATCAAGCCACCTCATAAATAATATAAACCAGACACAGTGGCTCACATCTGTAATCCTAGTGCTTTAGGAGGCCAAGGTGGGCGGATCACTTAAACCCAGGAGTTCAAGGCTGCAGTAAGCTATGATCATGCCACTGCACTCTAGCCTGGGTGGCACGGTGAGACCCTGTGTCTAAAAATAACAATAAAAACAACAATAATATATATCACATTAAAGCAATCACTGCAACAATAGCATCTACTGAGGTCTGCTATGTGCCAAGCCCTTGCAAGGTGACTTGTTTCCCCCCTCACTCAATAAACAATAATTAAACACCTAATAGATGCCAAGTCTGGGCTGACATCAGAGATACAATGGTGGGCACAGTCCTTTTCCTCAAGGAACTCACAATTTGTATTTTTTTCATTTATCCTTTGCAACAACTATGAGGTGTATCTCATTTGGATACAGATCCCACTGATGAGGGTGCAAGGTCTTTGTCCAGAGGCAGCCCAAAGGGAGGAGGAGCCCCAGTCACCGGAGCCAGGGTGTGGGGAGCACAGGCTGATAGAGGCAACACTGAGGCCCAGGGAAGGTGGCATCACCCAACACAATGGCAGACAGGGGAGGTCTCAGATCTATTGGTCAGGCTGGTGTGCTTGGCCCAAACTGGTCACATGACTTCTAACAGGGACCAACATGAAGTTCTGAAACTCAGGCAAAACCCCACATTAACTGGCATATATGACCTGATTGTCAGCAAGGAAAGTGGAAAAACACTTGGATTTTGGGATGCTGACAAATCTGGAACGAGCCCAGGCTGTGCTAAGAGTTGGGTGTAGGGAGTTGCATATTCCACTCACACCTTCATCACTGAGTCCAAGCCTCACTGAGCTGACTCTAGGTCAGTGGCTGGAGAGGGGTCCTTCAGCTCCCAGCCTGGCTAGTGGGTCTGGGAAGGGCCCCTCGGGTGCAGGGCAGCAGCAGCAGCAATTTTCCAGTGGTAGAGAGTACTTCACTATTTTACCAACTAGTACAGCAGTACTGAGGTACACTGGCTGCAGAGCAGCTGCGCTCACCTGGAAAGTGATTTACTCTCACTTGACTAATCTCAATTTCACAGAATTGTCACAAGGATGAAATAAGGCATCCTTGTAAAAGCCCTTAGCATGAGGCCTTCAAGAAAAGTCTGGTTGGTAGTAACTGCTACCACCGCTCTGAGGACAGACAGCAAGAGAGGATTTGGGAAGAGATGTGTCAGCAATGTGAGGAAGGGCTTTCTACCAGAGAGCACTGCCCTGGGCACCATGGAGATCAGTGAGGCATTTCAGCAGCATGGCTGATGCAGCAGGGACAAAGGGTCAGGCCCAGGCCTGCAGGGCTGGATTGCATAATCTCAGGCCAGCAGCCATGCTTCCCTATGAAGGGAAAGAGGGAAATTCCTCCCACATCACTGCTGGCAGGGGAAGGGCAGCTTCCCCTTGGTGGGTGACAGGCCAGCTCTGCCTGCACCCCATTCTTAGTTGGGGCCTATGGAGAGTGCCCACTCTGAAGCTGGCCTAAGGCCTGCTGAGCATAAAGCCCCCTGGTAAAGCCCCTGGTTCAGGAAAAAAAAACTCAGTAAACGTTCCTTTTCCTCTCCCTGCCCTTCAAATGTCCTCCTCTCCTCCTCGTCCCCAGAAAGAATGTGGATTCAAGTGTGTGGGGGAAAAGCCAGGTTCAGGCCCCTCTGAGAAGACAACAGCACTTGTGTCTGAGGTTTGGGCAGAAGCCAGGGTGGAAATGTCCCAGCTTCTGATGGTGCAGGAGAAGAGCCAGGCTTTTGCTCTTTGAAAACACTGGGCACTTGCTGGGGAGTCGGAGACAGAGAGGTTGCGGAGCTGGGCCCAAGAACCCCAAGGTAGGAAGCAGTGTCTGGAGACTCAGGGCCCACTGCTGTTCTCCACCGATGGAAGAAAGATGCAAAGTTCCAGAGGCTGGCTGGGCAGAGGGCGGGGCTGGGAGCCAGAGGGTGGGGAGGCCCAGAGACATCTGCCCTGTTGTAAGTGAGGAGAGGATTTGGTCAGCATCCCACCTTAAAGGCCCAAGGCCTGGGCCAAAGCAGGAGGTAGTGGGACAGGGTGGAGGACACGCTCGGCAGAGTCAAGAAGCCCAAAACCTGGCTCTCCAGCTAGCTAGGTCTCACCCTAGACTAGTGACCTCTCCATCTGTACCTCAGTTTCCACAATTGTAAAGTGAGGGGCTTAGCAGCCTTCCATCCCTAACCAACAGAAAAAATAGGCACACAAGAACTCTAAGACGAAAGAAGGAAAGCAGGGACTCAGATATTTATATACCATGCTCATAGCAGCGTTATTCATAACAGCAAAAAGGTGGAAACCACCCAAGTGTCCATCCACAGATGAACAGATAATGAAAACATGGTACATCCATACAGTGGAATATCATTCAGCTTTAAAACGGAGAGAAGGCCGGGCGTGGCGGCTCATGCCTGTAAACCCAACACTTTGGGAGGCCGAGGCGGGTGGATCACGAGGTCAAGAGATTGAGACCATGCTGGCCAGCATGGTGAAAATGCTACCAGTCTCTACTAAAAATACAAAAATTAGCTGGGTGTGGTGGCACGTGCCTATAGTCCCAGCTACTCGGAAGACTGAGGCAGGAGAATCACTTGAACCCGGGAGGCGGAGGCTGCAGTGAGCCGAGATCACACCACTGCACTCCAGCCTGGCGACAGAGCGAGACACCGTCTCAAAAAAAAAAGAAAAAAAAAGGAAAGAAATTCAGAACATGCAGCAACATGGATGAACCTTGAATAGATTGTACTAATTAAAATAAGCCAGCCACATAAAAGGACAAATATTATTCCACTTATCATAGCACTCAAATGAGGTATCTAGATTAGTTAAATACATAGAGACAGAAAGTAGAAGCCGGGCGCGGTGGCTCACGCCTATAATCCCAGCACTTTAGGAGGCCGAGGTGGGTGGATCACCTGAGGCCAGGAGTTCGAGATCAGCCTGGCCAACACGGAAACCCCATCCCTACTAAAAATACAAAAATTAGCCAGGCGTGGTGGTGCACGCCTGTAATCCCAGCTCCTCAGGAGGGTGAGGCAGGATAATCACTTGAACTCAGAAAGCGGAGGTTGCAGTGAACCGAGATCGCACCACTGCATTCCGGCCTGGGTGACAGAGTGAGACCTCATTTCAGAAAAAAAAAAGAAAGTAGAATGGTGGTTGCCAAGGACTGAGGAGAGGGGAAAATGGGGACTTAGTGTTTAAGGGGCAAGGGATTAATAACCTGAATATATAAGAAACTCAAACAACTCATTAGCAAAATAAAATAAAATTCTGATTTAAAGGGCAAAAGACCTGAATAGGCATTTCTCAGAGACAAACAAATGGATAGCAGGTATATGAAAAAATTATCAACATCGCTAATCATCAGAGAAATGCAAATCAAAACTACAATGAAATGCAAATCAAAACTACAATGAGATAACATCTCACCCCAGTTACAATGGCTATTATCAAAAAGACAAAAAATAACAAATGCTAGGGAAGATGTGGAGAAAAGAGAATGTTTGGATACTGCTGGTGGGAATATAAACTAGTATAGCCACTATGGAAAATGGTATGGAGATCCCTCAAAAAACTAAAAATAGAGCTACCATATGGTCCAGCAATCCTACTGCTGAGTATACACTCAAAGGAAAGGAAATCAGTATATTGAAGTGATACCTGCACTCCCATGTTTATCATAGCGCTAGTCACAATAGCCAAGAGTAAGGAAGCAACCTAAGTGCCTTTCAATGAATGAATGATAAAGAAAATGTAGCATATATACACAATAGAATATTATTCATCCATAACAAAGAATGAGGCTGGGCGCAGTGGCTCATGCCTGTAATGCCAGCACTTTGGGAGGCCGAGGTGGGCAGATCACCTGAGGTCAGGAGTTCGAGACCAACCTAGCCAAGATGGTGAAACCCCATCTCTACTAAAAATACAAAAATTAGCCGAGCGTGTTGGCAGGTGCCTGTAATTTCAGCTACTTGGGAGGCTTAGGCAGGAGAATTGCTTGAACCCGGGAGGGGGAGGTTGCAGTGATCGTGCCACTGAACTCTAGTCTGCCCAACAAGTGTGAGACTCCGTCTCAAAAAAAAAAAAAAAAAAAAAAAAGACATTCTGTCATTTGCAGCAACATGGATGGAACTGGAGGTCATTATGTTAAGTGAAACAAGCCAGGCACAGAAAGACAAATATTGCATGCTCTCACTGATATGTGGGAGCTAAAACAGTGGATTTCATGGAGGTAGAGAGTGGAATGATTGACATCAAAGGCTGGGAAGGGTGTGTGGGTGGGGGGATGAAGAGAAGTTGGTTAATGGGTACAGAAATACAAAGAGAAGGAATAAGTTCTAGTATTTGATAGCACAGTAGGGAAATTATAGTTAACAATAATTCATTGCAAATTTCAAAATAGCTAGAAGAGAAGAATTGTAATGTTCCCAATACAAAGAAAGAATGTTTGAGGTGATGGATATGCTAATTACCTGGATTTGATCATTACCATGCCCTCAAAATATGTATGAATATGATATCAATAAAAGAAAAGGGAGCAAGCAGAATAGTGGTTGCCAGGGACTGAGGAGAGGGGAGAATGGGGAGTCAGTGTTTAATAGGTACAGAGTTTCAGTTGAGGAAGGTGAAAAGGTTCTGGAGATGAATGGCAGGGATGGTTGTAGAACAAAGTGAATGCACTATGCACTTAGAGATGGTTAAGATGGTAACTTTTATGTTATGTACACTTTATCACAATAAAACAAACAAACACAAAACTCTATGGCTCTGCCGAAGGTTTGGGGCTTCCTGATTCATGACAAGAGAGAATTGGGGTGAGGGCAGTCACACAGCTGAAAGCCAAGGTGAGGTGGTGTTCCAAAGTCAGAGACAGGAGGAGAGGGCTGAGAGCATGGAGATGGGACAGCCGAAGCAAACCCCACAGTGGAGAAGCAGGGACCAGACGGGGAGGAAGAGAGGCTCCGAGGGTTGGGCCCTTGACAATATAAAGTGAGATGAGGATCCCGAACCCTTGCAGGAAAGAACTCAGAGCAGGCTTGCTCCAAAGCCTGGGGGTCCCACAGCCACAGGAGAGCCTGGCTGCTGGCCCCTGAGGCCAGCCAGCTCTTGTCTCTTAGGTTCTGGGAGGACACAGGCAATGTGACTTCCTGGAAGAAAACAAGAAACAGGTTTGCAAGAAAGCAGGCAGCCTGTGAGAATAATCAGTGTGGAAGTCACAGAGAAGGCTTCCTTAAGCAGCTTGCAAATCTCTGACGTGAGACTGAGATCACAACCGGAGCACCTGGTTCTCTGAAGGACCCTGGGTGAGGAGTAAGAAGGGCAGAAGAGGTATGATAGTTCAGCCACACCCACTTCTTCCTGGGACTTCAGCTCCCCTTCCCAGAGGCACAAGGATCCACTGTGCTGTGGGGGAGGATTTTCCTACACAACCAGACTGACAGTGGGTAGGAGTCAACAGGTAGCTCAAACTGTTGCTGGTTGTGTGAAACTTTTGCTGTATTTTCTTCAACTATAAAACAGAAATAACAACAGCAACTACCACGATAGCATTTGTAAGGATTCAAAGACAGCAAATGCAATGTGCTTAGCACGGGCCTTCCACACAGTTTCTGCCCATTCAATACCCCGTCATCAAAATTATCATTCTCTTCCTTCTCCTCATCATCGTGCTGCCACGTTTTTATTCTTTCTGAGTTTGGAAGAAGAGAAACTGCAGAGTTGAGATCCCCTGGAGTTCAGTGGGGTACAGGGCAACTGAGGGCACCTCCAGGCTTAGCACCTCCCCGAAGATGGCATGGCCTCAGGGGAGCAGGACCCCTGGGATCCAGATGCCCAGGGAAGTCCTGGCCATCTGAGGGGTGCAGACCACTCCAGAAAAGTTCAGCCCCAGAAAGGTTCAGAGTTACTCACTGCAACCTCCGCCTCCTGGGTTCAGGCAATTCTCCTGCCTCAGGCTCCCGAGTAGCTGAGATGACAGGCGCCACCAGGCCTGGCTAATTTTTTTTGTATTTTTAGTAGAAGCGGGGTTTCACTATGTTGGTCAGGCTGGTCTCAAACTCCTGACCTCGTGATCCACCCACCTCGGCCTCACAAAGTGGTGGGATTACAGGCGTGAGCCACCGCACCCGGCCAAGTCTTCCTTTTCTTAATAGCAGATCTAATGGAGTGGAGAAGCATCTAATCTGGGAATCTGGTGTCTATTCCCGAGGAAGGCCTGGGTGGGCAATGCCCTAAATCGGGCCTGACTCTGGTGGCAGAATTAGAAGCTTAACAAACTCATTCTTCTAAAGTAATGCCATGGAGAGCCCAGGCATTCAGAACACAGGCTTTGCAAATGCACACTTCTAATATAATGCTGCGGCCATGTTTCCCCTCTCCCTGCTGCTCCTGCTATAAATGTTGAGGAAAACATTCAATCTTGAGGAAAACATTTTTCCTCAGAAACCAATTTAACATCCAAAGGTACTCAGGAAAAAGTCAGAGAAGTTTATATGGCTGTAGAGAGAAATACTGATTGAGTTCCAACGATGTACCAGGCATGGTGTTACTTTCTTACATGCATTATGCAATGTGTTTCAGAATGTTCTCTATGGAACATAGTTCAGAATCACGTGCAAAAAATGACCCCTGTGGGAAGCTCTAAGGACAATGTATCCTATCACTACACCTCTAATATGTGTTTGCATGTTAAAAGTTCTTGTAAGTCCTGCAGTGAAGAAACTTGTTTACATTTATTTAACTCAGTATATCCCAAAGTGTGCCATATATTCCAATAGGTGATGCATGAAATGATTTTAGAAAGTGCACAGATGTAAGTTTTAATTTTAATAGTTATATATACTTATTATTGTAATGTGAGTTAGAAAAAAATAATATAGCTAGCACATCAAACCTTTCACTACACATATATTGTTCAAGGTTTATTCTTTCATTTGGTCATTCCACAAATGTTTACTGGGGAGCTACTATGAGCCAAGCAGTATTCTAGATGCTAGGAATAATGCAGTCAGTAAATAAAGTCCCTGCTCTCAGACATTTATATTTTAGTCAGCAGAGACAAAAACACAAACAAAGATAAAATATGTCCAACCATAAAAGGCAGAATAAAGAAGAACAGAGTTGGGCATAGAAATGACTGGGGTGGGGTGGATACTAGTGTCAATGGTTTGGTCAGGGAAGACCTCTTAGATAAAGTGACATTTGAGCTGAGACCTAAATGAAATCAGTGTTTCTGCAGGAACAATGTTCTAGGCAGAGAGAAGACAAAATGCAAAGTCCCAAGATGGGAAGGTGCTTGGTACCTGTTCAAATTGTTCAAAGTCCCAGGGCTGCAGACAAACCCTTGGAGGACGGTGCTTTTTAAAATTGAGATACAATCTACATGCCATAATATTAATACTTTAAAAGTATATAATTCAGTGCTTTTAAAACATATTTACAAAGTTTTTTTGTTTTGTTTTGTTTTTTTGAGAGGGAGTCTCACTCTGTTGCCCAGGCTGGAGTGAGGTGGCGCAGTCTCGGCTCACTGCAATCTTTGCCTCCTGAGCTCAAGTGATTCTCCCACCTCAGCCACCCGAGGCTAATTTTTATATTTTTAGTTGAGATGGGGTTTCACCACGTTGCCCAGGCAAGTCTCAAACTCCTGAGCTCAAGCAATCTGCCCACCTCAGCCTCCCAAAGTGTTGGGATTTACAGGCCTTGTAAGCCACAGCGCCCAGCCACAAAGTTGTATTTTTTTGAAGTCATGATTTGGTTCTGCTTCTGGCCAAGATGGAGTGACAGGGACCAGATTTACGTTCTCAGCTGAAACAACCAACAGACAGACAAAATATGTGGGAGGACTGCTTCAGCCCAGAAGGTCTAGGCTGTGGTGAGCCTTGATCATGCCACTGCACTCCAGCCTGGGTAACAGAGCGAGACCCTGTCTCAAAACAAAAACAAAAACATCTTCCCACAAAGAAAACTCCAGGGCCAGATGGCCTTGTTTGTGAATTCTACTAAACAGTTAGGGAAGAAATACCAATTTAACTCAAACTCTTCCAGAAAATTGAATAAAACTCGTTCTATGAGGCCAACATTACTCTGATACCAAAATTAGACACAGACATTACAAGAAAACTATAGACCAATATTTCACAAGAACACAGACATAAGAATTGTAAACAAAAGTTTAGCAAATCAAAGCCAACAATATTAAAGGATAATACATCATGACCAAGTGGGGTTTATTCCAGGGATGCAATTTTGGTTTAATATTAAAAAAATCAAGGACCAGGGATGGTGGCTCACACCTGTAATCCCAGCACTTTGGGAGGCTGAAATGGAAGGATTGCTTGAAGCCAAGAGTTCAAGACCAGCCTGGGCGACAATGGGAGATTCCCCCCAATCTTCACAAAAAAATAAAATATTAGCCGGGCACAGTGGTGTGTGCCTACAGTCCTAGCTACTGGGGAAGCTGAGGCAAGAAGATCTCTTGAGCCCAGTATTTTGTGGTTGCAGTGAGCTAAGATCATGCCACTGTGCTCCAGCCTGGGTGACAGTGCAAGACTCTGTCACAAAAACAAAACAAAACAATCAATGTAATTTACCACATTAACAAACTAAAAAAGGAAAACCATTTGGTTATCTCAGTAGACACAGAAAAAGCACTGGACAAAATCCAACATCCATGCCTGATAAAAACTCTCAGCAAACTAGAAATAGAAAGGAACTTCCATGACCTGATAAAGGCCATCCATAAAAGGCCTGCAACTAACATCATACTTAATGCTAAAGACCAAACACTTACCCCTTAAGATCAAGAACAAGACAAGGATGTCTGTTCTTGTTACTTCTTTTCAACAGGATGCCAGAGATTTTAATCAATGAGATAAGGCAAGAAAAAGAAATAAGAGCCATCCAGATTGGAAAAGAAGAAGTAAAACTGTCTTTACTTGCAGTCACTATGGTCTATTCAGAAAAATCCAGCAGAATCTACAAAAAAGATACTAGAACTAGTAACTGAGTTTAGCAAAGTTGTAGGTTACAAGATTAATATACAGAAACCTATTGTTTTTATATATACTAGCAACAAACAACTGAAAATTGAAATAAAAAACCAAAAATAATAATTTACGGTAGCATCAATACAGATACAGGTATAAAACTGACAAAACATGTAAAAGACCTATGCACTGAAAACTACAAATAAGCCAGGCGTGGTGGTTCATGCCTGTAATCCCAGCAGTTTGAGAGGCTGAGGCTGAGGCAGGCGGATCACGAGGTCCGGAGATCGAGACCATCCTGGCCAACATGGTGAAACCCCGTCTCTACTAAAAATACAAAAAAAATTTAGCTAGGTGTGGTGGTGCGTGCCTGTAATCCCAGCTACTTGGGAGGCTGAGGCAAGAGATTTGCTTGAACCCGAGAGGCGGAGGTTGCGGTGAGCTGAGACTGCACCACTGCACTCCACCAACCTGGTGACAGAGCGAGACTCCGTCCCCCCAAAAACAAACAAACAAACAAAAAAACCTACAAATAAAACTGACAAGAGAAAGAAGACCCAAATAAACAAATAAATAAATAAATAAATAAATAAATGGAAAGAGATACTGTGTTCATGGGTTGGAAGCCTCAACATTGTTAAAATATCAACTCTCCTCAAACAGATCTACAGTTTCAACACAATCCCAATCAAAATCTAGAATTTTAGAATTTAACTGATGCTAAAACTCACATAGAAATACCTTAGGACCTAGACCAGTCAAAACAACTTTGAAAAATAACGAAGTTGAAGATTTAATACTCCCTGATTTCAAGCATCTCCTCGAGGGTGTGTTAAAACACAGGGTGTTGGGCCCACCCTCAGAATTTCCAAATCAGTATGGGCCTGAGGATGTGCATTTCTAATTAGTTTCCTGATGCTGCGGCTACTGCTGGCCTGGCTGCCACACTTAGAACTAGTAATCCAGACTAATTCACACTCAGCTAGAAACACAATGTCAGATGCAAGAGATTCCCCTCAAAGGACAAGTACCAAGTAAACTATGCTCATTAAGAAACAACTTGCTTTTCCCTTTTTTATTAGCTAAAGACATCCATAACTGTTAATCAGAGATTCTGATCAGCAAGAAAAAACACACATGACATCACTGAGTTGGCATGATTCTAGCCTCCCCTCTTTGCTGAATGCACATTTTGGTTTCCACGAAATCTTGCAAGCCCTCTACGCAGGCCTTCCCTGTTGAGAATTCACCCTGAAAACGACACACGGCTTTATATCAACCATCCCATAACAGCAACATTAAGGAAACCATCTTGCCCCACTGAAACCTGTCAAATTTCCCTGATCCTCCCCATCTACTATCCCACCCAATGCAGGGCTGCCACCCAGGTCTCACCGTCCAAGATGGCCCATTGATTGTCAATCTCCGTATGTTTCAGGTAGGAGTCTTCAATGGTGGGGTCATAGTCAGGCACAAAGATCTTCTGGAAAAACTGGATGGTGAGGGCACTTTTGCCCACACCCCCATCCCCCACCACCACCAGCTTGTATGTGGGGAGGTTGTCACTGGGGACGGCGCTGGTTGCCATGTTTCTCGTAGGTCAGACCTGCGGCAGCAAGACATGTGGAATGAGACAGAGGGCTTTTTTAACTTAGGGGAAAATATTCATATGTTTTCCTCCTTTATAAAGTAATACTCTCAATTATAAAGAGGTTTGAAAATGAAGAAATGCAAAAGAAAATAAAAGCATTACCCCTGGTCTCACTAGCCAGAGACAGTCCACTGTTAAAGTGATTTATTCAACCATCATTTATTCAACACCAATTATGTGCCAGGCCTGGTGTTGAGGACACAGTACCACTGGTCTTGTTTAGCAAGTATAGCCAAAAGCCATGTCAAATAAGCTTTTTGGCCACTAAACTCTACTTGTACAGGTTAACACGAGGGCAGTGGTCTGAGCAGGGCTGGCATGGAGGTTCATCTTTCACATCCCCTCTTATTAACTGGGCTGCTATGCTGAGAAGGATTTGAAGCTGTGTCTAAGCTTAGAAAGGGGGCCATGATAGCTTAGCACACCTGAGCTCTGGGACTCTGAGGCCCCTTCCAAGTTTCAGAATTCTATGATTGTGGCTCCTTTCTCTCTGCTTCTTGCCCTGTATTATACACAAAGTCATGCGGGAATCATTTTATTTGGGGAGGAGGGGGTAGGAGCAGGTCGAAGTTTTGTTTTGATGCTGCTGAGGCCAGCTAAGGCAGTGGTTCTCAGTCAGGGGAATTTTGCTCCCCAGGGATATTTGCAATGTCTAGAGATATTTTTTTTTGTTGTCAAAATGGAGTGGGTACCACTGGCATCTGTTCAGCACAGACCAGGGATTGTACAATGCGCAGGGCAGTCCCCCCCAGTGAAGAATTATCCATCCTAAAATGTCAATAGTGCTGAGGTTGAGAAACCCTGAGCTAAGGTGACCAGGAGGCAGCTGGAAGTGGGACCAGGATTCTAAAGAATAATTGGGCCTTAACAGAAGTGAAGAGTGACCTTTGTAAACAGTGTCACAAAGTGACAAGGAGGAGAGGCAGGAGGGAGCCTCCTGGAGGCACTCAGAAGAAAAGGAGGGAAACCAGGATCTGTGGTCATGATGGAAGCCAAGAGTTTCCAGAAGGAGGCTGACAGCACCAAATGTTAAACACAGGTGCAGCTAGGGGGATCCCCTAAAGAACAATTTGGAGGTTGTAGCCAGGAACCTAAACTGCTAACTAACTGTGGACCCTGCCAGGAAGAAGCAATACCACCTCCTGGTAGGGCATTCCTGGGTAGCACAAAAATCGAGGGAGGGAAAGCTTAATCCTACGGCTGTGTAGAAGAAAAGAAAGAATCCCTGTGCAAATTGGGATGGGAAAAGCATGGTGTACGTGTGACTGGGAAACCGATGGTCTCACAGAGAGGAGGGTGGCAGTGTGGCAGGGAGGACAAAGAACTGGGTGCCCTGTGTGCTCCGCCGCTACTTGGGAAGGCCACTGATCTCTCTGAGCCATAGTTTCCTTATCTATGAGTTTAAAGGGCTGGATTAGATTACTTTTATAATTAGTTTCAGCTCTAAAATAGTCTTCAGTTCTAGATTTTGACAGAAAGGGGGCTGGACACAAATGTGGGTTATGTGGCCACACTGATTTGCATGGGGCTACAGTCGAGAGTCATTGCAGAACCCTTTGTAGTTACTGAAGCCTGATGTTGACATTTAGGACTTCCCCAAAGTGTCGGAGAAGTACAAGCTTTGCTACACTGCAGAGAAAGTGCAAATCTGCCTAGGCTATACTGAAAATACACTTGCGTAAATATATTCATACCCTCTCCTGCAGCTCTACCCCATGTGAGAATTTATTCTAAGGAGATAATCAGAGAAGTGAAGAAAGATGTTAAGAATGGGGGAAAATAGAAATAACTTAATGTTGGGGGGAAAAGTTAAAGTTTATCCATATAATGGAGTACTATGCAGTCATTTAAAAGGAAGATATTCACTAACCTAGAAAAAGTGTGTTGTTATGTATGAAAAAAAGACAGGCTGCAAAACAGCTAGTAAGTACACCTGATCCTAATGCCAGGTGTGGATCCAGGCATTAAGAACTTTAGCAGATGGTTGTCTCTAAGGCAGATTTCAGGGCATTTTCATTTTCTTAATGTTTCAATTTTCTACAACAAGCATGCATTATATTTGTGTACTGGAAAAGTTTAACACTATTAAAATGCTCCCAGGAAAATAAAATGTTCAAGCCACCTGAAAATGTTTGATTTCCTCTCATTCGAGTGGGGATTTCAGCTCCTTTGGGGCAGTATAGGACCAGGTTCCAGCTGTGGCCCCGGAATCTGGTTCCAGCATCTCCCTACAACACGGGACGGGCTGAGGCTTCACTTAACTGAGCTCTTCCATGGCCAAATCCATGACGGTGAAGGCAGGCCAAGGAGAGAGGGCGGAGGGGAGTTGCAGGGTGACAGAAATGGGGAGGGAGGGGTGGCCCAGTGGCCTCTCTCCTTTGCCTCTCAGAGCTGCAGAGCGTGGGGTTCACTCCTCACTGCCCCTCTGCAACTGCTGCTCTGTCCTGGGCAATGACGCTGGGCTATGGGTGAAAGGTGTTTGCTGGTGTTTGGCTTTTTGTTTTGTTTTTGGGTGCTACTGTCACCCAGACGGGAGTGCAGTAGCGTGGTCTCAGCTCACTGCAGCCTCCGCCTCCCAAGTTCAAGAGATTCTCCTGCCTTAGCCTCCCGAGTAGCTGGGATTACAGGCGCCCACCACCATGCCTGGCTAATTTTTTTGTATTTTCAATAGAGACAGGTTTCACCATGTTGGCCAGGATGATTTTGCTCTCCTGACCTTGTGACCTGCCTGCCTTGGCCTCCCAAAGTGCTGGGATTACAGGCATGAGCCACCGTTCCCGGTCGGTGTTTGGCTGTTCTTAAAGCTCCCATTCTCTGCTGGCAGCGACATAACTAAAAAATACTAAGTGGGTGGGAAGGTATTGAAAAGGAAAACCGTTTGTCTTTATTTTCTTCTCAAAAGAAAACAAGATAAGAAATACACTAGTAAATATGCTGGAGTACATGAATGAACCTTTGAGTCGGCACTCAGACCACCCACAGCCAAATCACTTGGGGACTCCTTAAAAAATGCCCTCTGCTTGCCAAGGCAGCTGGCAGGAAATGGCCAGTGGGGGCCCCCTCCTTTTGACAGCACCCTGCTCTCAGAGGTTGAACCCTCAGAGACCACAGGGAGCCAAGCCGGGGTTCCCTTCCCACTTGGGGTTTCCTTCTAATTAGGACACAATGGAACAGGGCTAGACTACTCATTTCACACAAACATCAGACTGGGCCCCTTGTGAAAACCCTTTCAGTGCCCCACAATGCTGAGGAGGAAAGTCCAGGCCCCCTCACAGGACATTCAATGCCTGTCGCTGGCTGCCACTGCTGACCTCTCCAGCCACACCCGTGCCGCAGCCCCTTATACTCTACTGTCACCCCCAACCAGGTTTGTGGTCCCCCAATGTGTCCTGTGGTCACACTGCAGCCTCTGTGCACACCTAAGACCCCCAGGAGAGCACAAACCTCCTCATGGGTCAGCACCAGGCACTGCCTCCACCTGCGCTTTGAGCCCTGAAGTTCCTGCCACAGACGCCACAATGATGCCTAGAATTTTCTAAGTGTTTACTGTGCACAAAAGGGCAGGAACAGCATCTTGTTCTTCTCTGTACTCCCAGAGCCTGGCACAGCATTGGCACAGGGCAGACACTTACTGAATGAACTAGAGGTTCAACACGCATTTCTGAACAATGGTCAGACAACCTACACACCACAGAGCTGGCTTCCTCATGGAGAGAGCTAAGGGACAACTCTCTCAGCCAGGGCTTGGGACTGTCTCTCTCCTACTAAGAGATGAGACTAATGGCACAGACAGGACCCTTGGAATCAAGTGTGAGCTAGAAACAAAGAAGGGGTTTCCAAGGCTGGAGAATGAGTCCAGAGAACCCCCCAATTCCTAAAGGTGCTATCTCATCTTGATAGGCATGTTTCTCCGGCCCCCCCCAAAACCCTGATCAAATGATGTCTTTGCAGATGGGGAGGTCAAGACGCCAAGAGATATGAACCACACTCCTACAAAATAAGCTGGTCTCATGCGGTACAGAGAAAGATTTTTTTAAAACCACTCACAGGCTACGACGAAAAGTCACCGCAGAATGAAAAGTTGGTTGGTTGGTGGGTAAGGAGCAAACTGCTGACATTCACAACACCCCTCTCCTTTCCAGCCTTCTCAACTAAAAAGCACCTCGGAGATCATTCTAGGATGTTAGGTCTTCACTTTTGAGGATGATGGATGTGACCCTTTGAGGTGGGAAGGTGGTATAAGGTAGACTTGGGGTTCTCCTTAAAGTTTCCCCACTATTTTCTGTGCTGAATACTCCTCCTACTGACCAGTTGAGTGACCTTGGGCAAATTACCTTCTATGGCCTCAGTATCTTATTAGTAAAGTGGGTTAGTTGGAGACTCATACTTTGTAGGATTGCTCTAAGCATGAAATAAAATGTGTGAGATATGCTGAGCTCTGAGAAGATGCCCAAATGCTCACTTTCTCACCTTGTTTACTTTACTCCCAAGAAGAGGGAGCACACACACACATATACACACTCACACATACACACTCACACACACACACACTCTCTCTCATTCCCAGCCTCCTCTCAGCATGAGAAGCCTCACCACCATCTCTGCTCTGTTAACAGCCAGACAAAATAGGCCTGTGTGGGAACATCACCCATCATTTAGAGCATTGTTTCCATGGGAAATGGCTCTGAGGTTCCAGGCAGCCCCATCCACGCAGAAACCAACTTTGGGAACAGCAGCCACTTGGCCGTGGGGGCGGCTGAACTGGTTCCCATGGCAACCACTGCTCCCAGGGCCCCGCCCAGGCCACAGGCTGCATGGCAACCCAAACCCGTTGTTCATACTGGAAACTTCTGCCTAAAAGGCAATATCACTTCCTCAATAATTTTAATAACATGTGTACAAAAACCTCAGGCATCTGTAAATGGAAAAATAAGCTCTTTTGGCTGTTGTCTGCCTCTTGCTCCCTTTCTTTCCCCATAGGTAGAACCTTCTTGCATGGTTTGAAGTTGTTTCCCTGAATGCCAGATTTACCTTGTCAAACAGATTGTAAGCTCCACGAGGACAAGAGCCACATCCTCTCATTCCTTTGCCTCTCACGGGGCCAGGCAGAGCCCAACACATGGGAAGCTCAGTCTCTACTCACACTGCCCTCGTCACTTTCCCAGTGCGGCCTTCTACCCACACGGGCCTCCCTTGTGCTAAGAAGCAGGGGGTCACACCCATCCTTCTGAAAGGGGCTGGCTCATACCCCTAGGAAGTGGGTGGCTGGGTGGACTGATCACCCCAGTATAACCTTTTCACCCAGCAGTCTTCAAAGTTAGCATGGGTGTGTCTAAGACCTCCCAGGAATAGTCTTTTGTAAAAGCCCAACGGTTCTCAGTGGGACAGCTTGGGAGGTCAGGGACAGCCTCAACTCCACAGCCAGGCAGCCGGAGTTCCACTGTGGCCTCCAATACAGACTCCCTGTGTGACCTGGGGCAAGTTTCTTAACTTCCTGGTGCCCAGTTTCCCCATCTATAAAACAGGAGAACAAGGCCCCAGGAAGGTGTAAGGCCTCAGTGAGAAAAACTTGGAGGGCCCCTCAGCAAGGGCATATTTGCATCGACAAAGTAGTTGGGCCCCTGCTTTCCCTTCAACCTGGTAGACTTCGGTGATTTAAACCATTTCCTTGCCCCATCCACAGCCCTAGGGAAGGGCATCCACACTGCATAGGACAGCAGCAGGCCCCAACAGCCCCCACAAAATGGCAAAACGGCAGGGCTCAGTGGGTCTTACCCCTCACGAAATTTGCCACTTCTCCTCAGGCTTCCAGGTTCTAGGGCTTCTACAGAGCTTGTTTCCCAAAACAATAGCCTAAAACCACTGCACCCATTGTTCTAAGTGAGCAGCACATGTTAAACGAATGGCTTCAGCTACAGATGTTGCCAAGGGGTCCATAGGTCCCCTAGCCTCTCCATGCACCCCACTCCACCCAGCATCACTTCCAAAGCAGTGTCCTATGTACTGGCCAGGAAAAATGGTGCCCAGAAGGAGCTGCATAGCAGCAACAACGCCCACCCTTAGTGGACAACTGCTGTGGACTGGTTAGATGCCGAGGGTCATGTTAGAACTGTCATGCCACACTGCCTCCAATTCTTTTGCCAAATCATTTTGCTGCATCACATGGCTTTTCTTAGGGTAGCGTCTTCACGATTCACTATCCTACAGGGCATTCTTCATCATTGTTGCTGCTTCCCTTGGCCCTGACCTTAGGACCACAGATTCTCAGAGGCTGGCCCAGGGCCAATCCAGAGGCTCTCCCAAAGATGCTGCCAACTTTATTGAAGGTTTGGTATTTACTGCTTTTTGCTTCTGTATTTCTATACTAATTATTTTAAAGAGTCCCCTTAACCCCACCAATTGAATTGCAAGTATTTTAGGTAAATCAGGCTAGAAGGGAGGACACATTCATAATTAATGGAGCTCTTAGGAAAGTGAATGGACTTTCATTCACGTTGAGCTGAATTAGACCTGGGAAGCTAATCTCATCTCTATGATGTCTGGGTGTGCCCAACCCAGGGGGATGAGGACACGCTGGGGAGAGTGACCCAACCCATGTGGAGGAAATGGCTCTGCATTCCAGGAGCTGCCCTTCCCTTCTGCACAATTCCCAGAAATGGGCAGCTTCACCAGAGCGCTGACCTGCAAGCTGTGTGTTAATGGCATGTGACCCCAGAGGGGTCTAGGCCACTTGGCATCCCTTAAGGCTTCACTCTCCGCTCCCCGAGACTTTGCTCCAGCCCCTTGTTTCATATCTTTGCTAAGCCAAGTGTGGCACTGTCATTGGGCCTCTCAACTACTCTAGAAAGCCACCAGTGCTTTTCAGCTCACTCCGTTATTAAGCCCTAACCACCCACCCAACCATGTATGTGGTTTCATGCCATAAACATCAAGTCTCAAGGGCAAGTAGGTGGCATGGGTGCTGCTCCCCCCCATTCCCAGAGCCACGGCAGACAACACTGATGGATCATGGTCCCCTTCCTTGTCAACACAGTACTCTTGGCAGCAGAACACAGTGACTGCTCCAGAGAGAAAATCTGTTTGCTGCCCCAGATCTAACTACTACCTTTCTGGTTCCCTCCAAAATATCCCACTTAGTGGCCATCCTTTTCCATAGGAACGGCTCAGGACCTTTAGGGGTAGCCTGCCTGGTGATGTCTGGAGATCTCTATTACCCAAGTCTTCTGTTAATCTACCAATCCGTGCTTTTCTTCTAATCTCAACTCCTCTGCCAGGATCACACCTGGACTGCTGTCAGCAGAGCAGAAATGATCAGACAGAAGTCCAGAGATCCAAGCAAAGGCCAAGGTTGAAGTAAGTCAGGGAGGGACACTGTTGTTGGGCTTACTCGTGACCCCTAAGTACCACATGCTTCCTCATATGGCAACTGTCAATAACTGGGTCTTTCCCATCAGTATTCGGGCACCTCCCAAACAGGACTCAGGGCGGAGCCATCTGCGACCCAGCACTGAGTCTCAGAGTAGGTATGCAGAAACCACCTGCCATGACAATTATAATTCAATAGTGATCACGTTAAAAGCAATAGGAACATTTAAGGTAAACAATGTGTCAGATGCTGTTGGAATATTTTAATTCTCACAACAACCCTAGAAGGTAGATTCCGATTATCCCCATTTTACAGTTGAAGAAACTGAGACACAGAGTAGTAAAATAACTTTTTGAAGGTCACCAAACTAGAAAGAGGCAGTGTCGGGATCTGAAACAACACAGTGTGGTTCCAGAGCCACTGCCAGCCTGTAGTGCTAGGCATCCTCTGCTGGCTAGGGGCTGGTGAGTATGTGTGTACAGTCAGGCCAGGGCAGAGGCAGCTGATCCAGGAGTGCTGGAAAGAGGTCAGCAGTGAGCTGGGAGATGGTGTCAGAGTAGAAGACACCCCCAAGGTCAGACTGCTGCCCATGTGGGTGAAACAGCTGGGCAGGTCAGAGCTTGAGGGGCAACCAGGGCAAATGCTAGTTACCAAAAATAAACACTTCCCACCCCAGCACCCCAGATCCAGGCTGGGACAGCTTGCTGACCAGGGCATAGATCTGGTACCAGCAGGTAGCCCTCCGCCCTGAGGACCAGTGAGGAAGCTGGGGGCACCAAGCTGCTGTGAAACCCTTATTTTCTAGCACCTCTGTTTGGGACCCTATCCCCTATATGGGTCCGTGCCCCAGCCTCAGCCCATTTCCCTGTGGTCCTACACTCGAGCTGTTCCCTGCCCAGCTCAGGACTGGCCCCTCAACTGGAAATCCTTGCCAAAGAGCTTGAGCTATGCAGACAGCCTGCAACCCTAGGCAAGTTACTTTCTGTACTTTGGTTTTCTTTTCTGTAAAAGTAGGGACAGTGGCAGAATCTGCCTCATGGTGGCTGTGAAAAGCTGCATTTATTTGCTTGGCCCAGTACCTGGCACATAGTGACTGTTCAACAAAAATCAAGTTGTTACCATCATCAACATCCTTCTTTGAAGTCCATCCCAAGTCCCTCCTCCTGCTTCTCCAAAGCCTTTCCTGAGTTCCTTGAGCGCCCTGCAAACTGGCAGGTTCCACAGGTGACAGTTCAACACAGCTCAGCCTCCTACCTCTCCCTTCTCGGAAGGCTAGCAGGCCGATATGTGTGTGGGGGCTCAGCTCCCCGACTATGCCTTGGAGGGCAGCAGGCATGTCTCAGCTGGCCACCGAATCACTACAGCAATGTCCCAGGAAAGCAAGCCCTCAAAGGCTTGCTGAATGAACGTGGATGAAAGGTAAGCTCCTCAAGACGGCTCCTCAGATGCCTTCTTTTGCATTTCTCCAGTATTCAGGAGTTGCTTGTTCACCAAAGAGAATGTGGAAGATATCAAACTGCCAGCAAGTTCAGCATGAAACAAAGTTTCTCCCTCTGGTTTCTAAATCCAGAAGAGCTCTCCATCACAAAACATAGCCACCCTCTGGGTACCCTGTGGTTTGGGGGGGGGGGGGGGTAAATCCTCTAACAGGTCACATGACATGAGAAAGGTCCCTGTTTTACCTGAGCCCAGAGAAAAATGAGGAGGAGTAAACTGGGTGAGGAGTCAGTGTTGGACTGACCCTCCTCTCAAGACACACACATGCTCCTCTCAAGACACACACATGCTCAGGCTCCATGGGATCACACACATCCAGTCAATGCTCCCAGAGCACCTCCTGTGTGCTTGGTCCTGGGAACTAGAGATACCAAAATAAATGAGCCTGAGCCCAGCCCCAGCCTGTGGGGCTCACAGTGTGTATTTTGTGGGGGAGGCAGGCAGAGGATTATGGTACACTGGGTAAGTAATGCAGGAGCACAGGAGTGGGAGGCATCTCACCCAGCCTGGGGGTGCTGCGGAAGGCTTCCTGGTAGAAGTGACACAGAACGGGGTCTTAAAGGCCAAGTAGATATTAGCCACGTAAACAGTAAGGACGGTCAGGCATGGTGGCTCATGCCTGTAATCCCAGCACTTTGGAAGGCCGAGGTGGGTGAATCACGAGGTCAGGTGTTCGAGACCAGCCTGGCCAAGATGATGAAACCTTGTCTCTAATAAAAATACAAAAATTAGCCAGGCATGGTGGCAGGCACCTGTAATCCCAGCTACTCAAGAGGCTGAGGGAGGAGAATCACTTGAACTGGGGAGGCGGAAGAATCACTTGAACTGGGGAGGCGGAGGTTGCTGTGGGCCGAGATCATGCCACTGCACTCAAGCCTGGGCAACAGAGCAAGACTCCGTCTCAAAAAAAAACACAAAAAACAAAAAACAGTAAGGACAAGCATGTCCCAGGTAAAGAATAGAAGCGACAAAAGTGTAATGCATGGAGGCATGAAAAGCCAAGGAGACACTCGGTACTGCGAGCAACATGATGTGACTGGAATGTGGAGTGTGTATGTGTGCATGGCAGGGGCGATGGGTGTCGGGGGTAAGAGTGGCAGGGGAAGGGATTACTGTTGGCTCCCTGGAAACAAGGGATCTTCATCTTTGTATCCCTATACCACGCACGGTGCCTGCCACACAGTGGCTGCTTAATAAGCACTGCATGATGAAAAAACAAGTGCCCAAGGCTGCAGGGCTAGGCAGGGGAGAGCGTTGGGTGTGATGGGCCTCACATGTGCTGGAGGCCCCCGGACCCTGCCCTAGCCCCAAGTCCATACGGGAGTACAATGTAGGCTTGCTAGATGGCTGCCTAACCAAACAGGGCCCCTGCAACTCTTTTTGATGACCACACTGAGGTTAACCAGCAGAAAAAGCCCAGGACAGAGTGGATGAATTACATAGGACAAACTCGAAGTGCTCCAGAATCTCAGAGGAGGGGAAGGGGATGGGAAAGGGGATGGGAATAGGGTCACGGAGGAACAGGTAACCCAGGTTCAGCCACAAAGGCCTGAGGCAGAAAGTTGTGGGGGAGGGTTATTATCCCCATTTTACCAAGGGGAGAGAGGCATTCTACCAAGGGCACAGGCTAGTGAAAAGAGAAGCTGGGATTCAGCACCCAGGCCTGGCAAGTTGCAAAATGAAAACACTGCCCCACTCACCCCCAAGCTTGTCCACTGAGCCTGGTGGGTCTAAGCGGCTCTCAGAACCGAGGAGTTGGTAAGGGCCTCAGTGTCTAAGAGGCCACAGAACCTTCAGAGCAATATTCCCTGCTGGCATCCCTGGCTCACAGGAATGCCTGCTACTTGGCCACCTGGCCTCTGGGGTCCTACCCCAGCCCCTCACAGTGCCCCCTGCCCAGCAACCAACAACCGGGAGGGTGGGAAAGAACTCAGTCCAGGGATGAGGGGCAGGGCGTGGGCTCTGTGAAGGCAGAGCTGCATCAAGCTCACAACTTCTTGGAGTGGCAGCTGAGGAAAGAGAGTAGGAAGTGGTTTTATTTTTCAATCCTTGTTCTCAGTCCCTGGGGGTCTATTAATATTTTCCTAGCACTGGGGCAGTCTCACCCGCAGTGAAAGAGGAGGACTCCTGCAGCCTTCCATAGGAATCTGCGTGCAATTGGGAACGTCATGCTGGTGGTCACTCAACCAGGGAAGGCCAGCCTCTGCACACTCTGGGGTTCCCCAGACTGAGCGCCCTTGGCCTCCCCAGAGCCTGGCAGGCTGCTGTCCTCCCAGCCCTGCTCTGACTCCGCTTTGCCCTCTGCTCACAGAGCCCCGCACCTCCTCACTGTTCTGCTCCGCTGCTCAGGCTCAACCCTGCACAAACTGGATTCAGCCAGCACCTCCCTCACCTGCCCAAGGGTGGGCCCCTTTGCCCACCTCTCTGCCCCAAATTCTCTTCCTTTTTCTCCCTTGGCAGTGCAAACAGCCCTTTACCCACATCCCAGGCCAAGGCCTAGCAAGGCTGTCCACCACTGTGGCCCATGTCTGCCCCCGGCCTGAGCAACCACCACTAGCATTGTCCCACCCACCACTCCAGCATTATCACTCCCCAACTAACCCAAGCACAGAGTCTCCTGGAATGCCATCCATGAAGCTCTCCCCGCTGACCACAACATTCTAGGCCTTTCTTGAGCTGCCCAAGTGCCCCCTTCCCCTCGCATGGCCTCTGCTCTGCTGATTCCTGGTCTGGTGTCCTCAAGGACAGGGATGGTACCCAAGTGTCAGGTCCTATCCCCCAGAAACGATTCCTTCCTCTAAGGCCCTCTTCTATCCCCCAAGGTCTCCTTCCACTGAGCCACCTTGCTTCCATCTATGGAATGCCAACCAGGTGGCAGGTGGCAGCGCAAGTGCTCCGCAGCCATTATTCCATGTGATGACTCAAGACGCTTCACCAAGAGGCATTGTTTAGCCCCTTCAGGAACCGTGAAGGTCAGAGAGGCTCTGTGGTTTGTCCAAGGCCATATCTCTGACCTGAAAGCTCGGCATGCCCCTCTTCATCTGCCCTCAAATCTAGGAGCTGGGTGTTACTTCACAGTCACATTCCTCTGCTAGTGGGACAGTGGACAAAGGGCCAGGCCTTGTCTTCTTTTTCTCTGGGCATCCCAGAGCCCTGGCACAGCTTTCTGCTCAGAGACGCTCCAACGTGTCTGCTGTCTGCATTTCCAAATGCAGGAGTGATACTGGCAGCTGGCTGGGAGTCTGGCTTGGGTAGACAGTAGGACAGAGGTGATGTGGGCACTATGCCATGGGCCACACAGGACCTAGAGGACTGCAGTGGCAGGCCTCACGAAGGACATACCATGTGAGGAGTCCCACTGGACACCCGTGGGCACCAGCCCAGCAGGAGGAGTGGCGATGAGGGGTCCTTCCTTGCTGTCCAAATTCCCAAAGCACTGAGACCCCACCAGCACCCAGGGCATGGCCCCCTGACTGGCCCTGCCTTCTGAGCTGGGGATGCCACACCCAGCCCCCAGAGTACAGCTAAGGTTGTCCCTTAACTCCTTAGCTGTCCCAGCCCAGAACTGCTCATCTCATGGAATCACGGTGTTCCGCCAGTTCAATCTGGTAAGCCCAGGAGAAGAGCAGGGTGGCAACAGAGAGGGAACGGAAGGCCCGGATCCCAGGGCCAGGCATCCCTCTGCATCTCACAGGCCCCTGCCTGAGAGACGGATGCTTTCTGACTGATCCCCCCATCTCAACTGCTTTGCCCTGCAGTAGCAGCAAGAGGGAATCAAGAACAAAACGGACATCCCAAAGTCACGTGCACGTGCCGGCAGAGGCTGTGTCAATAAGTGATAGAAGGGGATAGGTACAGGCAACAGGGAGCAGTGGGGCCTGTGCAAACAGGAGATTACTGACACCCCGCACCAGCTGACTGCTGCAACATAATATCTGCAATGAGCTTGCCAGATAGTCTAAATTTTTAAAGAATAGCCAGCAATCTGAGTCTATGCAAAAACTCAGATTTCTGGCTATTTTATTATTTTAAATACTGGCCACCAATGAAAAAGTTTTACACATTGTGTAACCCAAATAAATCAACACTCTGTACCCATCCTTCTTGAGCACACACACATCTGAGTGGCACGGCCGTTCTAAGGCAGACAACTCTTCGCACTGCCTTGGCTTGGCCTGGCTTTGGTGCAAGGAGGTGTGAGATCAAAGGAAATGATCTCACTGAAGAGAGCAGCAGCAGGGGTTACTTGGCCTGCAGGACATGGGCCAGCCTGGCATTCTTCAGGGACAGGCACACAGCCCACCCCAGGAGTATGTCAGAGCCCAGAGAGGTGGAGGCCAAAAAGGCACATTCAAAAAAGGCTGCTGCTTTGCTGTGTTTTCATTATTTATATTTAAGATGTTAGACACCATTAATGAAGAATGTGAAAATGTTTATGCTTGACCAAAAATAAGAAAGACATAGGGTCTAGGTTCTTCCTTGAGGTGGGGAGAGGCAATTCAACCTTCATTTTTAAAGAGTAACCAGACTGCAGAGAGACGGACTGAAGCCAAATAAAAGGGAAACTTCCTGAAAACGAGGCAGGCATGGCAATGAGTGTGAGATTTTCCTCTGCAAAGGTCTGTGAAGCAGATGCGGAGGAAGAAGGACTGGCCACCTAGCTTTGGAGTGGTGAACCAGGCTGGAGGTGGGTGTGACGGCTTCTCAGGGACCCTTCCAATCCCAGGGTTTTAAGCCCACTCAGCAGAAGGCTACTTTTCACATCTCCCTCCCCAAGCCCTAAATGACTGCTGCATTTTTTCTCCTCAGTAACCAGCTTGCTGCTCCATTCCTGCGAGGCAAGGCCTGTCCAAAGGTCAGTATTGGCTGGGGGGTCGAGGGAAGCTTCCCACCCCTCTGCTTTCTACATACAGCACTTTTATAAAAAGTCATGAATCAAAGCCCCTCTGCTAGCTGTATAACCTTGGCCTAATGAAAAACCTCTCTGTGTAAAACTATTGTTGGTGGGTGGTAGCAGCCACCAGCTGGAGGCGGAACCAGGCTGGGCCCTGTGGCCAGGGATGGTCATTATAATGACCGTTTATTAAGCCCTGACCACATGCTAAGCACCTTAAATATACTTCTCTGACCCCCACTGCACCCCAGACTATATGAGATTACTATCAGGGTCTCCCAAAGCACCCAGCTGTCTGCCTTGACAGCATCCTGTATGCTGGCACTTAACTGCTAGTTAGTTGTTTACAAGACGTAAACATGTAATGCATCTTCCCCACTAGACCGTCACCTCCATGTGGGCAGGGCCCACCCTCTGTTCTATTCTCCACTGTATCTCCAATGCCCAGCACATATCTGGCACAGAGAAGGTACTCAATAAATATTGTCAATCTACATCATCTCTAATCCTTATGTTACAAAATGTTCTAACAGGAAAGGGAAAAAATAACACCTGGCTTTGCCCTGGTCATTAGGAGAGGACTGATTTGACCTGGCTAGTAATAATGATAGCTTAATAATCCCAGCACTTCTGCTGGTTCTTACTGTAGGTAAAGGTAAGGTCTAGAGTGCCTAATTCTTTTTTAGATGAGTTATTTAATGGCCCCTTTATATCTTTGTTTTTTTTTTTGAGAGAGTCTTGTTCTGTCGCCCAGGCTGGAGTGCAATGGCACAATCTTGGCTCAGTGCAGACTCTGCCTCCTGGATTCAAGCGACTCTCCTGCCTCAGCCTTCCAAGTAGCTGTTACTACAGGAACATGCCACCAGGCCTCACTAATTTTTGTATTTTTTTAGTAGAGATGGGGTTTCACCATGTTGGCCAGGCTGGTCTCGAACTCCTGACCTCAAGTGATCCACCCACCTCAGCCTCCCAAAGTGCTGGGATTACAGGCGTGAGCCACCATGCCCAGACCCCTTTACATCTGACAAGGGCAGCCCACAGCCTAGTCTAAGACAGATTGTTATCCTTGTTCTGCAATCAAAAGTAATGAAAATTTGGAGTTTTCAGAAGGTCTGGGGGAAAGTATCCAGGAAAATTGGTCCCTGGAAAATAGCAGTAAACTAGGTTTGAGGAGACAGCCACAGAGACATTCTCCAAGGGTGTGAGCAAGCAAGGGGAGGGTGTCTGACATTCATTTTTAACTTCTGCCCTGATCTGGGCTGCAGACAACTCCCTTTCTTAAAAGCCCTTGGTGGATGCCTGTTACATGCAATAATAGTGGCTTAGCAGATGAAGAAGCCAACCTTACTGTATGCACATGGGGCAAAGTGGAGTGGAGGCCAGGCGGCCAGTGGGCATGGCCCATACCCTGAAATCTTCAGAAATACTGCAGATGGGGAGGGCTGTCATCAATACTTGGGCAATTTTTAAAGAAAATAAATGAAACCCTCAGAGAATTTCTACAAGGAGAAAATCCTTTGGAAGAATTAAGAAATACTGGGGGATGTACCTCTTCATTTCCACATGTCAGGTGAGAGCCTGACCCAGTATAACTGGACTAGAGAAGAAAGGCCAGAGTGTGGCTGGGATACTCCCATTACAGATATGGAAGAGGAGGCTATAGAGGTGGAGATTCACACAGACAAGTAGTGGGACAGAACTGGAGCAGAGGGTTCCTTCAGGAAGGGAGGACTGAAAGTCCCTGAGTCCCCAGGCTGCCAATTCTGCAGCCCGGCTGGGTGGCCTCAGACCCCTCCCTGCCTGAACACCAGGCACTGCCAGAGGCCCCGCTTGGGGCAAGGGCGGCCCCACCTTCTCCTTCCACACAAAGGGGCTCTCCCAGCCCTGCCGTCTTTCCTATTTACCCACCCCAACCCTAAATAGAAAAAGTTCCTGTTAAATGCTCTATTAGAATGGTTATTTTGTTGAAGTGCCAAGTGACCTGCTCCTCCTGTTCCCTGCTTTCCATCCCTCCAGCCATACCCAGTTGGGAGTCCAGAAATAAAACAAAGGCTTTGTTTCTTTATTTTGATTTCCTCCTAAAATCTCAAACATGCAGGAAACACCCACCCAGCCCCAGATTAGTGGATTCAGGCAGCTGTCCACTGCGGTGGGTGGGACGGGGGGACGGGGTCAGTGAGTAGGGGTGGATGGGAAGGCTATGATGCCAGCTGGCCTTAATTGCTTGGGAGTGCCAGGGCACCTGGCCTCTCCTGGGCTGGACTTCCTCAGCAGGAGCATGAGACAGACTAGGCCTTCCAGCTCTGCCCCAGGAACCTCAACCTGAGGAATGTGGGTGGAGAGGGAAGGCTAAGGAGGCATAGCTCATAGAAGTTTTTAAAAATATACGCCCCCAAGTCTTCGGGACAGTGATCCCACCCTCCTTCTATCATCTCTGGTTATAATAAAGCAGACATTGAAAGAAGACCATGATAGACTGGTGAGAGCAGTGTTGGCCAAGAAAGACGGCTTTGCCTGTCTCCTCCTTGAGCCTCCATTTCCAGTGGAGTGAAAATATAAAGAAATGAATTTGTGGGTTATCTAAAAAGGGAGAATTTTCAAGAAGGCACGTTGAAATTCTAAAGGATCAGGAAAAAAAGCTAAACTGAACCAAAATTAATTTTGCTTTTGAAATGAATACATAATGCTTTTGAGAGGCAAGAATCTGCCGCCAACACCCCCCATAAATGGTCAGCTCCTAAAGGGGTGGGGGAGTCTCCTGAATCCACTACACTCCAGCAATCTCCCCACAGATCCACATGCCCACAAATACTTTTACATTTAATCTGTGTACTTGGTATACTAGGGCCAGCCTAATATACAGTATGCCAAGTAGTTTCTTTTTAAACCCAAACTTGTCTTTAAAAAGGTATGCCTGTAAGTATAACACATATGTGGATTTCCACATAATCTCATAGGCACTGGTTGTATAATATGTTCAACTGCCTTCACTGGTACGGCTTCCATTGCAAGATAAGCCCCAGTAAAGCAGGGCCTTCTGAGGTCTCTCAGCACCCAGCCTTCGCTGGCTTTTGCAGCATCTCCATCAGAATGAGGGAAAAGGATCTGGTGGTGCTATTTTTTATTTTTATTCTTTGAGACAGAGTCTCTCTGTCGCCAGGCTGAAGCACAGTGGCGCGATCTCAGCTCTCTGCAACCTCTGCCTCCCGGGTTCAAGCAATTCTCCTGCCTTGGCCTCTGGAGTAGCTCAGACTACAGGCACACACCACCACGCCCAGCTAAGTTTTATATTTTTAGTAGAGACGGAGTTTCACCATGTTGGCCAGGTTGGTCTTGAACTCCTGACCACAAGTGATCCTCCTGCCTCAATCTCCCAAAGTGTTGGAATTACAGGCGTGAGCCACTGCATCCAGCCTGGTGGTGTTATTCTTTAAGGGCAACTCAGGGAAGGAAAATGTTTCAAGACATTCTCAGCACTTAATGAAGAGGACTTGGGGTCTCCCGCAGGTCCCCACTATCTATTATGAAACCAGATGAAATCTCGGTCCCCAATAAGGACTGACAAGAATCTGCCCTGGATAAGAAAGCCTTTCCAGAAGTTTTTGAATCTTTCTGCACAGCTTTAAAAAGCAGAGCTTTACTCACTGTTCTAACTCATGGCAAACTACATGCAAACAGGATAACACCAGGCTTCAGCTCAGGAGTCAATCAGTAGGTGGAAAGGAGAAGGCTGCAAACAGTTGGGTGAGAAGCTGCGTCCTGTCGTCATGGAGAGCTTCTAACTGCAGATGCAGGGTTGGCTCTGCCGCCTTACTCCTGCTTGGCAGAGAGAAGGACCCAGTACCAGGCACCTGGTTTTTTCTGTGAAAGCTGCAGGAAGGGAAAACTGTGAAGTTATGGATTACAAAGTAAGCCATCATACTTTTAGTTTCCTTCTCTTAAAGTAATCCTATACTTTAGAGTATATAATGTATTTTGTGTCCAGGTGTGGGGGCTCATGCCTATAATCCCAGCACTTTGGGAGGTCGAGGTGGGAGGATCGCTTGACACCAGGAGTTCAAGATGAGCCTGAACAACAAAGGGAGACCCCATCTCTACAAAAAAAATTTTTTTAAATTAGATGGGCATGGTGGCACATGCCTATAGTCTCAGCTACTGAGGAGGCTGAGGCAGGAGGATGGCTTGAGCCCAGGAGTTCGAGGCTGTGATAAGCTATGATTGCTCCACCACACTCCAACCTAAGCAACAGAGTGAGACTTCACTGCTAACAACAACAAAAAGCATTTTGTTATCATTGTCATATAATTATAAAAAGAGAATATGTTTTCTCTGTCTTCCAAACATACAAACCTATCATTAATATTACAGTTCAGTTTAGGCAGCTATGACTAAACCATGCTCTACAGCTTGGCTAAACCCACAATGGTCAAGGCAGGTGTTTGTGAGGGTAGATGAACTTCTCTGAAAAAGATCATAGCCAAAAACACACACTCTCCCCAGAGTGGCTTCTCCACAATGTGGTCAGAAGCAGCAAAAGCCTCTTTAGTCAACAACTTCTAGGGAGGCCCACTGGCATTAACTGAGGACATGAAGCCCCAAGAGAGAGCCAATACATGAAAACTCAGGAGCAAGGCTCCCAAAAGCCCATTGCAGGCTGAGGATGGGCCAAACTGGCCAGGGCAAAGGATGAGTGGTCTGGTTTTAAGTCCAGCCCTACTGTGAAAAGGATCAAGTGCAGACAAAATGGTCACATCTGTTCATCTTGGGTAATAGGTACATGGTATTTGTTATACTACCCTTTACACTTTTCTTTTTCAAAATTAAAAAAAAAAGTGCACAAATGATTTAGGGGTTCATTTGTGACTGTAAGATTAATGACAGTCAGGGAAGACTCCTGCCAGCGAGGGACTCGCTGCCTCTCTTTGCCAGCCAGCGTCTTCTGCACCTCTGCTGCCTCACCACATCTTTGTGCACAGGCTGCTCCATCCCTGCTCCTCATGAGGCCTTTGCCCACTGCACTGATTATGTAGAGCCACACCTCCATGGGATAGGTCCCCTAAGCACCAGGAGAGAAGGGATCATGACATTTTTGGTCACCCAGTGCTGGGAACAGCACGGTCTAACGGAAGGAGCATGCACTTCAGGAAGAGACAGACCATGGCCAGATTCCTTTCTGACTCTGCTTCTCTCAGGTTATGACTGCAGGTGACCTACTTAACTTCCTTGAGCCTCGGTTTCCACATCTATAAAAGGTTAACTACATCTAACACAATTTTTGTGAGGCTTAGAGATAGCGAATATAAAGTATACAGTACAGGGTCCAGCCCACAAGTCTTTGCTGAAGGAAAGATGGATGGAGAGATGGATCAATGAATGGACGGGTAGGTGGGTGGCTGCAAGGATGGATGGAAGAAAGGACGGACATACAGAGGGGCTGTTTTTAAACTATGACATTTGAAGAGCAGTTGAAGAAAGTAAAGCTGCTCATGGTGGAGAAAAGCAGGACTGTCAAAGGTTCATGTGGGACAGGTTAAGGGAAGAAGGGAAAGAACTTCCCAACAATGAGAGAATCCGCAAATGCAGTGGACTGACTCAAAGGGTAGAGACACTGTGTCTCTAGAAGGGTCCAGGTGAAGTCAAAGACACACCCCTAATGGGCTGTCAGGGAAGGAAGGACTCCCCTTGTGGAAAGTTTCCCAGCCTTTCCTCAAGGGCTCACTTTCCCATTTGGGCCATATTTGTCTACTATTGTACTATAACTAGCTTAATCTGAAAACCACCATACTTTTAAAAATTTTCTTTTTTTTTACTTAAAATACTTCTTTAGCCTTAATCTGGGCAAAATATCCATTAAAAAACTCCCAGTTTGTTCTGATGCCTGTATTTTTATAATACATTCAAATAAACCAGCATATAACTATTAAAATGAAAGATGCTGTGTCCCACCTAAAATCATCTTCCTCACCACTATGAGAAATGTGCTCTACGGGGTGTGACTCGACTTAATACACTCAGGGGGCTCCTTCTGGGTCTAGGATTCTGTCCTCCGAAGGTTGCTTGAATACTGGTAGTGGTCTTCATTCTTCCAGCCCTTTCTGGCCTCCCAAGCGTATTTTCACGTGTATATTTTATCTAATCCCCATGACGACACTGAGGGCTGGGCAGAGAAGTCACAGATGCAGCCTGGGCCCAGGCAGCACAGGATCCAGACAAGGCCCTACAGATGGTCACAGAGGCCAGAACCAGAGCTCCCAACTCTCCACCCACCCTCCTTTGCTTGGCCACTACAAGCTGCACAGCCGAATTCATTATTGGTGCTCTCCAAAATCTTACTAGCACTACAACCCATATGTAAATCATATTGTTTTATCCGTCAAGGTAGCCTGATGCGAGGACTATACCCCTCTGAGACTCAGAAGGTCACTTCAGCAACCGGTGATGACCCACATTGTCATGCAGCAGTCCCCACCTAGTGAAGCTACCAAGAATATTAAAGACAATGATAGGGACATTAAGAAGCAAAATACAAAAAATACATTTTTATATATAACATATAACCAAAAAAATCAAATAATAAGGATTGGACTAGAATATAAAAATATTTTTTAATATAACAACAACAAAAAGAAGCAAAATACACATTGCTGCTTCATGACTCCTACAAGAGGAATGCCTGCAGAAAGCTGTCTTAGATCATGCTGGCCAGCTAAATGGCCCTAGGGGCTCAGTGCTGGGGGCCAGGGCAAGGAGGGCCAGGGTGGAGTCTCTGGGAATAGGTGGAACCAACTGCATCACACAGGTAGCGGGAATGCTTCCTAGAGAACAAGAGATGGGGCACCATTGAATGCATGGCGAGTGCAGCGTGGTCTCCACCTCAGCCTGAACCTCATCACCTCTGCGGAAGCATGAGGCAGTGCCAGCACTGCCCTCTTTGTCAGACCCACTGGCTGACTGCACAGACTTCAACTCACAGGCTGGGCAATGACAACTGTCCCACTCTATTTGTACTCTTGGCCCCCATCTCTGCCCTCTCACACTGCACTGGAATGGCATGCTGACTTGGCTGCACAATGGGCTTACAGAATAGGTCTGCCATGAACATTAGAGAAGTCACGTGCCTTTAGATCAGAGATGGCTAAACTGGGATCCAGGGCTGGTTTTCAGAGATCCATGAATCCCCTGAATTATATGTCCAACTTTGTACATCAACGTTCCCTGGGCTTCTCATCAACATATTAAAGAGGCTGTGACTCAAGAAGACAAAACCTATTACTCTGAACTCCAGACACTCAGCCTTTATGGCTACCTGTCCCATGCAGGAACTTGCTGGAAGTGGCACTGATATCCCATTCCTGTGTACAGAGACCTTCCAAGAGCAGAGAGCATCTTTGGGAGATCTGAGCTCTGCTTAATCTTACTTACTGTTATTTGGGTTTTGTTACTTGCAGCCAAAGCATCCCCATTGATTCAGTACTACAGGGCTCAGAGGCATGATCTAAGACTTAGGAGGGCTGACAGGGACTCAGAGTCCAGCAAGAAAATTCCTCTTAAAGCTTGAATTCTCTGCTGAGTCCCTAGACAATGGGTACCTGCCAGGTGTCCCAGGTCTCAGGGAACTCCTCCAGCTCCTTTTTTACCTGTCTCCAGATAAAGGTGACTGTACCTTCTATGCCTGCCCAGGGCCTGGCAGGTACAGAGCCTCTGGAACTCAATGCACATCCTCTGGACACTTAAGAACATTCCAGCATTGCACAAGAATGCATTCCCATTCAGTTCACATGAGTATGCTTGTACAAACTACACAATGCTCATGAGCAGGTATGTTTTTCAATTGCTTTCAGGGAGACACACTCTGTTTGGGGGCATTTCATTGGCAGAACAGATTACAATGGTTAAATCTGATGTGAAATATATTATGGAAGCCACATTTCCCTGAGAACTCACTAGATCCAGGAGGCTGGTCAACATGTGATTCTGACTGAGGTTAGGACCAGTCATCCCAGGAGCCTAATTTATCAGAGGCCAATAGTCATTCCTGGTTCCAGGTGATCACTAGAGCTTAGGAACCAAACCAACCCCAAGGGTAACTGACTTGTCACTTTTTTTTTTTTTTTTTTTTTTGAGACAGGGTCTTGCTCTGTCACCCAAGCTGGAGTGCAGTGGCGTGATCATGGCTCACTCCAACCTCTGCCTTCTGGGCTTAAGCAATCCTCCCACCTCAGCCTCCCAAGTAGCTAAGACTACAGGTGCATGCCACCAGGCCCAGCTAATTTTTGTAGAGACGGAGTTTCACCATGTTGCCCTGGCTGGACTTGTCACTTTATAAGTAGCTCAGACGAACTGAGTATGAAATACCAGTGGCTAGAGCTAATAATAACATAAAAGTTAAACCTGTCATAAAGTGTCTTATGTAGGTGAAAACAGAGGTGGAAATTAGCAACTGTCTTATGGAGGAGCGAAGCTGACAACGCTGGAGACAATCGCTTGCTTCACCAAAGGGCCTTGACTACCGCCTACCCCAGTCCCGCCCCCAGCTTTAGGAAATGCCGAGGTCACATCTAGGGGGTCAGTTTCCACCAGAGCACGAGGCTTGCCCAACACCTCCCTCCCCAGAGGCTGGCAGACCTCAAAAACCCCAGAGCATGAAAGCCCCATGCCTCCCACCCCGGCAGAAAAAGGACAAACTACACCATAAACTACAGAGAGAAGCTAACTGGCTGCTGGGCAGTGTGAACAGACCTAAGGGTGAAAACCATTGCCCGAAACATTTTCAGCCCCACTCAGCAGGGACATGTGATTTACAGGAAATTAGGAGGTTTACAAAATGTTAGCAGCTCAAGTTTCTTCCCCGGGAAAAGAAGCAGGAGAAGCTCTAAGAACCGTATCCGAGAAAGTGCTTTGTTCACTGCTAAGCTTCTGACACGAGTCAGTTATTAATACCCACAGCTCACTGCCTCACACTTCAACCCACCAGTGAATGTCTATAGTGAATAATTATAAAACAATATATTACAAAACTCTAACACAGGCTGCACCAGAGCCTTCCGAAGCCCAGGACAGCCACGTGGCCAAAAGCATGGACTTCAGATATGATCTTGGGCAAGCTGTTGGCTCTTTTTCACCCCAGTTCCTCCATCCTTTACAATAAACAAAATCCTTCTGGAGGTGTCTTGTCAAGAGGTGTCTTGTCAAATGATGAGCAAATCCACTTCAAGTGCCTGGTCTTTGGAAGCCCTGTTGGTTGCTGTTATTACAGTGGAGTTTCAGAGCTCTTAAAGTCATATCTCCATCTTACTTCTGCTGCCAGACAAACCTCTGGAGGCCACGATTCCGAGCCTTGTCAGCCACCCTCTCTGGTCAGGTCCAGGACAGAGTGAGTCCTAGAGGAGCAAGGCCAGGGAGGTTCCACACCATCAGGGGCCATTGGGGAGTAGGGGCAATGGCAGAGCTCTATGATCAAGGCCCCAGTGGCCTTGATGGACTCTGTCCACCTCTCCAGACTCCACTTTGCCCCAGGCCAGAACAGACCTCAGCTCTAGCCAGAGTCTAACTGGGTGTCCAGTGTATACGCTGCGGCCAGCCAGACATTAACTCCTCTAGGCGGCCTTCTCTCACCTCCCACTCTGCAGTAGGGACCCCTAGGGGCTCCCACAACCCCTGGGCTTACCGAATCTCAGCACTTACCACACTGGCTTGTCACTTTGTGCTCTTGTCTTCCCCGCAGGGCAGGACTGGCACCGTGTCTGATGCCTCAGCCAGATCAGTTCAATGCATGAGCCCAGGCCCTAGTTGTGACCACAGCTCCAGCTCCCCAAACCTCCGGGGGCAGTGAAGGGTTGTTTATGAAGCAGGCTGCGTTTTATTATTCAGATGAATTTGTCAACTCCCTGGCGGATCCCTCCCCTCGTTAACGCCATCTTAAGGCGGGGGGGTAAAGAGTCCCCCACCCACCCACCCATCCCCCGCCGCCCCGTCCTGCCGCCCATCTATCCACCGGGTTCTCGCCCAGGCAGCCAAGGAACTGTAATTACCATGAAAGGGTCTCTCTGAGCGGCGCGCAGGCCCTCCCCACTGGGGTCTTGGTCGTGGCCGATTTCACGAACGCACACCGTTACGCGGGAGCCCGCGATGGGGGCAAAACGCCACGCACAGCCGGTCCCAGGGCGCACCCCGCAAGCGGAGAGCGCGGCCGAGCCCGGAGGGCGGCCACACCTCCCGCCCCGGAACAAAGCGACGGCCGGGGCGAGAGGCGGCGCGGCCGGGCCCCCTCCCCTCCAAGGCCGCCCGACCACTCACCGCGCGCTCCAGCCCCGGCTCGGCTACGGCACTCAGGCCGCCCCCTCCTAGCCTGCGCCGGTGAGGAGGCAGCGTCGCGCCCGCCGGGCCCCGCGGCCGCCGGACTGACGGCTCCCCGCCAGCCGGCCACTCCGGTCCGTCCCCGCCCCGGCGCCTCCTTAAAGCGACCGCGCCGCCAGCGTGCGCCCCGAGCGCCTAGCGCGCCGCGCATTCCTTATATTGCCACAGCGCCTGCTAAAAATAGAGCGCCGCTGCGGGCGCGCCAGTGGGGAGCCCGGGCCGGGTGCCTCGACCCTGTCGCCCCCGCGTGCACCCCGGCCCCCAGGACGCGCGCCTACGAAGTCCAGCCCACCCGCGCCGAGTCCCCTGGGCCCGGCAGGGCGCGCTAGAGCGCCAGGGGCTGGGGTCGGCGCCGCAGCCTCTCCCGCGGCCCAGCACTTACCCGGGTCAGATCCGTGGTGCCGGGGAGCTGGCTTTAAGGTGGACGCCGAGTGGGAATTCGACTCGGCCTCTTTAAGAGCCTCTGCGCTCCAACCTTTAAATCTCCGCTCCGGCCGGGCCAACTTCTGAGCCTAGGGACGCCTCCCCAGTCCTAGGCGAACCTCCGCCGCCACCTTAGCTGCATTCCCTTCGAATCCTGAGACGTCTTTCTTCCAGATCATGCCCCAGCGTCTCTCCCCGCAGGCCTTCTGGGTGCACCGTTCCAGGGCCCAAACTTCGTTGGGATGGATGCGACGGGGACAGGCGACACTCGCGCACCATTTCATTGTTTCAGTTCCGCTAACTCCTCTCCAGCGGCGTCATTTTCCCCCCGTTAAAAAAATAAAGATATAATTCAACACCATAAAATTCCACCTTTTGAAGTGTACAATTCAAGCCGGGCGCGGTGGCTCACGCCTGTAATCCTAACACTTTGGGAGGCCGAGGCGGGTGAATCGCCTGAGGTCAGGAGTTCAAGACCAGCCTAGGCAACATGGTGAAACCCCGTCTCTACTAAAAATACAAAAGTCAACCCGGCATGGCGGCACGTGCCTGTGATCTCATCTACTCGGGAGGCTGAGGCAGGAGAATCACGTGAACCCGGGAGGCAGAGGTTGTAGTGAGCCGAGATTGCGCTACTGCACTCTAGCCTGGGCAACAGAGTGAGACGCTGTCTCAAAAAAAAAAAAGTGTACGATTCAGTGGTGTTTAGCATATTCACAAAGTTTTGCAACCATCACCATGAGCTAATTCCAGAACATTTTCACCACTTCCCACTCCCCTCCCCTGCCCCTCACAAAAAGAACTACCCGTTAGCAGTCACTCCTCATTCACCCCTTTCCTCCGCCTCTGGGAACCACTAATCTACTTTCAATCTCTATGGATTTCCCTATTCAGGACATTTTCTATAAACGGAATCATACAACATGTGGCCTTTTGTGACTATGACTAGCTTCTTTCAGTAACCAATGTTTAATGATCTATTCATGTTGTAACATGTAGCAGTACTTCATTCCTTTTCATGACTGAGTAATATTTCACTGTATGTCTATACGTTTTGTTTATCCCTGCATCACTTGATGGATATTTAGTTTTCTGCTTTGGGGCTACTGTGAATAAAGCTGCTATGAATATTCATGTACAAGTCTTTGTATGAACATATGCTTTTCTTTCTCTTGGGTATATACCTAAGAGTGGAATTCCTGGATCATATGTTAACTCCATGTTTAACTTTTGGGGGAACTGCCAAACTGTTTTCCAAAGCAGCTGCACCATTTTACATTCCCACCAACAACATATGAGGGTTCCAATATCTCCACATCTTTGCAAACACTTGTAATTGTGTGTCTTTTTTTATTCTAGTCATCCTATTGGGGGCGAAATGGCATTTCATTGTGGTTTTGATTGTCAGCATCATTTCTGAGGACATTCTTTTTCTGGGTGGACCTCAATGACTTAGAACCAGCTTTACATGTCCAGGGAACCCACTCCCTTCTCAGGTTTGCCCCAGGCCTAAGGGAGCCTCACAGTGCTGCTGGCTCTGCCTGCCATGCTGAGGCTCTTAATCCCATGCAGGCTTCCTTTGGCATCCCAGCCACCCATGCAGCCATTTGGTGGGAGCTGCTGTGCACCCCCTGTGCCTCCACTCCCACCTGCTGCTCCAAAGACCCTGTAGACCCCAAGTGTCCCCCAGGAAGGGGACAGCAGGTTGGGTGCCATCAAGAGTATCTCTCCTTGGCAGTAGGGAGTAAAAGACCTGGTTGGGGAGAAGGCTTGAGGGACAGTAGTTTACCTCGACTGTCTAGGTTTGCCCTGGAACCTGACTCCCTCAACCCCCTCTATTTACCACAGAACTTGGGAAGGCGGGCAGGGATCTGTACATCCTGGTGGCCTGTCAGCCCCTCGTGGGCTCCCCATGTAAGAGATGTCCTCTCTTGGGCCCTGACTGGCACAAGACCCTGACCATGCCCTCAGCTTGAGCTGAGCCAACATCTATGCAAGAGTCAAAGAGATGTCTTTATACTGCTTTTATACACATATCTGTAATAATACCTCTTCTCAGAAATGGAACTTAAACAGCTAATAGTCATACCCAGGTACCTGGGATTCTCCTTTTTTTTTTTTTTTTTTTTTTTTTTTTTTGAGACAGAGTCTCGCTCTGTCACCCAGGCTATAATGCAGTCGCATGATCATAGCATCATAGCTCACTGCAGCCTCGACCTCCCGGACTCAAGACATCTTCTTACCTCAGCATCCTGAGTAGCTGGGACTATAGGTGTGCACCACCATGCCTGGCTACTTCTTGTACTTTTTGTAGAGATGTTCCCGAGGCTGATCTCGAACTCCTGGGACTCAAGCAATCCACCTATCTGGGTCTCCCAAAGTGCTGGGATTACAAGTGTGAGACACTGTGCTTGACCTACCTAAGATTGCCTAATGGTGAGAGTAAATCTTGCAGATTGCGATTGCGGATGGGCTGTTCCATTTGAGCTGCCTCCTCTGCTCTTTGAACCTTGAAATACAAGTTGTGGCTCAGTTGCTGGCAAATGGGGGCTTAGAGAACAGAGCCACTGAGCAGAAAAGCTTCATTCATCCAGTAAACACTGCCAGAGCATCTACTGAGTACCGGGCACTGGGGCAGAGACCTGCCTTCAAGCAAGCTGAGTGCCAACTGAGGAGCAAGTGGTGTGGAACAGAGAAGCACAGGGACTGTGGAAGACCAGAGGAAGGGCACCTAATCCAATATGGCGAGGAGGCAAGTGCCAAGGGAAGGACTTCTGTGAGAGCTGATGACTGAGCCACATCTGGAAGGACAAATAACAATTAGCTAGGGCCGGGTGTGGTGGCTCATGCCTGTAATCCCAGCACTTTGAGAGGCCAAGGCAGGCAGATCACAAGGTCAGGAGTTCAAGACCAACCTGGCCAATATGGTGAAACCCCGTCTCTACTAAAAAAAAAACAAAAATTAGCCAGGTGTGGTGGCGGGTGCCTGTAGTCCCAGCTACTAGAGAGGCTGAGGCAGGAGAATTGCTTGAACCCGGGAGGCGAAAGTTGCAGTGAGCTGAGATCCTGCCACTGCACTCCAGCCTGGGGGACAGAGTGAAACTCCATCTCAAAAAACAAAAATTAGCTAGGCTGAGAAGGGAAGGAGAAAACCTTATATGCTGAAGGATGATTGAGCAGAAGTCTTTCCAAAGTCTCTGGCAGATGTGCCTGGCTGATCAGGTGTGTTTGAGGCATGGCAGAAGGCCAGACACCTAGCCAAAAACCCAGGCAAGGCTCAGGCCCAAATTTAATCCACAGAGGTCCAAGGTCAGACACAGGGCCAGGAGCCAATTTCTGGCTAAAGTCAGAGCCACTGAACTGACCCAGAGCAGGACAAAACAAACATACTTCATCCACTGCAACATGTCCTACACTTGCCTCTCTGCCCTGAGGCTTGCTGAGTGCCATGCCTCAGAGCCAATCCAAACTGGTGCCTAGTTCAGCAGCAAACGTGGGGGCTTGGGACCTTGGGGCTGGAAGTCAACCAGGTCATTGTGGCCCAGCCTTCCTCTAGAACTCCCAGCTTCAGGCCAGACGCGGTGGCTCACATCTGTAATCCCAGCACTTTGGGAGGCCGAGTCAGGTGGATCACCTCAGGTCAGGAGTTTGAGACCAGCCTGACCAACATGGTGAAACCCCACCTCTACTAAAAACACAAAATTAGCCAAACATGGTGGCGCATGCCTGTAATGCCATCTACTTGGGAGGCTGAGGCAGGAGAATCACTTGAACCCAGAAGGTGGAGGTTGCAGTGGGCCGAGATCGCACCATTGCACTCCAGCCTGGGCAACAAGGGTGAAACTCTGTCTCAAAAACAAACAAACAAACAAACAAACAAAAAACCTCCCAACTTCAGTGTATTCCCTAAGGGTAAAAGAAGCCGTGAGTTTCTGAGCACTCACAGCGTGCCTGACACCAGACATAGTGATGGGTCTGACCCTGTGCTGTAGGTCATCTGAGCCCTGTCTTAGATATAAGGAGACTGTGAGCCCAATCCTACACAGCTGGTAGACTAAGAATCAGGCTCTTCTGACCACAAAGCCTATACTCTTCTCCCATGCCAAGTGGCCTTGATGGACAAGTGTGTGTTTGGTGTTGGCGGAGCAGGGATAAGGTGAATAGGAGACGAGTGCTCATTCTAGTCACTGGGCCTGCGGCTGGAATTAGATCTTTTGGTGACCCTGAAGCACCAACCATGGGCTAGCAAAAGAACCTTGCCCCCACGACCTATGCTTATTCATTCCTCAAGCTGACCCTTCTTCTGTGCCAAGTACAAGGCCTTTCTTCCCCTGGGCTGCCCATGATGTAATGCCAAAAACTTATACTCTGCTTTCAGAGTTTTCATGGACTTTACCAATCCAGGCCCAATCACTTCTCATCTTTACTCCTCCCTGCTACCCTGCTGTGGCTTGAATGTCTCCTCCAAAACTCACGTTGAAATTAATTGCTAGAGGTGGGGCCTTTCACAGCTGATTAATGCCATTGCTGTGGGAATGGGTTAGTATTACAGGGAGTGGGTTCCTAATAGAAAAGACAAGTTTGGTCCAATTTTCTCTCTGTCTCATGCTAGCTTCTGCCTGCCTTCTGCCATGGGAGGGCCCTCACCAGATGCCAGTGCCATGCTCTTCAACTCCCCAGCCTCCAGAACTGTGAGCCAAATAAATCTCTTTTCTTTGTAAATTACTCTGTCTATGTTATTGTGTGTTATAGCAGCAGAGGGGTATGGACTAAAACACAGCCCTCCACACCTACCACCTCCTCCAGCTTCATTAGGAGCTAGGCCTCATAAGGTTTTCTTCTCTGATACTTATAGTTCATTCCTTACATGGGCTCGCTCTTGCTATCTGGGGCTAGAAGAGAAGCTTCCAATCAATCTCCTTCCCATTAACGGCTAAACTTCTCCAAAAGTTGTCCATACTCAGCTAATGTGTTGGTTTCTGATAATGTTTGTTTTTCTTCCCTTAACTCTTACTCCGTTAAACTAAAGTTCAGCAGCTTTTAAACACTGTGGGCTGTAATCCATAGGAAGAAATAGGTTTTACACTGCAAACCAGAACACACACACACACAAATGCACATACACGAAACAAAATTTAACGCTAGCATGACCTACTAAATCAATTTTGTGCCCCATTAATGGATTGTAACCTACAGTTTGAAAAACATTGTTCCATTTTTTGACACCCAGAGCCTCAGGGTAGTGATAATGCAGCAGAAATTTGTCAAGGAAAAAAAAAAAGTCAACTCTAAAATACTGAAACACATGCTAGAGACAACTGTTTAAAAAGAAAAGTTTTGAGTTTCAAAAGCCTAGGCGATTTCCTCTTCTAGGTAGGATTTAGCAGGCAACAAAATGAGATGAGGCTCCCCAGCTGTTCCCTCATCCCCAGGACATTTGTGAGTTTGGGGCACTTGCTGATGATCAAGTTTGCCTAGCAGGAGGACCTGTAATGGAGGAAAGGGAAACCAGCAAAGCGTTCAGTGACCACAGGTGCTAGAATGACAAATTAGAACACGGGAGCTTTAAACACAAAACCAATTTTCTGCACCTGACATTTGCTGAGTTCTGCACCTAGGAATGCATCTAAAAGCAGAATAGGGCCGGATGCAGTGGACCATACCTGTAATCCCAGCACTTTGGGAGGCCGAGGCAGGAGGATCACTTGTGCCCAGGAGTTCAAGACCAACCTGGGCAACACAGGGATACTCCATGTCTACAAAGAAAAAATAAAACTTAGCCAGATGTGGTGGTGTGCACCTGTGGTCCTAGCTACTCAGGAGGCTGACATGAAAGAATCACTTGGGCTGGGGAGGTCAAGACTGCAGTGAGCTCTGATTGCACCAACTGCACTCCAGCCTGGGCAACAGAGCAAGACCCTGTTTCAAAAAAAAAAAAAAAAGGTTGAAATATTCTACGGTCCCACAGTGCTTAGAAAACGAAAGTTTCCCAAGAAGGAAGGGCCTTCCCCAAACACAGAGCCAACTCCCACCTCAAGACATTGGCCAGATCTTGAAGCTCCATGGAGACAGAGTCTGGAAGCTGGACCGGGAACCTCTGAAAAGCAGAGCTGAATCTCCATAGTCTTTCATGGCTGAGGATCCAGAAACCTGGCAAGGCACTCACCCAAAATCCACATGTCAGGTATAGGGGCAAACCAGAGATAGACTTGAGATAGATAGATTCCAAAAACCAAAACCCAGTCCCAACCCACTTCAATCCTTCACTGGACTGATGTGATCATTCCTTACCCCCATCTGCTTAACAGAAGAAAGAGAGAACACTGTGTGGCAAATTATATCATCTGGAGTCTCTATGCCTCTTACATATAATGTCTACATATAGTAAAAAATAGACTTGTGAAAAGGCATGAAAATATCATTGATAAGCAAGAGAAAAAAACAGACAATAGAAGAAGACACACAGATCATCCAGATGTTGTGATTGGTAGACAAAGGCTTTAAAATAATTGACTGTGGAGGAACTGGAACTCTCACACATTGCAAGTAGAAGTATAAATTGGTATAGCCATGTATTATTGGTCAGAGTTTACTCAGGATACAGAAACCACACAATAATTTGGACAAGGATATTTTAATATAAAAAAATACTATGTGTAAGAGGGGATTACCTAGTAAAGGGAAAAGAAAACTCTAAAGAATACAATTACAGCAGATATAAGGGGCAGCCTCTAGGGCTGAGGCAGAGCACCCAAGGAAGGAAGAAACCTGGATGAGGTCCTCATCTTCACATTCTACCACCAGGCTAAGATCCATACCTTGCTGAAGATGGTAATGGATGACGGAGAAGTTCATTGCAGTTCTATGCAGATGTGATTCTGTATGAATCTACAATGGTAGGTACATGTCATTATACATTTGTCAAAACCCATAGAATTGTACAATACCAAGAGTGAACCTTAATATAAATTATTGACTTTGGGTGATTATGATGTGTCAATGTAAACTCAAATATAACACTCTGAAGGAAGATGTTGATAATCCAGGAGGCTATGCCTGTATGTGGGTAGGAGGTATATAGAAAATCTCTGCACCTTCCTCTCAATTTTGCTCTGAACTTAAAACTGCTCTTAAAAATTAAAAAAAAAAAAAAAAAAAAAGGCTGGGCATGGTGGTTCATGCCTGTAATCCCAGCCCTTTGGGAGGCCAAGATGAGTGGATCACCTGAGGTCAGGAGTTCTAGACTAGCCAGGCCAACATGGTGAAACACCGTCTCTACTAAAAATACAAAAAAAATTAGCTGGGTGTGGTGGCGCATGCCTATAATCCCAGCTACTCGGGAGGCTGAGGCAGGAGAATCACTTGAACCCGGGAGGTGGAGGTTGCAGTGAGCCGAGATCACGCCACTGTACTCCAGCCTGGGTGACAAAACGAAACTCTGTCTCAAAAAAAAAAAAGGAAAGGAAAAAAAAAAAAAAGCCAGAAGATCCTATGGACCTTGCAGTTAGCCTGGAAAAAATGTAGAATATCTGCAGGTAATATCAGCCTGATACCACCATACGTGTACATCCCTGCAGATGCCAGAGTAGACAGGTAATCCACCCACTGTGCACTGGCATTAGGTAAGTCCCTTATAACTGCAAGGTAACTCCAACAAAGGGGTGTGTTGGGGATGGGTGGTGAGAAACAGTAATTAACCGAGAAATTTCTGAATTTACTGATAGGAAATGGAACTGGCCATGGCTTAATTTGGGAAAGCAGGTGGGATGAGAGCTTTTTGGGGTTTTTTTTTTGTTTTTTTTTTTGTTTGTTTTTTTCCTGTCACCCAGGCTGGAGTGCAGTGGCGTGATCTCAGCTCACTGCAGCCTCCATCTCCCGGGTTCAAGAGGTTCTCCTGCCTCAGCTTCCCAAGTAGGCACATGCCACAACGCCTGGCTAATTTTTGTATTTTTAGTAGAGACAGGTTTTCACCATGTTAGCCAGGCTGGTCTTGAACTCCTAGCCTCAAGCTATCCACCCGCCTCGGCCTCCCAAAGTGCTGGGATTACGGGTGTGAGCCACAGCGCATAGCTGAGAGTTTCAAATAATGTTTAAGTGAATAGCATTGTTTGAGGTGGTGGATTTAGAAACAATCTTGATGCTGGCTGGGCGCGGTGGCTCATGCCTGTAATCCCAGCACTTTGGGAGGCCGAGGTGGGCGGATCACGAGGTCAGGAGATCAAGACCATCCTGGCTAACACAGCGAAACCCCGTCTCTACTAAAAATACAAACAAAATTAGCCGGGCATGGTGGCGGGCGCCTGTAGTTCCAGCTACTCGTGAGGCTGAGGCAGGAGAATGGTGTGAACCCGGGAGGCGGAGCTTTCTGTAAGCCGAGATCGTGCCACTGCACTCCAGCCTGGGCGACAGAGCGAGACTCCATCTCAAAAGAAAAAAAAACAAAAGAAACAATCTTGATGCTTATCACTGGGGAGTGGATAGGGAAGATGTGGTGAGTGCTTGCCATGAAGTACCAGGCAGCACCTGGACCAAATGTTCACACATAGCAACATGTATGGATCTTAAAAACACTGGATGGTTGAAAAAGAAAGAGAATGAGAAATAAAGTGTATAACACAATAATCCCTATGTAAATTTAAAACATATGCACATACAACAAAAAATGTTCTGCAAATATATATACAAAAAAGGAAATACTTATTAGAAACATTAGAAGGTTTTCCTGTGGGGGATTAGTGCAGAATAAGAGTAGGAAAGGAGATTGTCTTAGCTTGGGTTCCTTAGAAAACGGACTGTGTAAAGTGCATTTACTAACACTTTATTGGAGGAAGGTACAATCCCAGGGCAGCAAAAGTGAGAGGAAAAGGGAGGTGAGGCAGGAAAGGTGGGGAAGCAAATGAAAGATGGCGCACTAACTAGGCTGACCATAACCTCATCCAAAAATGCAAGACATCTGGAACCACTGAGCACTGGAGTAGTTTCATTAGGGAGAAGAGTTTATCTCTTTCCTGTCTTATGTCTCTCATGGCTCAAAGTCCTTCCCAGGATGCACTCATTCCACTTCCAGGCTGTATCATCAGCTTCTCCAGGCAGCCACAGAGGGACCCAGATCCTGTGTGGTGGTGCTTCGCCCGCCTTAGGGGGTGGTGGGAATGCCCAGAGGTTCGTGGGTCTGATCCGCCAAGGCTTGTGGCCAGACCTGCTGCGACTCTGGCTTCAGCAAGAACAATGGAGGCCTTGCCAGGGCTGGGATCTCATCCTAGTGAAGGCTGGGACAGCTGGTGGTGTTAGGAGATGAGGTGTTGGTAGTAGCAGCTGTGGCTCAATTGCATAAGTGGCTCAAGGCCTGGGGAGCAGATGGGCCCAATAAATTGGGTCTGATACAATGCCTTTGCATGGATTCCATGCATAATTCTGCTCAAGGACACAGAGTGATCAGGGCAGACTTCCAGTACAGTATGTTCATTCCCCTGAAGCCGTAGGCTAAACCTGCATGTGGACTGAGGTCCTAATTCTTAGACATCTTTGTCCAGATCCTACTCATGACTGGGCTCGGTTTTTCCCCCCATGCCTGTTCTCAGGAGCAAGTCTTCTCTAGGATTGTACAACTTCTCCCTTCATGCTGGGAAATAAAGCTGAAAAGGGAAGAGGACCCAGGCCCAGCCACTGCAGTGGACGCATTTTCCAATTATGGCTACTATGTTTGGAGTATTAATAAACTGGTCATTTTTTCTGGTAACTAAATGACCTGGAGAGGCAGGAGCTGCAGTGGAGCAAAGAGCCCCCACGCCTCCTCCATGGTCTTAAGCACACTGCACATGTCCAGACCAGGGCAGACCTCCCAGAGCCTGAGCTTGTCACATCCAGGCACGTGTGTGAGCCTTTGGGGCGTCACAGGCTATTTATTACTTGGCTCATTTTCCCGGAGTGTTGTTTTTACTCAATGAATTAAAAGAATAAAGTTTTGAAATTTTATTCTTTTCAGTGGTTTTGTTACATGCAGATACAAACCAAATCAAGCACCTCCTGTTTTTCTCTCAATCATTCCCATGTTTTTTTCATGAAATCCCAGAATTCACATTCAGTGAGTGACGTAAAGACTTGGTAATTTGGAGTGCCCTGATGCTATGGTTTGGATGTGGTTTGTTTGGCTCCACCAAGTCTCATGTTGAAATTTGATCCCCAATGTTGAAGGTGAGGCCAGGTGAGAGGTGTTTGGATCATAGGGGCAGATTCCTGTGAATGGCCTAATGCCATCCTCAAGGGAATGAGTGAATTTTCACTCTTAGTTCCCATGAGAATTGGTTGTTGGAAAGAGCCCAGTACCTCCTCTGTGCTCTCTCTTGCTTTCTTTCTCACCATGTGATCTGCACATACCAGCTTCATTTTGCCTTCTGCCATGAATGGAAGCAGCCTCAGGCCCTCATTAGATGCAGATGCTGGCACCATTCTCCTTGTAGAGTCTGCAGAATTGTGAGCCAAATAAACCTCCTTTCTTTATCAATGACTTGGCCTCAGGTATGAGCAACACAAAATGGACTAAGACTTCTGAGCACTTGCTGGTATTGGTTCTGTGAGCACGCTCAAGTAAAAAGACACGTATAGGGTGGGTGACTGCTGGAGAATGAGTTACTGCTGTTGTCTCTGGCCCGCACAACTAGTACTGTACCTGGCTGGGGGTGGGAGGCGGCTAGCTTTTTGGATAGCAAATCTATGGTCATCTGAACTAAAATAACGAAACTATTCTGGTCAATTCCCCAATTTTGGGGGAGCTGGGTGAAAAGGACTATGGGTCTTTTAAGTAACTTACATTTACTCAAAATCTTACATTTTCAGGCTAGGCGTGGTGGCTCATGCCTGTAATCCCAGCACTCTGGGAGGCCGAGGTGGATGCATCACTTGAGGTCAAGAGTTCAGGACAGCCTGGCCAACATAGTGAAACCCATTCTATACTAAAAAAAAACACAAAAATTAGCTGGGTGTGGTGGCATACACCTGTAGTCCCAGCTACTTGGGAAGGTGAGGCAGGAGAATCTCCCAGGAGTGGAGGCTGCAGTGAGCCGAGATCACACCACTGCACTCCAGCCTGGGCCACAGAGCAAGACTCTGTCTTGAAAAAAAAAAAAAAAAAAAACTTAAATTTTTCAGAAACTTACATTTGATAAAAATGACAGTGTGGAGGGTAAAAAATCATTTTTAAAGCATCAGACATCTTTCTTCACTGAAAAAAAATCCTTTAATAACATTTCCTGAAAGCTGATAAAAAGCTGACCTTCGGCTAGGCATTGTGGCTCACACCTATAATCCCAGTAATATAGGAGTTATTAAGAAATTATTTTTAGGCAGCTAGAAAGGCTTGGTGGAATTTTCCTTTAATGAAAAGCAGTCCCCAAACCATATCTAGCAAAAAACATCCTGGAAGCTCAGACTGCAAGCATAGATATGCATATGTAAATGCAGGTGGCTAAGAGCCAGGTCCACCCAATATTGTGGTTCTCACTCCCTTTTCCTTGCCACCACATGTGCGGGTGTCACAGCACCATCCAGGTAAAACCAAGTGTCATGGTGACCCCCAGGTAGAAGCTGCATTTGCATAATAAAAGACTATGGCAGAAGAGTCAGTCTTTTCGTGAGCTCTGTAAAATGTCATACCTGGTCAAACCAATCCCCTAGGCCCTATGTAAATCAATTACTGCCTCCTCAATCCTCTTTACAAAACTGATCGCATTCCACCCCAAACCAAAGACCCCCTCTTGGGTGACCCGCTTTCTCAGTATGAGGAAGTTCTCTTTCTCCTCTTCTTTGTCTATTAAACTTTCCACTCCTAAACCCACTTCTCATGAGTGTCGGTGTCCTGAACTCTTTCTTGGCGTGAGACAAAGAACCACAGGTAAATCCTGAGACAACGGAGCTGTTTCACCAGCACTTTGGGAGGCCAAGGTGGGAGGATTGCTTGAGCCCAGGAGTTTGAGACTAGCCTGGACAACACAGCAAGACCCTGTCTCTACAAAAAATTTAAAAATTAGCTGGGAATGGTGTCATTTGCCTGTAGTCTCAGCTACTTGGGAGGCTGAGGTGAAAGGATTGCTTGAGTCCTGGAGTTTGAGGCTCAGTGAGCAATGATGATTGGGCCACTGCACTCCAGCCTGGGTGACAGAGTGAGACCTCAAAAAAAAAAAAAAAAAAAGCAGCAGCAGCTTAGGTAAGAGCCATTCCCTGCCACATGAACAATGTGGCCTCTCAACAGGAGATAGTCACAATGACATTCTGCCACCCATAGCCTGGGGCCAGCTTCCTGAGCATCTCTCAGTAACCGAGCCCCAGTTTGTAAAACAATGGAAAAATGATCTTCATTTGTGGTCACATGTTTTCATGAGTTTTAGTACTTGAAATATTGTAATACCAAGTCAAAGAAAAAAATTGCCTGGATGCTGAATTTGAAATGCAGGGCTTGCTTGCTCTAATTTAGCCCAATTTTCTGAAATCCAGTAGCATCATCCAGTAGCATCACGTCAAATGTCTTGACAAACAAGACAGTTAGAAAACACTTTTAAAATCCCTGATGGCTAGAATTTTAAAGTGTTATTTTTACATTAAAACAAATACGGATGTGGTATGTTGTATTCCATAAAATGCACACAAATCTTTGAGTTAAATATTAGTGATGTTTAGAGATCTCTAAATGCTTAAGGCCTTTTAGCATTAAGCCCTCAAATCTCCAGGGCAGCCATTCAGGAAACTTTGGGTGAAACACTGGAGGAGTGTGGTCCTCGATAATGAGGTCTTTGTAGCTTGACTGAAATCTAGCTCTGCCTCAAAAGTTTCAAGTGTATGGGCAAGGAGTTCTAATGGGAGGTTGGAAGAGCATGCTCTCTAGGAGGCTCAACAATCAAGGGCAAAGTTCATTACCTCTAGGGAGGTGTCAAGAACTGTAAATCATCTGAGATTTTACCCTCCTTGCAAGCTTACAAGTTATTCTTCCATAATCATGGATGCTGAAAGAACATATAAGTCGCTCCTGGGTCAGAGATGAAGGATAGTTTATTATTCAAAGCAATAGCAATAACCAAAGTATTAGCATTTTTGCATAGGTTTCCTGAACTGATTCCCATAGGACAATGCAGAGAGGGCCAGGTGACACCTGCACATGCAGCAGGTTGTGTTATAGGAGAAGAATCCTAGCTTCAAGAAACCAAAGCTTTTACACTGAAGAGTTAAGTATGCTTTCTACAGAAGGAGACATTATCTCTAACTTCCAAGGCTGTAAACAAACCTTTCCTTTGCTTTAGAAGGAGATACTACCTCTATCTTTCAAGGTTGTTCACTATATAAACATTCCTGGAAAGGCTGTTGGGAATAAAGCAGTCAGTGCCTCTGCTTGAAAAATATGCAGATGCATGAGAGACCCATGGAGAAACATCGGTCAACAGGAGGGACCTATGGTCAGCTTCCTCTACAACATGTAGAAGTCTCCTTGTCATCTCCTCTGACTTCTCAGTAAGCATGAATGGTGGGCAGCATAGGGCTCATTCGTTCAGGTCATGATGGAAACCTGAGGTTCATTAAAAAAGATTCACTAGGAAGTAGCTGGGACAACCTGCCCTACAGGGACTCACAATACAGATGAGCAGTTTGATTGTAACCCCCAATGACTACTACGACACGAAGAAAATGCAACACAGTCCAAGGCAGGTTGTTAGGCTCAGACTAGCTGCTTCCATTTTATGGCTCACTATCTTGTGTTTTCAAAGTTACCCTCACAATCAACAAAGAAACTACCAGCACTAATAAGTGAGTTTAGCAAGATCTCAGAATACAAAGTCAATATACAAAAAATCAGTTGTATTTCTATGTACTGGCAGCACAAAATTGGCAATAAATTTTGAAAGTCAATTTCATTAATAATAGCATAATGAATACAAATGACTTGCAAGATTGGTTTAACAACTATAAAACATTGCTGAAGTTAAAGAATAAATGGAACACACATCCTATTTATGGACTGGAGGACTCCGCATTATTAAGATGTCAATTCTTCCCAAGTCAATCTTTAGGTTTAATGCAATTTAATCAAATTTTCAAGAGGATTTTTAAAGACAGACATATTAACAGATTGACTCTAGGATTTGTATGAAAGTAAAAGAACTTAAAATAGACAAATAATTTTGAAAAAGAAAAACAAGGTTGGATGACTTAGATTACCTGATTTTAAGACTTACTATACAACTAGTAATCAAGTACTGGTATAAGGATGGTCAACTAGATCAGCGGAATAGACTAGAGAATCCTGAAGGAAACTCACACTTACATGGCCAGTTGGTTTTTGACAAAGACACCAAATCAATCCAGTGAAGTAAAGGAAAGTCTTCTCAGCAAATGGTGCTTATGCAACCAGAAATCCATATGGGGAAATAAAAAACCTCATATCCCACTCAAATATTAATTTGAAACAAATGGTGATATACTGAGACCATGGAATACGAAGTAATAAAAAGGAATTAAAATATTGATCCACACAACAACTTGGATGAACCTCCTGGGGAGTTATGGCTTGCAATCCTTGGCTGGGAAGCTGCTGCCCAACGTATCTATACTGTGGAAAGGGGGCATGATACCTTCACAACAACAACAATAATACTGTTTTTTGGGTTTTTTGTTGTTGTTGTTGTTTTTTGAGATGGAGTCTTGCTCAGTTGCCCAGGCTGGAGTGCAGTGGTGCAATCTCGGCTCACTGCAAGCTCTGCCTCCCGGGTTCACGCCATTCTCCTGCCTCAGCCTCCCGAGTAGCTGGGACTACAGGCGCCCGCCACCACGCCCAGCTAATTTTTTTTTGTATTTTTAGTAGAGACGGGGTTTCACCACGTTAGCCAGGAGGGTCTCGATCTCCTGACCTCGTGATCCACCCGCCTTGGCATCCCAAAGTGCTGGGACTGATTACAGGCGTAAGCCACTGCACCCGGCCAACAGTAATACTGGTTTTAATGTCAAGAAACTTTGAAACGCATTACCTCTCTCCACAACATTCCTGAAAGGTAGGTCTTATTTCCCTGTTTAAAGATGAGGAAACAAGCCGGGCATGGTGGTGGACACCTGCAGTCCCAGCTGCCTGGGAGGCTGAAGTGGGAGGATTGCTTGAGCCTAGGTGTTCCAGGCACCTCGCAACATAACAAGACCCCATTTCTTTAAAAAAAAAAAAATTTAAAGATGAGGAAACTAAGACTGACTGAATAAGCTGAAGTAGCTTCACCCAAGCTTAGACAGGTAGTAGGTGTATCTGTGATCCAGCCCACATCTGTCTGACCCTAAAGTTCCCAGTTCTACCACTCCCAGCTGCCTTCCTCAGAGCAAGGCACAGGAGGGACCTGCTGTTACTTGTGGAAAAAAGAAGACATTACACCTGGAAGGAGAGAGGAGTTAGGTTAGACGAAGATGTGTATATACATTCTTATCTTCTACGATGAAAAACGGGAAGGCATCCGAGGAAGCACAGCCTGCTTTGGTCTATGATTTCCTCTTAAAGTGAGGAGGGTCATTCTTGTTTTACAGAGTCACATCAGTTCTGAAGCATTTTGATAAAGAAAATGCTCCTAGTGTCCAATTTGGGTCTCAGAAGGGTTTATTTTGAGTAAACCACCACCTTGTGGCAATAAACATGAGTTGCAGGAGGAAGAGTTTGGTTTTTAATCTTTTGAACTCTAAAACACCTCAGTAGCCCTTAAATTTAGTTAGCAGGTTTTGCATTAAAATAAAACAAACAAAAAAGTACATCACTGAGGGAAGGGCTGATTAAAAATAGATACATTTGAAAAAATCTGACTTTTGGATAATAAATAAAAACACTGACCCAGCGGGGAGCAGTGGCTCATGCCTGTAATCCCAGCACTTTGGGAGGCTGAGGCAGGCGGATCATAAGGTCAAGAGATCTAGACCATCCTGGCCAACCAACGGGGTAAAACCCCATCTCTACTAAAAATACAAAAATTAGCTGGGCATAGTGCCACATGCCTGTAGTCCCAGCTACTCGGGAGGCTGAGGCAGGAGAATTGCTTGAACGCGGGAGGCGGAGGTTGCAGTGAGCTGAGATCACGCCACTGCACTCCAGCCCAGGTGACAGAGCAAGACTCTGTCTCAAAAAAAAACCAAAAAAACAAAAACAACAACAACAAAAAAAACCATTCACCTGTGTCACAAAACATGTAAAAGATGGAAGTTTTATTAAAAAGCAGGAGTGGCCCAAGGTGATTCATCTGGGAAAAAACTGATGAGGTTCCATGTTGTCCAAACTGTAATTTTTTTTTTCTTTGAGATGGAGTCTTGTTCTGTCACCCAGGCTGGAGTGCAGTGGCACGATCTTGGCTCACTGCAACCTCCGTCTTCTGGGTTCAAGTGATTCTCCTGCCTCAGCCTCCCAAGTAGCTGGGATTATAGGCATGCACCACCAGGCCCAGTTATTTGATACTTTTTTTTAGTAGAGACAGGGTTTCACCATGTTGGCCAGGCTCCTGCCCTCAAGTGATCCACCTGCCTCGGCCTCCCAGAGTGCTGGGATTACAGGCGTGAGCTACTGCACCCTACCCAAACTGTACACTTTTGAAAGTGAGAGGGGTTGCTATTAATAATTGCATGGGACAACAGGTGAAAAGTGGGGGTGTCCCAGGCAAACTGGGACATGTGGTTTACCTAAATTTGTTTCTGAGGTTTAGCCTGGCAAAGATGTGAGTACATTTTGTAATAGAGACCACATGGTAAGAAATTTAACCCTTTCAGAAAGAATAAATGTCACTATCTTTCCATGTGCTGGCAAGAGGAATTTAGCATCTGATTTGAATTTTATTTTGGAAACTAAATTCTAAGGGAGATTCCACACCATTCAAGAGCTTCAGCAACCACCACCTTGTGGCAATGAACATGATTTGCATCTAGTCAACTCAGTTTGCAATGTGGTGTCTTAAGGACTGCCTGTGGCTCTGCGTAATATTATCATGGAACTGAATATTGCCATGGGACTGAATGCAAGAAAAGAGTAGGTGGATTCGGAGCTGAAGTGGGAGAAGGCAGGATGACAGGTAGGAAGATGTTCGGTCTCCAGTATACCCATCGCCCTGTACTTCACAGAGGGTTGCTGGGTACCTCATGGCCAAACAGGGTATCAGCACTCCCTGGATGGAAATCATTTGGTGTATGCTTCACTTAGGAAGAATTGATATCTTAACAATATTAATTCTTCCTATCCATGAACACGGAATATTTCTTCATTTATTTAAATCTGTGAGATCTCTTTCATCAGCTGTGATTGATTCCTAGTTTAATTCTATTGCAGTCAGAGAACATACTTTGTTCTATCCTTTTAAATTTGTTAAGCTATGTTTTATGGCCTAGATTGTGGTCTATCTCAGTGAATGTCCCATGTGAGCTTGAGAAAGAATCTATATTCCGCTGTTGTTGAACTAAATATTGCATAAATGTCAATTAGATCAATTTGATATTTTTCAGTTCAACTATATCCTTGCTCATTTGCTTCTGCTGGATGTATTAATTACTTTTTAAAAATGGTATGAAAGCATTCTATTATAATACTGAGTTTACCTATTTTTCCTTGCAGTTTTATCTTCTTTTGCCTCACATATTTCGGTGCTCTGTTTTTAAGTACATACATATTAAGTATTGTTATGTCTTCCCAAATAACTGATCCCTTTAACTTTATGTAATGTCCCTGTTTATACCTGATAAATTTCCTTGTTCTGAAGTCTGCTTTTCTTGAAATTAACATACCTACTTCAGCTATTTTTTTAATTAGTGTCAGCCTGGTATAGCTTTCTCTATCCTTTTGCTTTTAATGTATTTTCTTGTGGATAACACACGATTGGGCTTTGTTTGTTTTTGAAATCCATTCTGACAATCTCTTTTTTAATTGGTGTAATCAGATTATTCACATTTAAAGTGGTTATTGATACAGTTGGATTAATATCTACAATGTCTGTAACTGTTTTGTATGTGTCTCACTTGACTTTCATATCTAATTTTGAATTTGTAATTTCATATTCTTTGCCTTAAAGAGAACGCTTGCAGATCCCTCAAAACCTGGAGACACCCCCCACCTTGCACACATTATACCGGTATGTGATGGTAGAAAAGCTGCACATCAGTCTTGGCAGGCAGGGCAGGAGGGATGCAGGGATTCACAGATGCGACTGTGCAACGCACAGATGCACTGGGTCTTTGCTTGGTGGGTTCGAAGCCTCCAGACGCTGACAAACACTGCAGCCAATGAGTGGGTTCCTATGGTCCGATATGGAGGGCAAGGGGCGGGACTCCCTCCTGCCTCTCCCTGGCTGGGTTCAGAGCCTCCGCGGAGAGACTGCGTTGGGCCCAGAGTGGGCGTGGCTTACGTGTCCGCCGGCTTTCCTGGCAGGCCTGGCGGGGGGGCCAGGTTGCCATGACGACCGCGGCTAGGTCGCGGCAGACTCGGTTGGTGACTCCGGGCGCGTCGAAGATCTTGTACCTGTCGTTCGCAGTGGCTCACTTTCCCAGTAATCCATAAGAACAGCAGGGATAACAGGGTCCCATGTCGTTTTTTTGTCAGAATTCCTCGACTGGCGACCCTGTGCCCGACAGGCTGCACCGCGCCCGGCGCACTGACTCCGGCCTCTGCGCGCGCCCCCTGGCCGGCTCCGGGGTGGGGAGGGGGCTTCGCAGATCCCCAGAAAACCGCCCGGCGAGCCACGAGCCCGTGGACTGCAGGCTCCGCTTCCTCGCGGGGTGTTCACTTTGTATCAGTGTGCTGATTTGCCGCCAGTTAGAAGCACCTTAAAAAGGGGCCGGGGGCCGTAGGAGGGGGGCTTGTCTGAAGGAGGCTCTGGGCTTGCTGATCCACGCAGCGGTTTGTCGCGAGGCTGCGGGGGAACGGCCCACGGCCGCGGTAACAGGGCTTCGTCTTCTTTGCAGAGCCATGGGCAGCAGGAAGAAGGAAATTGCCCTGCAGGTAAGCCTCAAGGGGCGCTAGCTTCCAGCTCTGGGTTGGGCTCGGGGAAGAGGAGGGTGATTAGAGCGGGGTTGCAGTATAAAAGTGACATTCTGTTTGCCAGCAGTACGTGACAGTGTTCTCAAACTTGAGTGATGTACCCTTCCGTCTTAAAGGGACAAAACTTATCTTGGAACCCCAGTGATGACAAATTTTACGCAAACAAAATTAATGCAAACAAAACTGAGTAGAAGCTGTTTACATTTATAGTGCTTATACAACCATAAAACCTAAACATGCATTAAATAAAACTATAAACTAAGAAAATACGAATCAACATAACTCGATGTGACCGTTATTTTGTTCTTGTTGAAATACAACTGCAGCTTGCACAGAGAATACAGTATAGGTTCTTTTGACTTTGGGCATGAGTCTGTAACTGTGTGCTCTGTGGAGACCCAGTTTTCCCACCACTGTTCTCATCAAATTTCACTTATTAACAAATATGTTTTGAGATATATTATGTGCTGGACATATGTTATATAGAGTGTCTTACTTCATTTGCATGTGGGACAAGTGAATTCAGAAGCCAGCAGCTGCTCTTCTTCTTGGTCCTGGACAATAGATAGTGGTTGATTCTGAAGTGATGGTAAAAACATGCAGGCATAGACCCTGGAATTAGGAGAGAGTGCTTGGTCATAAGGAGATCAGCTGGATGATCTGCAACATGGGAACATTTTAAAACGAACTTAAAATGCCTCATCATCAGCTGGCCCCAGTAAGATGCATACCAAGGCTACAGCGCCTCCTAGATAATAGAGCATTAGTGGTTTTGAGACATCTGGTTTCTCTCTTATTGTCCTCAGCAGGACCAGCAGTTTGCATGTGGATTTCAAAAGCCTAGTGGTTTAAAAAAGAGGAAAGGGGAAAGCAGCATCATTCTAAGGGTACCCCATGCTGGGGGTGGGAGGGGTGTGGGGTGGGGTGGGGTGGGATTTTTAGACTGGAAGTCAGAAGACCTGATGTAGTTCTTGTGTCCTCTATAGCCAACTGTGTCTTTGACTACATCACATAACCTCTCCAGGCTATAGCTTGCCCATCTATGGAATGAGGATGTTGTGTGAATTATCCCTAAGGGCCTTCTTCCAGCCTTGATATTCTAGGATTCTAGAGTCAGAAGCCACTTCATACGTGAATGTTCTGGTTGAAGTAAATTCTGATCAACTGGTCCTACCATTCATTGCTGTGTGACTCATTTCCTCAACTCTCTGGCCTCCGTATCCTTTACGTAGACAGGAGGGATGATACCTGTCCTGTAACGCCTGCAGAGCTGTGATGAGACTCCTTTAGACACTTCCTGGCTGGTCTGATGTTGTCTGTGGTGTCTCTAATGTTATTGCCCCATATTATGGTCATTTCATGTGTTGATGCCCTAGAGCTCCTATGGGGGTAATAACTTTTGTTAGCAATGTTGTTATTTTTTCATGTGTATTACTCAGAGCTCTGAGTACAATGCAGTACTCAAACTAAGTGCTCCCTCCTGCTGAAAGGAGGAGAGCGAGCAGCCTCCCCTCCCGTCTTCTACTGAGGCATCTGTGTAAAGGTCACCTCTCTATAAGGTAAACCCCTTGAAAGCAATGCCTAAAGTTGGCCAACCCAGGAACCTTGTCCTCTCTCTCAGCAAGGTTATTCAGGGTTCCCTTTATAACTGAGACAGGCAGAAATCACAGGACATCAAGGGACAGTCTGGGTAAAAGGTGCCACACATTCCCTATTCATTCCCTACCAAATGCAGGCTTAGTGAAGTCCGGATAGTTCCCACACTGTTCCACTCTTGCCTGGCTCCCAGGGCTGAGATTCTTCAACTGCCCAGAGTCCTGGCCCCAGAGCTGGTGGGACTCACTCCATGACAGGGGTGGGCCACAGAGAGCTGCTGGTGACTTAAGTCTGAGCCTCTGGGTAGGGGTGTGGGGCCCTTCCGAACGCTTCTATCACCTTCCTCAGGACTGTAGTTGTGGGCCCAGGGTTATGTCAGTCCAACTCTCTTATTTCATTTAAGACATCAAGAAGACTTTTCTGGGTTTCTTTTTCTTCTACTTTTCATTGAAACAAAAAAAGTAAGGACTATGCTTCCTTAAAAGAGAGACTTTTTTTTTTTTTTTTTTGAGACAGTTTCATTCTGTCCTGTCGCCCAGGCTGGAATGCAGCGGCATGATCTCATCTCAGTGCAACCTCCACCTCTCACGTTCAAGCAGTTCTCATGTCTCAGCCTCCCGAGTAGCTGGTAAAACAGGTATGCGCCACCACGCCCGGCTAACTTTTTTTTTTTTTTTTTTTTTTTTTTAGTAGAGGCAGGGTTTCACCATGTTGGCCAGGCAGGTCTGAAACTTCTGGCCTCAAGTGATCTGCCCGCCCTGGCCTCCAAAAGTGTTGGGATTACAGGCATGAGCAACCACGTTCGGCCAAAAAAGGAACTTTTAATAGAGGATTAGCAGTTGTTACATGTTTCTTGCCCTTATTGCCAATAATGCATCCTATCTTTTTTAGAGGGACACAGACCTTAGCATACCTGTATTAAGAACAATAGTAGGCCAGGCGTGCTGGCTCATGCCTGTAATCCCAGCACTTTGGAAGGCCGAGGCAGGCAGATTACTTGAGGTCAGGAGTTCACGACCAGCCTGGCCAACATGGTGAAACCCTGTCTCTACTAAAAATACAAAAAATTACCCGGGTGTGGTAGCGGGCACTTGTAATCCCAGCTACTTGGGAGGCTGAGGCAGGAGAATCTCTTGAACCCAGGAGGCAGAGGTTGCAGTGAGCCATGATCATGCCACTGCACTCCAGACTGGGTGACAGAGTGAGACTGTGTCTCAAAAAAGACAAACAAAAAACCCAGTAGTAATTTTTGTGGTCTTTTAATGTATATAGTTTCAAAGTAGCTCACCACAAAAATATGTTAATTACAAAGGAAAAGAGAATAATTTTACAGACAACAGACCTGACAGACCATGTTAATCCAGTGATCAAAGTGAACATCAGTAACAGGCAGATGGAAATTGTGTCTCATCTGCTAGGGAGTAGTGAGAGGAATGATCTTCAGCTTCTCCAACACTCCAACCAGTCCAGCCAATTTCAACCAGTCCAAACATGCACAGTCTGAATCCAATCAGGAGGAAACATCAGATATGCCCCAACTGAGGGACATTCTACAAAATACCTGGCATGTAGTTTTCCAAAGTGTCAACATTGTGAAAAGAAGAGAAAGACTAAAGAACTATTCCAGACTAAAAAGACTTGACAAATAAATCTAGCACACATTTCTGATTAGCTCCTTTGATACTCAGGACATTATGGGATAAATAGGAAAACTTGCACTCTATCTAAGGATTAAATGTTCACAATATGTCAGTGTTTTTTTCCCCTGATTTTGATTATCGTAATGTGTTATATAGGAATAATATATTCAGGAGTAATAAGATAACAAGCTGTAATTTGCTTCCAAATACCTAAAAAAAAAAAAAAAAAAATCCCTAAATCTTTATACTGTACTTGCACACTTTCTCTAAGTTTGAAATTATTTCAAAGTAAAAAACATTATACAGAAATGTTTACTATTGGCCAGATGTGGTGGCTCATGCCTGTAATCCCAGCACTTTGGGAGGCCGAGGTGGGCAGATCACTTGAGGTCAGGAGTTCGAGACCAGCCTGGCCAACATGGTGGAACCCCGTCTCAACTAAAAATACAAAAATGGCCAGGTGTAGTGGCATGTGCCTGTAATCCCAGCTCCTCAGGAGGCTGAAGCATAAGAATCGCTTGAACCTGGGAGGCAGAGCAGAGGTTGCAGTGAGCTGAGATTGCGCTTCTGCACTCCAGCCTGGGTGACAGAGCAAGACTCCATCTCAAAAAAAAACAAAAAAAAAAAAAGAAATTTTTACTGTTAATAAAGAGGGACAATATGTATTTCTCCTTGTATTTCATATTTATAAAACCAGAACTGTGTGGATAAGAAAAAAATGTGAGTGAATGGCAATAAATTCAACTTAATTCTGATACTGAGTGAAAACACAAATTTCAAAATGAAACCTACAGTTTGATGTATTTATGTACATTTTAAGGACACAAAAACAATTTATATATTGTTCCTGGACAAATAACATGTAAAAGTATTTTTTAAATGCCTGAGACTAGTATACATCATTCTTAGGATAGTGTTTTTTTCTGGGTAGGGAAGAAGGGAGAGAAGGAAGGAGAAAAGAAGATGGGGGAGAGGATAACTTGAACTGTACTTGTAAGTATTTCAGAGATAGAAGAGAGAAATCTAGAGCAAATAGATTGAATTGTTTCCCTGCCTGAGCCCTCAGTAATACGGCATTTGATCCTCTTTGGCTTTAGGTCAACATCAGCACCCAAGAGCTTTGGGAGGAAATGCTCAGTTCCAAAGGACTAACTGGTAATTCAAAGTAAAATAACTTTTTAGATCCATTCTTTTCTAAATTATTAAATGGTGTGATGAACCATGAAGAGAAGGGCTGCAATGAACACCACTTTCCTATTACCTTGAGCCTCATAAAAAACCAGGTGATGTGTGTGTGTGTGTGTGTGTGTGTGTGTGTGTGTGTGTGTGTGTGTATCTGGCTTGAATATCAGTAAATTCAGTTCAGGAAATGAGTCAGTACTTAGGGTTGTTTGGTGTTAAAAGTAACAGAAAACCTCTTCTAATTACTTCAGGCACTAAAGGAGAATGCATTGGAAGGAATACAGGGATCTCTTGGAACTCAAAGGATGGAAGGAGAGCCAGGCATCACTGGGACTTGAACCTGGGACTGCAGTCATTAGGAAACAGCAGGCCACTGTCTATGGGCCTCCTCATCCCTATCCTCCTGGCATCAGTTATTTGTTGCACTTAGCAATTTACCCAGAAACTTAGTGCTTTACAACAACAAACATTGATTATCCCAGTTTCTGTGGGTCAGGAGTCCAGGTATAGCTTAGTTGGATACCTCTGGCTCAGAGTGTCTCACCACGGTAGTTAAGGTATCAGACGGGATCTCAAGGCTCAACGAGGAGCAGATTTGCTTCCAAGTTCTTTTGTGTGGCTGTTGGCAGACCTAAGAAGATCCACTTCCAAGCTCACTCATGAGGCTGTGGGTAGGAAGGATTTAAGTCCTCATTGGCTGTTGGCCAGAGACGTTAACTTCTTGCCATTGGTTTCTCCATGAGGCTACTCACAACCTGGTAACTTGCTTCCCCTAGGACAGGGCTCTAAGAGAGGGCACAAGTTGGAAGTCACAGCCTTTTGTTAGCCTAATCTTGAAAGTGATATCCCATTGCTTTTGCCATACTCTGCTCATCAGAAGCTGGTCACTAGGTCCAGCCCACACTCCAGGGCAGGGGATTACACAAGTACATGAGGACCAAGAGGTGGGGATCATTAGAGACATCTGAGAGGCTGCCTACCACCTACTGTCACCCACTCTTTACTTCTCTTTCTCATTCACTGTAGATATCTCTGTGCTCTGTTACTCTGTGTGCCTGCTCAATTTTTCTCTCTGTGAATATACCTGCTCAGTGTGCTTGTATCTGATCTTAGCCTTGCCCATTACCACCCCCTCCACCAAATGACTTCAGCATTCAAGCCCATTCAAGCCAGATGGGATATCATGGCCCATCACCAACTGTAGAAATCTTTCTTATTCCCAGACCCAGTGCAAAATTAGCCTCCTCATATGAAATCCTTCTGGAACCTCTGTGTGGTCATGTCCCTCCTGGGAGCTCTTAGGGCACTTGGGGTGAGACTCTGTCTCAATCCCTCCAGCACACACCCCACTTGCTGCGGCCCCTGTAGGGAAAGACCATCACAGCTTTTCTCCTAGACTCTAAACACAACAGCATGCTTTTTCTTCTTCTTCTTTTTTTTGAGACGGAGTCACCCAGGCTGGAGTGCAGTGATGCAATCTTGGCTCACTACAACCTCTGTCTCTGGGGTTCAAGCGATTCTCCTGCCTCAGCCTCCCAAGTAGCTGGGATTACAGGCACATTCTATCACACCCAGCTAATTTTTGTATTTTCAGTAGAGATGGGGTTTCACTGTCTTGGCCAGGCTGATCTCAAACTCCTGACCTCAAATGATCCGCCCACCCGGGCCTCCCAAAGTGCTGGGATTAAGGCGTAAGCCAGCACACCCGGCCAGCATTGGCTTTTTAATCTCACATCTGTAGTAGACTTGCCTGGGACTGAGGCCAAGAGGGTACTAGATAAATGCTGATCCAGTTGTGTGGGTGTCAGTATTGCCACACTCTACTGTTTGGGGGATTATAAAGCCTTTTTGATGGTGCCAAGGCTTAACCATTTTGTCCATGTGTCTTGTCTGGGCAACTGGAACATGGCTCCAGGTGAAAAAAATCATTATTTCTATTTCTTTAACAACTGTGAATAAACCACCATGCCTTAATTTTTTGAGAATGTATCATGTGCCAGCCACCTTGCTAAGCACCCTATGTGATAGTAGCTAACATCCAGTGAGCACTGACCCTCTGCCAAGCCTGGTCTAAATGGTTCAAGGGCCTCTGTTAAATGAAGGCAGCAAGGCCTCCTCTTTGCTCCTTCTCATCAGGCAGTCTAGAGGAATATATAGATATGGAGCATATAAATACATAGATATGTGTTTTTTCTCTCTGCAGCCGGCAGAAATTTTCTTCCAAAGTGAACCACCAGTATCTTGGAAATCTTGCCTTCTGCTGGCTCATTTTCACCTGCTTTCAACATGCCAAAGTCCCTTCAGACCTACACGTGCATGCACAGACACACACACACACACACACACACACACACACACACCCCTTTTTCTTGTCTCTGCCATTCCTTCCATGTGGCTTCTCTGTTTTGCTTCCTCTCACTCGGAGTCAAATCAAACACTTCCTCTCTGGTCCCTCCCACCCCCTACCCCCCACCCCCGCTTCCTCCATAACTTTGTGAAGGTGCCTTTGTGCCTACCACTCCTCACAGAGCCAGGGCGTCCAAGAGGGAGGGAAAAGCTAGTAGAAATGGCAGGTGCACTATCAATACAAATACAGCACAGAGAGTTTAGGCTAATTGAGCCCCAGCTTTTTTCCTTTGGGATTTAAACCTGCCCTTTTCAGCGGGCCTGTGTACAGGGCCCTCTAAGTCTTCAGGGACATTTTCCTGGCTTGACCCGAATGCCCTTTTTGGCCTTCACCCAAATAACTGTAGTAGGTTGAAATTAAAAAAAACAAAATCTGTCAATTGTGAAACTCTTGTCTTCAGAAAAGCCCAGAACTTTATCCTCTACGTGGATGCTGTGGAACCCAAATCCCACTCTCCTGCCCCTCCTCTCCTGCTTGGATGTCTGGTTGCCTTTGTGATCACTTGTCTTTGATTTTCTGGTTGGTACTGAAAACCCAGCCTGTTTAGAGTTGAGTTTGTTCTCCTTTCCCCTTCAACAATCTCTCCCCACCCCTCGCTAGTTCTTTTTCTCTGCCAGGCTCAAAGGTGAAGTCCTTTTCACACCATCTTCATTTTCATCCCTAGTATTTTGCCTACATTCTTTTCATTCTATCCCCTCTGCCACCCCTGTGTCTGGCTTCCTCATTCCTCCTATACCCAGCTTGGTTCTCACATTCTGCAAAATTGTGCTACATGGCTAAACCAATGAACACTGCTGAATTCATGCGTCTTGCTTCTTCCCTGGAGCAGCTGAAAGAGCATGGGCTATGGCATCAGGCAACACAGGATTTAAAATTTGATTCTGCTGTACTGTGGTTTAAATGTGTCCCCCTTCAAAATTCAGGTGTTGAAACTGAATGGCCAAAGTAATGGTTTTAAGAGGTGGGGCCTTTAAAAGGGGAGTAGTGCCCTTCATGAGTGGCATTAAGTGCCCTTATAAAAGGGTTTGATGGAAGGAGTTTATTCCTTTTGCCCTTGACTTCCGTCATGTGAGGACACAGTATAATTCTCCTCCAGAGGATGCAGCCCTTACCTGACCACCAAACCTGCTGGCACCTTGATCTTGGACTTGCTAGCCTCCAGAACTGTGATAAATAAGTTTCTGTTCATTATAAACTGCCCAGTCTGTAGTGTCCCATTATAGCAGCATAAATGGACTAAGCTATACTGCTTGAAAATTTGCTTTCTTACCTTAGGTCCATGACTTCACCTCTTTGAACTTCAGTTTCCTCATCTGTATAGTGCAATAATGATATCCATCTCACTGGGCTTTTCAGAGAAAAGCAAAGTGCACCTGCCCTCTTGCAGCTAAAGCAGAATAGCTTAGTCTGTTTATGCTGCTGTAACAGGACACCACAGATAGGTAGTACATAAAGAACAGAAATTTATTTCTTACAATTCTGGATGCAGGCAAGTCCAAGATATTAGCTCCCTCTTCTAATACTTACTGTGAATCCTCATTGCCTAGTGATTCAGGATAGAGCTTCTCAAGCCCCACATTCCAGATTCCTCCAGTGATCCCTGCCACCACTTCCTACCACACCATCTCGGGCAGGTCTGGTCCAGCAGGCTGCCCAGGAATCCCTGAGTCTGCCACCTGTGCCTGGCTGCCCATCCTTTGCACCACAGTCTCCCTCTCTACCCATTCAAGCCTGGGCTCTCTACAATGCCCAGTGCAGGTCATCTCTTCATGGGAAGCCTTCCTTCCCTGGTTACTATAGAACAGTGTTAGAACAGTGCCACCAGTTTCTATACTAACTTTAGTGATGACAGTTTATATTGTGTTATATTAATAGTTCTCACTTGATGGGAAAATTTTGAAATGTGAATCTGCAATAAGTAAAATCACAAATTGCACACTATTAAAATTGGCAGAGCTAATCAATTATTAGCAATTTTGACACTATCTCCCTGTGACTATACTACTCTGGCGGTTGAACAGAAATGCTCACCTGTGTGGAACAGGCATGAACTCTGGGAGTGTTGAGGCATTTTGGCAGATATCCCTCTTCTAAAATATGGCCACTGGTATGTCACCATCTAGCCCTTGCTGCTGCTTCATGGTCGCGTGGGGCAGGTCCTGCACAGATCCAGTAGACAGGAGTTGGCTTGGTTTGCTTAGCTTCCTGTTGATCACATGGTTCACAACACTCAGATGAGAGGGTTCCCTTACATCCAGCCCTGACATGTACTATAGATTGGGATTAAAGAAGAAAAAGGTATCCAAGTTTCTCTCTAGCTCTCTATCAGGCTCACTTTCTGGGAGAAAAATGTTGATTTTTCTAAAGTAGATAAAACTCTGCTCCACCCAAAGAAAGTGGCTTTTAATTCATCAGAGGAAAAGGTCAAACCTGTGTTTGTTATCAAAGGATTACATAAAAGTCAATTGTGTGCTGCTGGGTCACCTACAGTGACCTCTCCTTTTTAGAATAGACAGTTTCAGTCTAATTCCAATATAATTGAGGGCCACCCTGTGTTAGGCCTAACCCTGAATGTAGCCTGAAGAACCCTTAAGATAAAGGAGCCATGTTAAGAAAATTATTTTCTGCTATGCTTATACTGTATTTAGAATTCAGTATACCAAGTTCATAAGAATGAGGACTAGCTGTGTTTCCACCCTGGCTTATAATCTCATGGGATAGTAAATCCCTTTAACCATTAGATATCCCGGCAAATGAATGTCCATTTGAGGGGGGTTAGAATGTACAGGTATAAATTATGCATGGTGTGGTGGGCACTGGCGTCTACTGAATGTTCCTGCTTCTTGGTTCCACACAGTTGTTGATGTCTATCAAGGCTGGTGTGGCCCCTGCAAACCTGTGGTGAGCCTCTTCCAGAAGATGAGGATCGAGGTCGGCCTGGACCTTCTGCACTTTGCATTAGTAAGATTCTCTCTCAGCCAACAGTCATACAACATTGTAAAAAGAATTTAAAAATTTAAAAGAGTCAGGAAGGAGAAGTGTGAGAGTGACCTTTCTCAGGTCATTAAAAAGGAATCAGTGTGGACTTTTTGTTGATACTGTCATGATACTTTCTAATTTCTCTAGTTATGAAGGTTCCTATTCCCCACCCCACCTCCCTGTGTCCCTCTTGGCTTGAGCAGTTCTTGGTGCTGTATGAAGAGAAGAAATATATGTCACTCAAATGCATATTCTCCCTCTTCTTTTTTCTTTTTCCTGTCACCCAGGCTGGAGTGCAGTGGTGGTATCACGGCTTATTGCAGCCTTTGCCTCCCAGCCTCAAGTGATCCTACCACCTCAGCTGCCCAACTAGCTGGGACTATATAGGCACATGCCACCATGCTTGACTAATTTTTTAACTTTTTGTAGAGACAAGGTATAATTATATTGCCCAGGCTGGTCTAGAACTCCCAGGCTCAAGCAATCCTCCCACCACAGCGTCCCAAAGTGTTGGGATTACAGGCATGAGCCACCACCCCAGCCACATCTCCTTCTTGGCTCATGAACACTGTTGACTGAAATGTCATTTTCAGAGCAAAGGGTTTTAAGATTTCCATCCTCTGCACCATAAAGGGGAACTTTTAGCAAATATTTATTTGGATGAATGTATGGAAATGGGAATAAATTCCAGAGAAGTGTGCAAGAGACACTGTTGATATGCTGCATGGGTTTGAGGTTCATAGGCAGTGAAGACAGGAGAAAATATAACTTACAATAATCACTCAAGAAGTTGGACTTCAAGGACTCTGCAGTTCCTCCTTTGGCAGTCAGTCTTGGTGCTTCCATAAGGAGTGTGCTGTAGAAGGGCTTGCGTGGGGGATCTCTTATGCCCATGTGCGGCAGGTTTCTCAGACAATGAAGGTGGTGCCTGAGGACCTTCACCTCGGTTGTCAGTCATGGCTGCAGAAGGACATTAGCCAGTAACGCTCCCTTGGACTGGTGCAGTAGCTGGGGGGCGGGTAGGAGATACTCTTGCTTCCTCATTTGATTCTTCAAGAGAGTACATGTCCGCAATTTTATAGGACAGCTCTGATTAGCAGGAACAGCATGAGAGCAAATCGGGGCTCTACCTGGGGAAGTCAGTCCTGGGGGTGTTCAGTTCCCTGTGTGGTTTCCCACCAATCAATTGGGCCCTGCACCCCCTGCATCCAGGGTACCTGCTGATAGTGGCTTTCTTTAGGCAGAGGCAGATCGTCTTGATGTCCTCGAAAAGTACAGAGGGAAGTGCGAGCCAACCTTTCTGTTTTATGCAGTAAGTACATTTTCAGAATCAGAACTATTTGACGATTGCAAATCATTAGAGTTCAAAATAGAAGCATCTCACTGACATTAATTCACTCTTGGAGAATTAATGGGAACCACCAAGAGGCCTCACAGATTCAAACAAGTGATGCTGTTTTCTCTGATGCCTCCCAGTCTATTTTTATGATGTTGGCTACATGACACCCCCACCCCCAAGTCTAACTGGTGATACAAGCTGCTGACTAGGATGGCAGCCTGAGGGCCCTGTGCCCAAGGAGGTGGATGACACAGCACCCTAGTGGTCACTGTGCTGGGGCAACCTTCCTGACTTGCTGTACACAGGGAGAGAGTACCAGTCACTCAAATGTACATGCTCCTTTTTGGCTCATGAATACTCTAGACTGAGGCTTCACTCTCAGAGCACAGGGTTTCAAGATTTCTATCCTTTGCTCCGTAAAGGGGAATTTTTAGTAAAAATAGATACTCCTTTATGGGGCAGACAAGCTCTTCATTCACTTTTATTTAATCAGAAAATGTGAAGATATGTTTATAGAAAGTTAGAAATGAGAGGGACTATTGAGGAAAACCAAGTGGCCCAGTGTTTTGAAAATATAATTTGGATGTCCTTGGGTGTGACATCCATGGTCCAGCTCTATGCCCCTTAGGGCCCACTGTTTCACACTTGGCTTCCTAGGTTTAGGCCACCTGCCAGGCTCGGATGGCAATGGATCGATATACCTCCTCACTGAGACCAGCCCCTCATTGTAGAGTCAGGAATACTGGGATCTACTCAACCAGGTCTCCAAACACCAGGCTAGGGTTGTTTAATTTGGAAAACTTCAGCCTCCTGGCCTCAGCACTGCAAGTATTACAAATTGGAAACTTATGATAAAACATTATTTGAGCTTTGGATTTTAGTAGGGAGACTGAATTTACATGAGATAACATGGTTGGGAGGAAAGGAGGGAGAAGTAGGAAGGAGCTCAGAGATGAGCATGCCCCAGACACACTTGACATCAGAGCTCAGTTGCAGAAATGGGATCATTACCACAATGGCTTAATTGCTTGAGCCCATAGCAATTAAAGCATAAATCCTAATTGGCTGTATGGAAACATGGGCCACAATCTTCAACCCTATGGTGGCCCACTGAGGAATGGGATGGAAATGGAAGGAGGACCCACTCTATGTGAACTTCTCCCTCTCCAGATCCATTTCTTTGTGAGTACAAACGTAGAGACTTTTGGCCGGGTGCAGTGGCTCACACCTGTAATCCCAGCACTTTGGGAGGCCAAGGTAGGCAGATCACCTGAGGTCAGGAGTTTGAGACCAGCCTGGCCAACATGGTGAAACGCCGTCTCTGCTAAAAATACAAAAATTAGCCAGGCCTGGTGGCGGGTGTCTGTAATCCCAGCTACTTAGGAGGCTGAGGCAGGAGAATCACTTGAACCCAGGAGGCGGAGGTTGCAGTGAGCCGAGACCACACCATTGAACTCCAGCCTGGGCAACAAGAGTGAAACTCCATCTCATAAATAAATAAATAAATAAATAAATAGACTTTTGAAAGAGTTAAAGCAGAAACTCAGGTTCATCCCAAATACCACCTGGACTGTGAAGGCTTCCCTGACCATCTCAGATGATGCTGGCAATTCTTGCCCCAAGTTCCAAGCACCTTATAAGTTTCCCTATTACAGCAATTATTTCATAGTATTGTAATTGTTTCTTCAGCTTGGCCAGCCATCCCTCTCCCCACTCTACTACCCATTCATGAAGGCTGCAGCTATGTTTTTTCATGTTTAATGTTTATATTCTTTGCCTCTGCCTTAGTGCTTGGTATAGTAAGTGCTCAATAATATTTGTTGAATGAATAAATCATGTGTAAGCCACACTTAGTCACTCATAACTTACTATGTATTGTTCCTCCCTTAATGAACTGCTGGTTACCCTGAAGGAAGCTTTGAAAGGAGTGGCATGGCCTAGAAGGTAGATATCAGAAAAAGAGAAATCATTTAAAACTAGGAGCAGACTGGCCAGGTGCGGTGGCTCACGCCTGTAATCCCAACGCTTTGGGAGGCCGAGACAGGCAGATCACGAGGTCAGGAGATCGAGACCATCCTGCCTAACATGGTGAAACCCCGTCTCTACTAAAAATACAAAAAAATTAGCCGGGCATGGTGGCGGGCACCTGTAGTTCCAGCTATTCAGGAGACTGAGGCAGGAGAATGGTGTGAACCTGGGAGGTGGAGCTTGTAGTGAGCCGAGGTCACGCCACTGCACTCCAGCCTGGGCGACAGAGCAAGACTCCGTCTCGAACAAACAAACAAACAAACAAACAAAAAACCTAGGAGCAGACCTGAGGGTGTCCTGCCAAGGGAGGGCAGCAGAAGTGAGCACGCTGCTACAGGCCTGGGGTTGAGGGACCTTGAACTTGGGGACACTCCTAGACACTCTTGCCATCTCTTACAAGAGATTAATATTTGCCAAGAGTATTTCATGCTGTTTGTAACGTATTCTAGGGAGGAGAACTGGTGGCTGTGGTTAGAGGAGCAAATGCCCCACTGCTGCAGAAAACCATCCTAGACCAGCTGGAGGCCGAAAAGAAAGTGCTGGCTGAAGGCAGAGAACGGAAAGTGGTAACTGGAGGTCACTTCTATAAGCAGCTAACTCACAAGTGCGCTAGTAGGGCGAGATCAGCAGTCCCCATCTCCTTCACCTGACTTTCCTGGAGCTGTCGGTGGACAGCTTCATAAAAGTTTCACCTGGGTCTGTTCCTCATGCACTGTGCCCTGGTGATATGTGTGCATTTTGAAACCTTCTTATAAAAGCCATCTCTTTCATCCAGAGTGCTTTATTTTATCCATTTCCCTTTCGTCTCCCACCTCAACTCTTAACAATGAATTCAGAAATGAAAATCAAGTTACAGAATGGAGTGGTGGGTAGGAGAAGTCAGCTATCCTGGGCTCCTCTCAGCCTTGAGGTGAAATCTCTCCTAGTGACCCACTGGCTCATATTCCTGAAGGTTTTACTTGTGAACTCAGAGGGCTCATTTCTTTAACCTAGAAATTAAGGTCTGTCATTATCATGAGAAATAGAATCAGCAAAGCTTGTGATTTTGATACATTATTTCCATGATAACATTGACTGCCAGTTCTTCAAATAATTGGCTGCCTTTGAAAATCAACATACCGTAGGTAGAGAGGTATTTCCTGGTGCTTTGAGCATCTGGCAAATGTGACTCAACACCATTCCATGTTCATTGTTCAAGTTTTCTTATTAAATTCCAAATAGCAAAGCTCCATTTTTATAGAATGGATTAGAATCAAATCATATTTTTCCCAAGAAAACTGGCCATTTTCCCTCACAAAAGAAAACTGCAAATGCTAACATTTTCATGTGCCTCCTCCAAGGGAATATTATCTCTTGGCGGCTTCTCTGTACTGCATAGTCAATCTCTTAATATTTACTTACATTTCAATTCTTTGTCTTCTTATCAACTATCTCTACTTAATGCTTATGAAAAGAGGCAGACTCTAAAACTTAAGCGTGGATTTTCTTGTATTCTAATTCTGTCAGTCCCACACCATCACCCAACTACCAAAAAGGGTCCTGTAAAGTTTCCAAGACTGATAATTTTGACATTTTTTTCTCTGTGTTTTGGAGCTTTGCTTTTTTTAGTTTCTACAGGTTTTTGAAGGTCTTAGTGGTAATGTTAATTAGCTAACTACTTTCTTTTAATGACCAATTTGTACTAGATTAAAGATGAGGCTCTTTCTGATGAAGATGAATGTGTTTCCCATGGAAAGAATAATGGTGAAGATGAGGACATGGGTGAGTGCAGAACCAATGAGCAAGGGAAAAAAGCAAAGCAGACTCAGATTTTATATATGTTTAAAATAGATGAGTATTCAGTTTACTGAGCAATCTGAACTATGAGAAGATTTTTTAATGGTTCATAATTTTCTTTTAAAAATTGATATATAATAGATGTGCATATTTTCAGAGTACATAAGATAATTTGATACACTCATATAATTAAATCAGGGTAATTGGGATATCCATCACCTTAAATATTTATCTTTTCTTTATGCTATGGATATCCAAATTATTTTCTTCTAGCTATTTTGAAATGTACAAAAGATTAATGTTAACTATATTCACCCTACTGATTTCTTGAATACCAGGTCTGATTTCTTCTGTCTATCTGTAGATTGTACCTATTAATCAACCTCTCTTCATTCCTCTCTCTCCACTTCCTGGCCTCTGGTAATCACCAATCTACTCTCTATCTTCATGAGATCCATTTTTTAAGTTCCCACATATGAGTAAGAACATGTGCTATTTGTTGTTCTTTGCTTGGGGGCTTATTTCACTTAACATAATGATCTCCAGTTCTATCCATGTTGCCACAAATGACAGGATTTTAATCTTTTAAATTAATGAATAATATTCCCTTGTGTATATACACCACATTTTCTTTATTCATCCATTGATGGGCACTTAGGTTGATTCCATATTTTGGCTACCGTGAATACTGCTGCAATAAACACGGGAGTGCAGATATCTCTTGATTTCCTCTCTTTTGGATATATACATAGTAGTGGGATTGTTGGATCATATGGTAGCTCTAGTTTTGTTTTTTCAGGGACCTCCATACTGTTTTCTATAGTGGCTGTGCTAATTTACATTCATACCAGCAGTATATGAACATTCCCCTTTCTCTACATCCTCACCTCATTATTCTTTTTTTTGTTTTGCTTTGTTTTGTTTTGAGACAGAGTCTCCCTCTGTCGCCCAGGTTGGAGTGCAGTGGTGTGATCTTGGCTCACTGCAACCTCTGCCTCCCAGGTTCAAGCAATTCTCGTGCCTCAGCCTCCCTGAGTAGCTGGGATTACAAGCACCCGCCACCACACCTGGCTAATTTTTACATTTTTAGTAGAGACTGGATTTCGCCATGTTGGCCAGGCTGGTTTTGAACTCCTGACATCAGGTGATCCACCCGCCTTGGCCTCCCAAAGTGCTGGGATTACAGGCGTGAGCCACCACACCTGGCCTCCCTTTTTTTTCTTAATAGTCCCCATTCTAACTGGGGTGAGATGACATCTTATTGTGATTTTATGATTTGCATTTCCCTGATGATTAGTGATATTGAGCACCTTTTTCATATACCCACTGGCCATTTTTATGTCTTTTTTTGGAGAAATGTCTACTCAGCTCTTTTGCCCATTTAAAAATCAGATTATTTTTCTTTTTGCTTTTAAGTTGTTTGAGCTCCTTATATATTCTGGTTATTAATCCCTTGTCGGAGGGATAGTTTGCAAATATTTTCTCCCACTCTGTGGGTTGTCTCTTCACTTTGTTGATTGTGTCCTTTGCTTTGCAGAAGCTTCTTTGCTTGATGTGATCTCATTTATCTATTTTTGCTTTTGTTGCCTATGCTTTTGAGGTCTTACACAAAAAATCTTTGTTCAGACCAATATCCTGGAGCATTTCCCCAATGTTGTCTTTTGATAGTTTCATAGTATCAGGTCTTAGAATTATGCCTTTAATCTATTTTGATTTTGTATTTGTATATGGTGAGAAATAGGGGTGTAATTTCATTCTTCTGCATATGGTTATTCAGTTTAACCAGCACCATTTATTGAAGAGAATGTCCTTTTCACCATTGTATGTTCTTGGCACCTTTGTTGAAAATGAGCTGGCTATAAATGTGTGGATTTACATCTGGGTTCGCTATTCTGTGTCTGTTTTTATGCTAGTATTTTGCTGTTTTGGTCACTATAGCTTTGTAGTATAATCTGAAGTCAGGTAGTGTGATGCCTCCAGGTTTGTTATTTTTGCTCAGGATGGCTTTGGTTATTTGGGGTCTTTTGTGGTTCCATATAAATTTTAGGATTGTATTTTCTATTTCTGAGAAGAATGTCTTTGGTATTTTGATAGGGATTGCATTGAATCTGTAAATTGCCTTGGGCACTATTAACATTTTAACAATATTAATTCTCCCAATCCATCAGCATGGAATATCTTTCCATTTGTGTGTGTGTGTGTCCTCTTCAATTTCTTTCATCAGTGTATCATAGTTTTCCTTGTAGAGAGCTTTCACATCTTTTGGTTAAATTGAAGTCTACATTTTTATATTCTTTGTAGCTATTGTAAATGTGATTGCTTTCTTGGTTTCTTTTTCAGATTGTTTGCTGTTGGTATATACATATGCTACGGGTTTTTGTATGTTGATTTTGTATCCTGCAACTTCACTGATTTCGTTTATCAGTTCTAACAGTTTTTTGGTGGGGTCTTTGAATTAAAGTGGTAAAAGCAGGCATCCTTGTCTTATTCGAGATTTTTGAGGGAAGGCTTTGAAATTTTCCCCATTCACTATGATGCTGGCTGTGGGTTTGTTATACATGGCTTTTATTGTTTTGAGGTATGTTCCTTCTATACCCAGTGTTTTGAAGGTTTTTTATCATAAAGGGAATTCAAATTTTATTGAATGGTTTTTCAGCATCTATTGGAATGATTATATGGTTTTTGTTCTTGGTTCTGTTAATGATTTGATGAATCACATTTATTGATTTACATATGATGAACCCTTTTTACATCCCTGGGATGAATCCCACATAGTGAATGATCTTTTTGATGTGTTGTTGAAGTTGGTTTGTTAGTATTTTGTTTAGGACTTTTTCATCTATGTTCTTCAAGGATATTGGCCTGGTTTTCTCGTTTTGTTGTGTCCTTGTCTGGTTTTGCTATCAGGGCAATTCTGGCCTCACAGAATGAGTTTGGAAGTTTCCCCTCCTCTTCAAATTTTTTTGAAGAGTTTGAGTATAATTGGTATTAGTTATTCTTTAAATGTTTGGTAGAATTTAGAATTGAAGCCATCAGGTCCTGAGATTTTCTTTGGCAGAAGACTTTTTATTACAGTTGTGATCTTGTTATTTGTTATTGGTTTGTTGAGGTTTTCTATTTCTTCATGGTTCAATCTTGGTAGACTGCATATATCCAGGAATTTATCTATTTCTTTTAGGTTTTCAAATTTGTTGGTGTATAGTTGTTCATAACAGTGTCTAATGATTCTTTATATTTCTGTGGTTTCCAGTTGTTATGTCTCCATTTTCTTTCTGATTTTATTTGGGTCATCTCTTTTTCTTAGTCTAGCTAAAGTTTCGTTGATTTTATCTTTTCAAAAAATCAACTTTTTGCTTCATTGATCTTCTGTATTTTTTAGGCTCAATTTCATTTATTTCTGCTCTGATCTTTATTATTTGCTTCCTAGTACTAATTGGGGGTTTGGTTATTGCTTTTTTAGCGCATTTGGGTGCATCCATTCGGTTATTTGAAGTCTTCCTACGTTTTTTGATGTAAGCATTTATTGCTACAAACTTCCCCTTTACTGTATTACTCCTTTTACTGTATCCTGTAGATTTTGGATGTGTATTTCCGTTTTCATTTGTTTCAAGAAATTAAAAATTTCCCTTTTTAATTTATTCTCTGATGCATTTGTTGTTCATGAGTATGTTGTCTAATTTTCATGTGTTTGTGTAGTTTCTGAGGTTCCTCTTACTATTGATTTCTAATTTTATTTCACTGTGGTCAGAAAAGATATATATGATTTCTGCTTTTTTAAATTTGTTGTGACTAGTTTTGTGGCTTATAATTTGCTCTATTCTGGAGAATATTCCACATGCTGATGAAAATAATGTCTTTTCTGTAGCAGTTGGGTGAAATCTTCTGTAAATATCAGTTAGGTCTGTTTGGTCTAGTATGCAGTTTGACTATGACGTTTGTCTTCTGCCTGAATGATCTGTCCATCACTAACAGTAGGGTGTTGAAGTCCCCTATGTATTGTAGTATTGTATTACTGTATTGCAGTCTATCTTTCCCTTTAGATCTATTAATGTTTGTTTTATATACTTGAGTGTTCTGGTGTTGGGTAGATATTTATAATTGTTACTCTTGATGAACTGACTCCTTTATCATTATATAGTGACCTTCTCTAAGTATATTTTCTCTTGCTCTCTTTTGGTTTCCACTTGCAATGAATATCTTTTTCCATGCCTTCACTTTCAGTCTATGTGTCTTTATAGGTAAAGTGGGTTTCTTGTAGGCAGCATATAGTTGGGTCTTGGTTTCTTTTCTTTTTTTTTTTTGAGATGGAGTTTCACTCGTCGCCCAGGCTAGCATGATCTTGGCTCACTGCAACCTCCACCTCCTGGGTTCAAGCGATTCTCCTGCCTCAGCCTCCCAATTAGCTGGGATTACAGGCATGGACCACCACACCTGGCTAATTTTGTATTTTTAGTAGAGATGGGGTTTCTCCATGTTGGTCAGGCTGGTCTGGAACTCCCGACCTCAGGTGATCTGCCTGCCTTGGCCTCCCAAAGTCTTGGGATTACAGGCATGAGCCACTGCATCTGGCTTTTTTTTTTCTTTTGAGACAGTCTAGCTCTGTCACCCAGGCTGGAGTGCAGTGGCATGATCTTGGCTCACTCTAGTTCTGTCACCCAGGCTGGAGTGCAATGGTGCGATTTTAGCTTACTGCAACCTCCGCCTCCTGGGCTCAGGTGATTCTCATGCCTCAGCCTCCTGGGTAGCTGGGATTACAGGCGTGTGCCACCATGCCCAACTAATTTTTGTATTTTTAGTAGAGACAGGGTTTCACCATGTTGGCCAGGTTGGTCTTGATCTCCTAGCCTCGAGTGATCCACTTGCCTTGGCCTCCCAAAATGCTGGGATTATAGGCGTGAGCCACTGTGCCCAGCCAACAGTGGGTTTTATACCTCAAATGTCTTCTTTTTGCATATTAGTATTTTTTTCTTTCAGATTAAAGATTTCCTTAGGCATTCCTTCTTTTTTTTTTTTTGTTTGAGATGAAGTCTCACTCTGTCAACCAGGCTGAAGTGCAGTGGCACAATCTTGGCTCACTGCAACCTCTGCCTCCTGGGTTCAAGTGATTCTCCTGCTGCCTCAGCCTCCCCAGTAGCTGGGATTACAGGCATGTGCCACCACACCTAGCTAATTTTTTTTTTGTATTTTTAGTAGAAACAGGGTTTTGCCCTGTTGGTCAGGCTGGTCTTGAACCCCTGATGTCAGGTGATCTGCCCACCTCAGCCTCCCAAAGTGCTGGGCCACCATGCCTGGCCTGCCTTCATATTTGAAGGATAGCTTTGCTGGGTACAGTATTCTTGGATGACAGTTTTTTTTTTTTTTTTTTTTTTTTCTTTCAGTATTTTGGAAATGTCATTCCACTGCCTCCTGGCCTATATAGTTTCTATTGAGAAGCCTGTTGCTAGATAAATTGGAAAGACTCTGGGAAGCTTAACCATAAAATATTTTGTCTCCAGTCACTTGACTTCAAACATACTGTGTCAAATATCTTTTTGGATCTTTATCAGCATTTTGGGCACATTTCACAGCATTTTATGTTCAAATATAACACGTGTGACTTTCATCGCAATTACCAGGCATCAAAAAAGCTGCATGTAATAAAATGGAGGGTAGCAACACCAATAATCGAAAGCAATGATGCTGTTATTTCCTTAGTTCTTATTTGAACTTTTTAAAAAAGCTCAAGCTTCTTTTTTCACCTCTTTCTTAAATGTTAGAAAACCTTTCCTTCCCAGAGCCCTACAACCTCTTTCCTGTGTTCCCCAAATATTAACTTGCAGATTTTACACTCCTGGGTATCACAGTACTTCTTGAACCCTTCATATGAGAACAACTTGACCTGACAGAATGAAGAAAAGCTAACAGTTAGGAAGGCTGTTGCTGGGACGGTGTCTCTTGGTGGTAACTGAGACATGAGGGAAAACCAGAATTAGGCTCAGGAACTGTGTTGATAAGAGGAGGAAGATTTTTTAAATTATTGCTTGAAATAGGCTGTTTTTACATGTGTGGAGAATAAGAATTGTTTGAGTTGGATTCTAACAACGGAGAAGGCACAGTTTAGGACAGCAAAACTTCAAGGGTGAAGAGAAAATCAGTGATTGTGATTCTGCAGGAGACATTTGTTGCTCCCCTGTTGCATCATCTCCTCTTTCTTCCCTCCTCCATGATTTCCTCCCAAATCAAGTCTCTCCCACGTAGAAAACCATCTAAGATACCGCCCTTACCCTTCCTTAGCCTTCCTCTTATTCACAGCCAAGCTTCCTTTGTCCACACTCTAGGCCACCTTCACTTTCCATTCATGCCCCGACCTGCAGCAATCTGGCCTCTGCGCTCACTACTCCCTGAAATGGTGCTCATTGGTGGCACCAACAGGTAGTTACCAGTTCATATCTTATGGGATTTTTCTGCAGAATGGGATGATGTTCACAATGTCTTCCTTCTCAAAACCTTCTCTTCCGGTTTCTGAGATGTCACAACTTTTCTTGTTTTCCTTCTATGTCTCTGGCCTCTCCTCAGTTTCTCCTTCATTGGCTTCTTTTCTTGTGCTGCCCTTTTAACCTGGAGCACCCCAGGCCCCTGCTTTGGTCTCTTTTCTTCTTCCTCTACCTCTAGGTGATCTCACTAATCAATTTATAATGGAATTTATTGTAAAACTCTCTTAAAATCTAAATATTCATAACACGTTAGAAATAGTAATGTCAGAAAGAAATAACAGATTTGTTGCTTGAAATGATTTATACATTTGCAGTACATGTTTTTGAGATTTTTCAGAGTAGAAGCCCTCGTTAAATGTAGATATTGTCTTGTTTCATTTCAACACAACCAATGTAAAAGCTGAGAAACAAAATAGGTGATGGGAGAATGATGATTCTGTGGAGAGTGTAGATAACTCATCCAAGACAAGTTTATATAATATAAGCAGGAGGACAATGGAGATGGGCTCATGGACTAGACACAGACCTCCCTACAGCTCCTGTGGGACTAAGCAGTGGACTCTGATCCTGTGGCACCTCCCTCATTGTCATAGCTAATTGGACTGGTGGATGCTTATTCAAGGGCAGTCAATCAGCAGACTGGCCAGTGAGCTAGGGCTGGTACCTTGGCTAAAACCAATGAGTGGGGCAATCTGGCTTCTCTCAGGAGAACTTGAACGGAGACAGACTACTGAAACTGCAATCTGGTAGTATGTGCTGGAGCTGAGAAGTCATGGAACATCATGCAGACTCAGGGCCTGGAGGAGCCATTTTTAGCCACATGGCAGGAAAGGGAAAAAGTATCAGAGGCACAGGAGCCAGTAGAGTGAAAGGAGAGCACGTGGCAGACAGCAGGTAGAGTGCTGGGAATCATGAGAGGGTGAGGGCAGCCAGGCCTGTATTGCCCATGCTCCAGGCCCCCCTCTCACTTTCTCCTATACCTCCTCTTCTTCCCACTCCCCAGGCCAACTCAATTCAGTTGTTTCTGGATTTCTGGTCCCAAGCAGTCTTTGAGCAATCCCTTCTCCCATGTTCCTCCTCTGCCACCTGCCCAGGTTCATTGAGCCAGTCTCTGAGTCTCTGTTCCTTGCAGCAAGATGGAGGTTGAGGTCTGGCCTCAGGTCTGGAGTCAGACTGGTGCATCCACCAGAGTCCAGGTTTGCAGGGGCAAAACTAAGAGGCCAGGGAAGGGAACTCTGAGAGCCCAAGCCTGTGCCTGGCACTTGGTGCAATGGAGCCTTGTGTAGAGGTTGCATTGTTTTTTGTGGATGGCCTCTCAGGAGCCTCAAACATCAGCATCTGACAGCACCATTTTTTGGCTTAGTTTCATCAGAGAGGACCTGTACCTTGGCCATCATTAAACCAGATGCAGTGGCCCATGGAAAGACTGATGAGATTATCATGAAGGTAAGAGAGACAACACTTACCATGCACCACTGTCCTTGTGTCCTCTTTTGTGGATAAACAGGGATGGGGCACTGGGCAGTGATATCTTAGTGCAGAAAGATGAATTCTAAGGGGTTGTAGCTCAAGTTCCATTCAAGTAAATGAAAATGTTAAATCTGATTGGGACAGATAATGTGGGGATCAGTGTCTCCACAGCCTTTAATGTTGCCTGTCTTTATTTTTTACCTTTCAACTAAATTAATTAATCAATGTGAATTTGGGCTTGATTTACCCTTTTAGAATATTTATATATATTCTACAGATTCAGGAAGCTGGGTTTGAAATTCTAACAAATGAAGAGAGAACCATGACAGAGGCAGAAGTGCGACTTTTCTACCAACACAAAGCTGGAGAGGTCAGCTCATCTACTTCCACAAGTTCAACACACTGTCGTTTCTCTTCCTCCAACATTATGCTTATAGATTGATATCAGTTTGTGACAGAAGAAATTATGAAGAACCAAAATAGGAACAGCAAGTGGGTCATGAATTTATTCTCAGAATGACAATAGGCTGTATCAGGTAAAGTTTTTTGGTTGCAAAGAAAAGGTTTTCTCTCTAAGAAATGAATTAAGGAATTTATTAGAAGGAAAGTCCATAACTCACAGAATTGAAGGGAGAGTTTAATGAGAAGGGCTTGGAGACAAAAGGAAGCTAGGGATCTCGAAGCAAAGCCTCGAGCATATCACTTTAGATACTGCCATTGGATAACTCAGATCTAACTACCTTCCATTTGCTTCTGCTGATAACCCACCTGCTTGGGAGTCTTCTTGGCTTAGCTTGGGTCAGAACCCTTCCTCTCAGGTCAGGGGTGTGTGTGTGTGTTGGGGAATAGGCATCCCATGGTTGTCAGTCAAACTTGGACCAAATGAAATGGGTAAGGGCTGTTCCCCAAAGGAAAACCAGAGTACTGTTACTTGAAGAGGGAGGAAGGGTTGTGAGGCATTGCATGGAAAAGAAAAAAAGTACCAACTATATTTCAGCCCTTGGTTATCCAGCATCACACGATTTCCATAGATATGGTCTTTTAAATGTCTCTGCCTAATTTATATAATCTCACGTTTATTCCCAAATGAGTCAACTTAAAAGTCTCGTCATTCTGAGTTCTGAGTGTGGTAGGTCATCACTACCACCCATCCCTGACACCCTCCACAGCAGGCAGAGGTGGCCAGGCAGAGACAGGGTGCAGTGGCTGAGTGGCCACGGGCATGCTGGCTGGTAGCAAGGCTGCTCACTAACTCCCTCCCATTCCGTGGGTGAGATGGGCTCGCTGATCCTCTGCAGGCCCTAGCAGCTCCTGCCCTGGTCACTGTTTTCCCTCCCTGTGCCTAGGAGGCATTTGAGAAGCTGGTACATCACATGTGCAGTGGACCAAGCCACCTCCTGATCCTCACCAGGACTGAGGGCTTCGAGGACGTGGTCACTACCTGGCGAACCGTCATGGGCCCCCGTGACCCCAATGTGGCCAGGAGGGAGCAGCCAGAAAGGTGATGTCACCAGCTGTGGTCCTTTCATCCATCTTAAAACCTGCATCCCAGGAGGCTGAGTCCCACTCAGTGTTCAGCCTAGAATCATGGGTAACACAGAGGACTCTCTGATGGCCAGGCTCTCTATTATATATTTGGGGAGACCCTGACATCTTCCCGCTCTGTTCCAGTCCTCAGCCTTTGCTGAGGGCCTCCTGTAAGCTGCTTCCTCTTCCTGCTCTGTCCTCTTCTGAAGGCTGCTTCTGGATTCATTCCTCAGTCGCTGTTTTCTCTTTTCGGCCAGAGGATTCCACAGGGTACTCCCAGGAACATACAGATTCTAGGGCCCCATTCAAGCCTGTCAATCAGAGACTCTGGGCCAGGGCCTGAGAATCTGCACTGTAGTCTCAATGCCATCCAAACCTACTCCCCATCAGGGTGTCTGAGGCCCTCGGGAGTCTGAGTACCTTGTTCTGCACATTGCACTGGGCTTGCTTGGCCTGCTCCTTGGACTTGGGAGTATTTAGCTTGGCGCCAGCAATCCAAATCCACTTTACCTTGGCCTTTGAAGCTGACAGGCCCAGACAACAGGAAAGAAATTAGAGAAGCCAAGGAACTGCAGTTGTACTTTGTAGGTGTAGGGGACCAGGAACATTTATATATGAGGCAGGCTGGGCTAGTGAAAGCCAGCTCAGGATTCAGATCTTAGGTCACTGCAAGTCTCTTCTCAGCCTGAGTTCTCTCAACTGTAAAACGGGGATATGAGCATCCATCAGGATTGTGTATACATACATGTATATATCTCACCGAGTAGTGCTTGACACACAGGAAATCATAGCAATATTATCTTACGAGGTTATTGCAAGGATAACTATGCACAACTTTATCAAGCACTTGGTATGGTGCTAGCCTTTGGTAGTAATATCGAAAAAATGGCAGCTCCTGTGCTTACACCATTAATCATGCATCTTTAAAATGGGGGTAACAGTAGACTCCCTCATAGAGCTGTGGCGAAAATGTAATGGGATCGTGTAGGTAAAGTACCCAGCTATGTGCCCAGCACACTGCCATGACCAAATAAATGCCAGCTGCTATTATCATTGCTGCTGTTCTTGGTATTTCCTGCAGAGAAATCAATTTCACAGGAATGCAGGGTGCTGATTGGTAGTCGGTGATCATGTTGCCAGAAAGCAAAACATTTCTTTTCAAATGAAACAATTGTTTCTTTTACATTTTGCCAATGTTCCCAGTCTCCGAGCTCAGTACGGCACAGAAATGCCCTTCAATGCCGTCCATGGAAGCCGGGACAGAGAAGATGCTGACAGAGAACTGGCATTGCTCTTCCCCAGTTTGAAATTTTCAGACAAAGATACAGAAGCCCCTCAGGGTAAGTCATCAAGGCAGACTTGGTCTTTATTAAATCATAGATACAAGGAATTTGTAACTATGTGCTTGAGTGTGTGGGGGATTGATAATTTTTGGTAACTAAGTCTTCAACCTAATACAGTCCTGTTCTGAAAATACAGGTCATTATATAACTTGATTATCAATACTAAACTGTTTTGTGTTCTCATAGAGCAACAGTGTTGCTTTTTAATACCTCATTAAATTTTTTGCTGCTTATCTTGGAGTCATATTTTTGTTACAAAAAGTACTTTATTTGCATTTCCCTGTGGAAACCATTGGGAAAATTTCATTAACTTTCTGAAAGCCTACCTCAAAGCCAGTCAGAGGCCAGACCTGCTCCACACACTCCATGTTAAGCCCCTAAGGGCTCACTGAGAAACGCAGCTATACGGAAGGGCCCTCAACCTGGAGCCTGCTGTGACTTCATCTCCCTCAACACCACATTTCAATGCATGACCGTTGTTTAGGACCTTCCCTTCATGGGAAGCATTCGGACAGCCTCTGGGAAAGGCATGCCAGGTGGCAATGCCACCTCCAAATCTGGGTGAGAACCCCAAGGGGTCCGGAGCCCATGTGACTCAGTCTACCCCACAACCAGTGGAACTGCTGCATTACATGTCTCTGGTTTGAGCATGAAATGAGTGGAAGAGGCTGGGAGATGATTATTTTGGGAAAACCCAAAGGATGTGAGGGTTGGATTCTCGGGAGGTCACATTCACATCTGAAATGTGTGTCTAAATGTTTGGGTTTTAATCAATATATTTGCCTAAATGTTTGATATGCTCATGGTCTCAAGATCTGAAATGCAGCCAAGTCAAAATAGGTGGACTTGCCACTGCTCTATGAAGTAGAATTATTCCCACTGCCAGCTGAGGAACAAGCTGAGCGTGCCACAGAGGCTGGGGAGCCAGGAACTCTTGGGAAGTGTGGCTCTATGTGGATCAGAGACCCACTGACACTCCAGGCCAGCTTTCCTCTGGGACCTGCCCTCAGAGAGTCCATGATGCATTTCCTTATGTGTCCAGGGTTGTGGGGCACCTTCAAGCTTTTGGGAATGGGGGGTGGTGATTGGAAGCAAATGGCTGTAACTCAGAGCCAAGTCTGTGGCAGGTGGCTGGGAAGTTCTCACTGGGCTGTTGGGAGTGCTGGAAGATCATGAGACTGACTTTTTGGCCTCAGGTGATAAGAAAAGGGGCTATCTGCAGACCACATCCTGGGAATAAGTGCACAGCCTCCTTTGGACACTGGCAGCCTGGCTGGGGTGCTGTTCTGCCCATTTATTCTGATATGTCACTGTCTCTCAGCTTTGGGGAGCAGCATATGCCTCCACTGTAGTTAGCACTATTCCTGCTAAAAAAAGGCAGGAGTCAAGGTGATAGACAATCCCGGGTTTGAATCCTGGCTCCACTATTCCCCAGCTGAAGAGCCTCTGAAAAGTTACTTACATTTTCTGGGCCTCAGTTTCCTCATCTGTGAAATGGAGATAATGATAGACTCGTCATAACCACAAATAGCTTCATAATAAAAATCTTCATCATAGAGCTGTTGTGAAGATGAAAGACAGGATGTAAAGCTCTTGGTCTGGCATCTGACACAAATTAAATGCTCAATGTTATCCATTCTAATTTATTTAATTCCTGGTCCCTAACACGTATCAGGACTTCTTTGCTGACCCTCCTGCTCTGACCTTTAACTTCCTATTTCTTTGTGGATGGTGGGTGGGACAGAAGGTCTGGGACAGGGCTGTTTCAGGAGTCCTACCAAACATCTGTCATCCCACAGGCGGTGAGGCTGAAGCAACAGCGGGGCCCACTGAGGCGCTTTGCTTTCCTGAGGATGTGGATTGAGATGGCTGTGCTGCTCTTCCAGAGCACGTGACCAGGGGTCTACTGCACAAAACAGACCTCCGGAATCGGAACTTACTCTTTTGAGTACCAATACTTTTTGGTTTAGCTGTCTTTTGTAGACAATGAAAATAATATGGCTGGGCGCAGTGACTCACACCTGTAATCCCAGCACTTTGGGAGGCCGAGGCAGGTGGATCACCTGAGATTAGGAGTTTGACACCAGCCTAGCCAACATGGTGAAACCCTGTCTCTACTAAAAATACAAAAAATTAGCCGGGCGTGGTGGTGTGCACCTGTCATCCAGCTACTCGGGTGGCTTAGGCATGAGAATCGCTTGAACCCGGGAGGTGAAGGTTGCAGTAAGCCGAGATCATGCCACTGCACTCCAGCCTGGGTGACAGAGTGAGACTCCATCTTAATAATAATAATAAAAAAAAAAGTAAAGAAAGAGAATAGTATATACTTTTCTGCCTTATTAAACAGTATGTAGAACGCAGTTTTTTTTCTCTGTCTTTGGGATTTTACAAAATAATTGAACATCAGTTATTACATCCTGTTGTGAGATATAAGTGTCATCTCAGAGGATACTGGGTTATATGAGATGGTGTTTCCCCAACAATAAATCTACCTTATGAATTAAACAATTTTAGAACTTAATTTGGTAACCATGAGCTTGAAAACAGTGCAGCAAGATTGACTATGACACTTCCAGGCACACTGATGCCGAGGCAGATATAAATAGGCTCCAAATGCTTCCTCACACTGCCTGCCCAAGTCACACCAACAGTCATTTAATGCTGCCAGATTTCCCCATCTGCAGTTCTCCATTACCAGGGCATGTTCATAAAGCAATGCTCAGACATTAAATTTGGAACCAGGGTTCATCTAATTTTCTTGACGCATCCCTCCCCCATTTCTCTGGCTTCTGATTCTGGCTGACACTTAAATTTAAAAGCTGAGAGCTCCTAGTGGGGCCAGGTTGCCTTCAGCTCCCACTGAATTGCCTGGCTTAGCCATCCCTCTGCAGTTCTTCCCTGGAGGGACACAGGATTTCAGTAAAAAGTAGCTATTATGACCACTTGGGAATTATTAGCACACAATGCCACCCCCTCTAACGACTTTATTTGTAAATTTGCCAAGTGCCGGCATACTTTTTCCTATCTGAGGAGAAGGCCATTTTCTACACCACGAAGCAAATGCCAGCGTCTTCCTCCTTGCTGGTTTTGTCCATGACTTGAGGTTCTTTAAATGGGCAGTTAGCTCCCAGAGGACATTTTCGTGGGTGCATCACACTTCGTCAGCCTACCACAACACACTCTGTGCTCAGGGGACACACGGATAAGTCAGTCCCCACAGTTGGGAACCAAGGCCAGTGACCTTCAGTAGGCCCTACTGTTTAAGGCCACTGTCCTTCCCAGGACCTCGTGCCACCCCTGGATGGAAACACACATGTCCACAGTGCTCATCGGAACCTGTACAGGATCTCAATGTGCCCAACAGAGCCCTCACTGACAGGACCTGTCAGGAAGCTGGATGCACTATTCCAGATCCCCAGACTCACAGCCCACCATGGGGCTGTGCTCTTCCCTTTGGGAGTGGGCTCAAGAGTGGGGCCCATATGGTCTGTGCCCACTTCACGAGTGGCAAACGACTTGGAGAAGCCCTATGCCTGGGCTTCCACACCACAGGTGTGTGTGGCTCTGAATGAGCTACTTGGAGGGGGTGCACCCAGCTGACAGCCATCTGATCTCCCCAGAATCTGGGAAGCCAAGGATCTTCCAACATTGGTGAGATGAGAGATGGAGCCACCAGGACCTCCCAAAGCAGGGGAGAGAGGGGAAAATGAGGTTGGGGAACTGAGCCTGTCGGCGGGGAGTGTTCTTGTGTCAGTGATGGATGAAGTAGCTGGGCAGGGCAGTGGTAAAGCAAAGTGGGGCACTAGGTGATGGGGCAGGAGTGGGAGGAATGGTGACATGCCCCTTCCTCCCATTACTGGTGACTCAGGGATGCTGTGGGTTCAGCATTGCAGGGCATCTCTAAGAGTCCACAAGTTTCATGGCATAAGGAACAGGGGAATGGGGTGTAAGGGGGTTCCCGAGAGTGGCTCAAATATCAGCCCACTCCCAGAGGATGGAACTCACTGGCGGAGACCCTAGGCCTGGTTTCACACAACAGAAGCAAATATGGAAGTAAAGGATGGGTGCTGTTTTTGGCTTTAAGATCCCTCGGCTCCTGGGTGTGAGTGCCTGACGAGGAGGGCAGGCTGGGCTCCATGAAGTCAAGGAGGGTGGTTTTAAGGACTGGCTCTGGACCTCCACTCAGCCTGAGGGCAGATTGCTTGCCAAAGCCAGGAGCCAGGGGCTGCAGAGATAGAGAAAAGGTGGCTTAGTAGTCCACTCAGTGGCCCTTGGGGGGTTCCCTCAGCCTTCCCTAAAGCCAGATCCTGGACCTTCTCTCATGCTGGAAATAAACATGTGCCTCTCTGCCCAGTAAACAGGCAAGGGGCAGGATGGGGACAGCACCAGTTCCTACCCCAGGTGGCAAGAAATTGGAACCGTTCTGTCAGCCCTCCATCAAGATCTGGGGTGGGAGTCCCCCTTCCCTCCTTAGACCTCACTTCCAAGTTTTCCTGTGGTAGTTATGGGAAACAGGGGCCTGCTTGGCCCTGCTCCTACTCTCTTCGCCTTACCTTGGGTCCTCTCAGAGGTTCCCACCATGATTATTCCCTCTCTTGCTAGCCACCTCATCATCCTCCCGCCACTCTGGCGCAGGTGTCCTTGGCTTTGTTTCCAGTGAGGCCTTGAGATAGGAGATGTGCCTACAATTCAGAGATGGGAAAAGGTGGCAGTGCGTAGTAGACGAAGAGCACCTGTGTGTCCTTGCAGAGGGATAGCAAGCTCTTGCATACTGTGGTAGTGGAGATGCAAGCTGGTGGTAGTGGAGATGGGGCATACCTAAGGAGAAGAGGATGGAGGGGGTGGACATGATATTGGGGATGGGATATCTTGTGGCTGGGAGTGGCCACCTGTGAAGGGTCTGCTGGCCTTCAGAAGGAGGCCAAAAAGAGAGGGGTCCCCAGACTGCTGCAGATGCCTCTGGGAACCACACTTACCTTAAGGCACTGGGTCCCACTCTGAAATGCAAAGCCACTTCCCAGCCCTTCATTTACCAAGAATCACAGGTTCCAAAAGCGTGTACACATTATCTTCTGATGTTTCCTAATGTTCTAGACATTTGGAAAACAGACTCCTTTTTAGAAGTTGCCATGATTTTTCTTGGCTTTTATTAGCATGTGTTAAAATCATATTATCCAAACACTACCAGAAGAACATGTATTGTTCTGAATAAAGTGCTTAAAGAAAAAAAAATGCAACTTATTAAATTGGACATTCTTTTCTAGTTCATAAATTTTGGATTACAATCAGGGCACAAAAGGAGAAACAGAATGCAGTATTAGAGCGAGAAGCTTAGTTAAGAACTTGGGTGTAGACACAATACCATGTCCACTCTTCCCACTTCCTTGCTGACTGAACACTGCACCTGCATAAAGCAGCAAACAGCTTTGTTTCAATAAATACATTTCCCTTCATTCAAATCAGAAAAGTTAATTATAGTAAAGCATTTTTAATTTGACCATCTGTTTATACCCACAGGCAAAATTTATCCACAGAGTTTAAGTGTGAAAGTGTTATTTCATTGGGCCTTCAGCTTTCTAATGCTATTTGGGTTCAAGATTGTCTCAGCAATTCATTATTGGTTTCTTTATATTTACCTAGTACTATTTAATACCAACACTATAGTGTTTTGTGTTAAAAATGCCAACCAAGGATATTTTCACAGTTCTAGAAACGAGTGGGCCTGAGGCTTTCTTCCCAATAAACTAAGTTTTCTTTTAACTGGGTTTCTCACATTAGCACTCTGATATCTGCACAAAACCAAGTCCTGTTGTGACAGATTTTAAAATCGGTGATGTTCTGAAAAAATAGTAACTTGGAAGTCTCTGTGTTTGAATCTTGGGTGGTCATGTTGAGAGCAGGAAAAATTGCATTAAATACATTTTTAAAACATTCATTTGCAACCAAACATTTAAATCTTCCAAGGAACGTGCAGGGTGGTGATAGGGCAGCTGCAGTGTGAGCAACCCCATCAGGAGTGGCTGGTGGGTGGGCTTGGAGCTCCATCAGTGGCACACACTCACCGCAAGCTTCTGGACCGCAGACCTTGCATCCTGGTTGCGAAGCCTTTGACCTTCTTTTAGCAAAGAGAAAAGGTAGGCTGCTTCTACCTTCAAACAGTCAAGAGCAACTTCTGTTGAGTTCACCTTGCTGCTGACCCAGAAGTTGGAGCAGGGGCCAAGCTAAGGGGTGCAGAAAGGCTAACAGTACTTGCTGTAAAAAGAAGTCATCTTCAGTCATCCTGGGGAGATTCCCTTGCCCCTCTCTCAACTTGAGTGCTTTTAGCTTCATGCAGGAAAGATTTTAGTTGCATCTTTTATTAAATTTCAATCTCGTTTTACAAAAGCATACCAACTAGCAGTCCTGAGCAACTAGTATGAAATTTGCTGAATACAGCTAACAGAAAGCTTTCTAAACTATCCTGTTCTTTGTTTCTTTCTACAGGGGTGTCTGTAGAATATTCTTTAGTTTCACAGTGATATATGCTGTTTCAGGAAGCACAAGGTATTCTGTTTCTGGGAAGTGATGACCTACTTTTAGTTTGAGCACAAGTTTCCATGACTGGTTCTAAATCTGGCCAGATATTGCTAATACCAATGACAGGAGTTAGGGCAATTGGGAGGCTCTTGGTCCCCAGTTCCTGTCAAGGGTAAGCCCATCTGGGTCATGGCTGGGCTTTCACTATCAGTAGTTATATTTCCCTTTGATGCTTCAAAAAGCCTATGGTGAATCTGTTGCCTCACTTTACTTCTCCATTTGACTTGGAAGCCTGAGAACTTACTGAATTAGGATGAAAAAAGGCTCTGTACCTGCTAATATTGACGGCAGTAAGATGCTAGCTTACTATTTTGCACAGCACCATGTATAGTGCCTGTTAATCAGGCCAACTATAGCCAACTTTTTCTTTTTTTTTCTTTTTTTTTATATAAAGAAAATCTATGTAAGTTGAGGTTCAGAAATGCATATATTTTTTACTTACAAATATTCATCTGACCAAAATTCAACATAACCTTTATGGAACACTTAACAATTGTTTTGTTTTTAAAATAACATTTCATTCAAACTGTATATAATTCAGTAAAGTTTTTTATACAGCAAGCAATGCTTAAACCCTGGAAAATCTGTAGAAAAGAGATTTTCACACAAAATAAGAAAAGAAAAATCTGAGGTATCCCTCACACACACACATCCATTCATTCTGGCCCATGTACGTGCACATACACACGCATGCCTGTGTGTTCACACAGACATATTCATTCTCACTCACAAAGTGGCTGCAGCATAGGCAAAAATTGTAGGTCCAAAGGAAAATGATTGATTGTTCTAATAAAGAGTCCGAGTAGCTCAGAAAAAAAAACCAAAACAAAACACAAGAGTCTTCTGAGGAAATTACTACCTCAAAAAAATGTTCTCAAGATGAATTTGAGATCTAAGCCTACTAAACTGCTTTTGCAAAACAGCTCCCTGCAGTCCAAGGTGACTTGTGCAAATAGAAGGAATCAAATGAGGCTGGTTCCTGTACTTCCTTAAACAAGGAGGTGGGATGCTCGCAGGTGCCCAGGGGCACTCCCATCATGCCAGGTACTGCTGCAGTGCCATCTTTGCCCTGAAATCACAAAATTCCTGTTAGCCATCATCTCAGAATTGTAATTGGGGTAAAAAACCCTATGGTTCAATGATGATAGCTGGGGAAGTCTAAAAAAGTAAATCTCCAGAGGGAATTGGGGTGAGCCCAGGTGGGCACCTACCTTAAGGGGAAGAGATCTGCAGTGGGTAGACACCTGAAATCTACTCTGGCTATATTCTTCTTCCTGTGGATCTCTCAGAGGGCTGTTCCTGCACTTAAACCTGCTGCAGCTCAGTGACATTCCACAGTCCCTGGTATGTGCTGACATTCTATGTTTTCTTTTGTCACTGGCATATAGTTGTGATAGGTCTTACATTCTTTACTTTTTCTTACTGCCATGTAGGTTTTATGCAGTGAGGCACAACACTAGGGAGAACACTTAGGGTTCTGGGAAGCAAATAAGAAAACTGACCGAGGAAATGGTGTTGAGGTGATTAGAAGGTGCATGGAAGGGGCCAAGAGCCCATGGGATGAGGCTGTCTTATGCTTCACATGCCTCAGAACCGTGGAAGAAGGCTACAATTTCATCTTGTTCTTCTCATCACACCTGATGACACCATAACTGATCAATGTGAGATGTGTGTTGTTACGGTGATGGGGGAAGAAGGTGGCCAGGTGGAAAGGAAAAGATAGAATGTAGGCCGGGTGCTGTGGCTCACACCTGTAATTCCAGCACTTTGGGAGGCTGAGGAGGGCAGATCACCTGAGGTCAGGAATTCAAGACCAGCCTGGCCAACACGGTGAAACCCTGTTTCTACCAAAAATACAAAAATTAGCCGAGTGTGGCAGCGGGCACCTGTAATCCCAACCACTTCGGAGGCTGAGCCAGGAGAATGGCCTGAACCTGGTGGGTGGAGGTTGCAGTGAGCTGAGATGGTGCCATTGCACTCCAGCCTGTGCGACAAGAGTGAAACTCCATCTCAAAAAAAAAAAAAGAACAAAAAACAAACAAAAAAACCCAAAAAACAAACCAAAAAATAATGTGAACAGTGACTTAATCTATCCTGATCCTTGTAAAAGTGGCCTCCTTTGAGGTGGGCCCAAGGAGGCCTCCTTTACTATTCCTATCACAAACATGGTAAAGTTTCTAAAGAGGCTGTAATCGTGGGAGTTAGGAAGTCAGGTTTCAGCAATGGTCTCTTCTAAGCTATGGAAAGAAAGTCTACAATGTTCAGGTACAATAGCTGATCAAACTAATACCAAGTAGACTATGCATACAATAAGCTGGATTCAAGTGCAGTTTCTGCAGTAATGGACACAACAGTTTTTTAAGTGGTATACTAAGGTGTATTCTTGCAATTATATAAGACTCTAAAGATGATATTGTGAATAGTCCAATCCATCAGAACAGAAAGCTCTAGAAAGATTATCTCCAAGTTATGAGCAAGTAGGGTTCTACAAGGACATTTTCAGAAACAAGTTTATGAATGATGCCACAGACCATCCACCTGACTCCCCAAATACTTAAAGAGGCTGAGAAGAACAGTTCTGATGGAGGCGGGAGCTCTGGGACCCTGCAACCCTGAAGCCCTCCAAGCCTGGGTGGAGAGGGCTGGTTAGCAATAGCTTCTCATCTGTAAGCATCTGAAAGTCAAAGGATCAAAGTCTTAACGACAAAAGGAACCTGAGAGATATATTCTTCAGGTGATAGACCTTACTGTACTTAACTGAGGGTCTTGATTGAAATTCTGTATTGCTCTTTAAATCTGCCAAATTCAAACTCCTTCTGGATCTTATTCAGAGGTTGGCTAGGTTTGATTATTTTGGGTCTCAGAGACTGTACCTTTATTGTCTTTCTACTGTCATTATCTAAGGAGTCTTTTTAGAAGAATGGTTTTGGAGGCAAGATCACCCTTTCTTAGATGGACTCAGGTTGGGTAGCTCAGACCTTGATTCTATTATTTTACGGTTTACGTTTAAGAAGAGCTAAAAACTTATGTGAAAACAGCACCAGAGTGGTCTAAGCAAGCAGGCTAAACCTATCCCACTTGATGCTGGTAAGGCCTATCCTACCATCCTATGTCATCCTTGAGATGATTTTAAGTAAAATTTGTTTTTACTTCTGAATAAATATGAGATAAAACCCCCAGTGAACAACCTGGCTCTCAGGTAGAAAAGATGGGCTGACAGAGCCCACTGTTTATGCCAGCAGCTGTGGAGGTGGAGGTTCCAGTCCTCAAGGTACAAGCTCAGATCCAGCCTTCAGCATGTGGATGGACTTGACTTTGATGGTACACTCATCTGACCAGCAGCCTTGGGCTGCAGTTTTTTAGTTCTTCTTCCTCTTTTCTTTTTTTTTTTGAGACAGTCTTGCTCTGTTGCCTAGGCTGGAGTGCACTGGTGCAATCTCGGCTCACCACGATCTCTGCCTCCTGGGTTCAAGTGATCCTCCTGCCTCAGCCTCCCCAGTAGCTAGGACTACAGGCACGTACTACCATGCCCTGCTAATTTTTGGAGTTTAGTAGAGACGGGGTTTCACTATGTTGGCCAGGCTGGTCTCGAACTCCTGACCTCATAATCCGCTTACCTCGGCCTCCCAAAGTGCTGGGATTACAGGCGTGAGCCACCGCGCCCAGCCTAGTTATTCTTCTTTAGCCTACAGGATGGTAAGCTTCGGGGAAGCAGAGGCCTAGCCTGTCCTGTGTGCTTCACAATCTGGAAGAGCCATTTACTTCAGAGGAGTTAGTTAAGTTCCTCTCCCCTTCAGTGGAGCAGACAACCTGACAGCCAAGACACAGTGTGACGTGTTCTACAGATGCTACAGGAGCACAAAAGGCATCCCTGGCAAAGCCTGGAGGGGAGGGTGGAGAGTGGGTCAGGCAAGGCTTTTTGGAGGACATAGCAACCTGATATGAGTTTTGAAGGATAAACGGCCACCGTCCAGGCATCTTTTTCCTTTGTTTTCTGGACACCTTATGCGCCTGAGTCTCTGCCTGCCTCACTAGCTGTTCCTTCTGCTCCTTTGCTGCATCTTTCTCATCACTGCCTAAATGCTGGAGGGACTCTAGATCTTGGTCCTTAGTCCTCCTTTCTCTCTTTTTACTTGCTCTAAGAGACTTCATCCAGCTCCATGGCTTTAAATACCATTCAGATTTATAGCCCTGCTCTTCCAAGTCCCTTGGATATCTAATATGCATCTTAACGCTGGCATACCCAAACAAGAACTCTTGATGCTCCCTACCGCAACCCACTTCTATATTCCTCACCATCTTGGTATATGGCAACACCCTCTGTCCAGTTGCTCAGGCTAAAACCCTAGACATTTTCCTTTCCTCTCTTTAACATCCTGTACTGAATCTGTGAGTAAGTCCCGTTGGTGCTTATCTTCAGATTAAATCCTGAATCCAACCACTTCTCAATACTTCCAATACTAATCCCCCCACTCCCTTACCGACATTATTACAATGGCCTTTAACTGGTCTCTGTGCCTCCATTCTTGCCCTCCTACAGATGGTTCTCTGTAAGTCACCAGAGTGATCTTTTAAAAATTCAAATCAGGGCCCGGCGTGGTGGCTCACGCCTGTCATCCCAGCACTTTGGGAAGCCGAGGTGGGTGGATGATCTGAGGTCAGAAGTTTGAGACCAGCCTGGCCAACATGGTAAAACCCTGTCTCTACTAAAAATACAAAAAAATTAGCTGGGCGTGGTGGCAGGCGCCTGTAATCCCAGCTACCTGGGAGGCTGAGGCAGGAGAATCACTTGAACTCAGGAGGCAGAGGTTTCAGTGAGCCAAGATCACGCCATTGCACTCCAGCCTGGGCAACAAGAGTGAAACTCCATCTCGAAAGAAAAGAAAAGAAAGAAAAAAAGAAAAAGGAAAAGGAAAAAAGGAATTCAAATCAGATAATGTCTCCTCTCCTTAACAGTCTCCAATGATTTCCTATTAAACTCTGAATAAAAGCCAAAGTCCTTACCTTACCTACAAGGCTCTTCATGGTCTGGATTCTTCCACCTATTAGCATTCTCCCTCTCCATATTTTTCATTAGCCCTCTGTTCTTCTTGCTGTTTCTTGAACATACCAAGTTCACTCCTGCTTCAGGGCCTTTGAACCCACTATCACCCCTGTCTGTAATACTCTTCCTCTATGCATTTGCCCAGATGAAATCTTCCTTATTTCATTCAGGTCTCTGATCATGTCATCCTCAGAGAGATCTTTACTAGCTAACCTAAAATAAATTTTCTTGATTCTCCATTCCTTCACCTTGCTTTATTTTTCTTCATGGTACCTCTCATCACCTGATACTGTGTTACGTATTCATTTGCTTATCATCTATCTTCTATACTAGAATGTAAGTTACACGAGGGCAAAGACTTCATCAATTTTATTCACCATTATATCTCCAGTGCCTAAAACAATGCCTGGCAGAAGGCAGGTATTCAAAAGAGATATCTGATGAATGAATGGGGACTCAGAGGAGAGGAGACTGGGATAGCAAAGTAGATGGAACAGAATGTGTAAATGCACGAAGGTGTGCTACTGTAAGCGGACAGGTATGGCTGCAGTATGGGGTGTACATGGTGGGTGCAGAGAAGATGAGAAAGGCAGAGCCAGACCATTAAGGGCTGAAGGGCTTCTAAGCCATGCTCAAGAGTCTAGAGACTCAAAAGTACTGATGTTCCCTGATTTGTTATTATACAAAGGTGAAATGGAAAGTGAAGGCTGTTACAAGGGAGAACACACAGCTAGGAAGAGCATTTATGGCTATTTTGAGGTTAGCTGAGTATCTGATTATAACTCTTGACTCTACCAGGAAATGATGAGCTCTTTGAGGACAGTGATTCCTTAGTGGTAGCTTTTGTATCCCCAGGAGCTGGGCCAGCCTGGCACAAAACGGGTGTTCAGTGAGGTTTTGAGCTAATGAATGTTTGCATTACTGGTTTTTCTGCTTTCCAAAATGCCACATGCATGTCTATTCTAATGATCAGGCGAATGTACGCAAATGGCCTCTGGATCCAATCCACTAAGATGGCCCAGACTCACGTGAATTCACAATAAGATGAGAGTCTTTAATAATTTGGTAATTATTAGTTTACAGCTCACTCAAATGTCGTACAGTGGCTCATAGAAAATTATGAAGAAAATCTAAGAATCTAAAAGATTTTAAAAAGTATGGCCATTAATTACCAAGCAATTCAAACCCTTTCACGAAAGAATCCAACACAGCCCAAAGCAAGGCCTTTTCACATTCATACTCACTTGTCACAAAGGTTTGAATCTGGTGACTGACTCAGTTTGTGTAGAATATCTACGATGCCCATGTCTCGTAATTTATCCTGGCGTTCTTGTGAACCTAAACGATTAAAGCCAGGTTACTGGGAACATGACCCAGGCAAATGCTCTCTTTGATGTACAATTAACAATCTAGAGCCTTACCAGTGTCCTTCACTCCCTACTCCTCCTGTACCCCTTGTCCTCTACCCTCTCCCAATGTAGTTGGACCCGCTCATGCTTGGACTCTCTGACAGTCTTCTAACTCGTCTCTCTGCCTCCTGATCATCCTGCCTGCAGTCTATCCTGGGTTCTGCAGTTGGACTGATTTCTCCATGGACTACAGGGTCAAGGTGAGATTCTTCAGCCTGGTACAAGGCCCTCTGCCACTGACTCCCAGCTTCACCACTTCTTTCAGGACATACCCATGGCCCTGGCCAGACCAGGCCAGGCTCTTACTACTCTAAGCAGGTCTTATCTTCCCCTTTCTATTGTCTTCTACCCTCCTCTGTCCTCCCAGCACTTTTTGTTGCCTCTCAGCACAGCTGGCACTTCCAATTTCATATCATTCTGTTCTATCTTCCAACTAGACTAACATCTCCTTGAGGGTGGCTTTGTCTCCCCAGTACACAAGTGGTACGTGGTATCTAGGTCTGTGGGCGGAATCCAGTTTCCCTTCTTGCACTTTGTTTTGGGCGCTGCTGCTGAGTAATCCCCTGGAGTCTTCCCCACTGAAGAGCCCACAGTGACCACTCATATACTGGCTCTCTCTAGACTCAGTGAATCAGAATTTCTAGGGATGGGGCCCAGAAATCTGCACTTTAAAAACTTCCCCAGGTGATTCTAATGCAGCCAACCCAGCCTTGAGACCCACTGCTCTCCTGTATTTGCTACCTTGGCTATATATTGGAATCATCTGGGGAGCTTTAAGAACCACTTATGCCTGGAGCCCACCCCGAGAGATTCTGATTTAATTGGCCTGGTGTAAAAATTCCCAGGTGATTCTAATATGCAGCCAAAGTAAAGAACCTCTGATCTATACAGGCCTCCTTACAGACTAGCTGCTTCACTGGTCACATTGCACTTCTCATTTCTCACAAATGCACCTTCTTCTCCATCATGCTTATCTGCCTGTAGTCCTCATATGTGCTTCCTCTGCTCAAAACGAAAGGCTCATCCTCCCACCCACTCTCTCCTCTCACCTTCTTCAAGTGCATCTCACCATCCTCCTCATCAGCTCTCTCCTGGCAGGGACTGTCACTTACTTCTCACTCTCCCTCCTTGAATCTGGTATAGAGTTGGCTCCAACGGGGCACTCAGTGTTGACTGACCAGCTGACTTGGGCTAGTTCCACTGATTCTCATACCAGGGCAACTCTAGAGGGTGCTTGGGCCAGATGGTCCAAGAACAGAGCCTCTGCCCAGGATCTCAGGGGCACCTGCTAGCTTCCCTGTGCAAGACACTCTTCCCATAATTTTTTTCAAAACAAATCTCACCAATCTCTTACCTTCCTCTTCATTCCATATGAGGTTTGATATACAAAACATGGCTGCAAGCTGCAGTTTAACATGTGAATGGCCCTATTAATACAGAAAAAGAAAAAAAAATCAAAATGGTGGTAATCTCATTTTAGATTTTTTTTTGGGGGGACCTACCATAGCCAATTCCTATAACCTAAAAGTCTGAAGCAGGGCCAGGTGAGGTGGCTCATGCCTGTAATCCCAGCACTTTGGGAGACCAAGGCAGGTGGAAGATCGAGGTCAGGTGTTCGAGACTAGGATGATTAACACAGTGAAACCCTGTCTCTACTAAAAATACAAAAATTTGCCGGGTGTAGTGGCGGGCGCCTGTAATCTCAGCTACTAGGGAGGCTGAGGCAGGAGAATCGCCTGAACCTGGGAGGCAGAGGTTGCAGTGAGCTGAGATCGTGCCATTGCACTCAGCCTGGGTGACAGAGCGAGACTCCGTCTCAAAAAAAAAAAAAAAAAAAAAGTCTGAAGAAGAGTCCTCAAACTCAAATGTCTTGAGGGGCCATGAAGTTAACACTAATGAGTAGAAGGGTTGGGCTAAAGATAACAAGGGACAGTGGAGAATCTGGCAAATTGAGGAGTACAAGCCTTGCCAAAAGACATGCAAATTCAAATTTAAAAAACCATCTGGCTGGACAAACAAAACACCTCTAGGGCTATGGGTACAGTTTGCAATTTATGATTCAATCCATGCACGAGGAAACACTGTCATATGACAATTCTATGCTTTCGACTTAGGCTATGTTTCCAGGTCACCAACAGCCAACATACACTGGGTGGATGTGCATTTGGTATTTATCTCTTAAGCTACTGGTTATCTTATTCAAATGGCCCAATAATTCCTTTGGGGAAGAAAGTGAATATATGGTCATGAAGTTCTGTAACACCTAGACTTTCACACACACACAATCTATAAATGGCTTACTCCTCTGACACAACTTGCTGAAAACAAGAAGCATTATATAATACATTCAGCTTCTGGAATAATTAAATTACTCCTATTTCTAAAGGAATATCCCCAAAAACTTGATGAAATCGCTAGTTGATTTCTCAAATGTCTTTACTATCACTAATGAGCCTCCTATTCTTCTAAATACAATTCTTATTTATTTTGCTTTATGTACTGAAAGTACAACCATTTCTGGTTGCTTTGGATAGGGTGTTTTCGCCTGAATGAAAAAGGACTCAATAATAAAATAAACTTTATAGATGATTGTCCTATTGGTCAATAAAAAAAATTTCTAGTATGTTCAAATAATTTATGCACATCTGAGAGAGTATCAATGGCAAAATATGCTCAATGGTTTTTTCAAGGCTAAGACAGACTTATCTTCTCATGTAGGACTATATTTCAACTAAGCAGAGACAAAGAAATGGATGTGGCTTCCTCCAGTAGAATTCTATGGCTAGTGATTCTTTCTTCTTCTAACTGCCAACACTTTTAAGGAGATGTCCAGTTTGGGCTCCCTTAAGACAAAACAGAATAAAACTTATCTGCTCCCAGCCTCAGACAATCAATCAATATTTGTTGAATAAATGAGCTTGTATATACTATAACAAATATGCATTTACTATGCATAAGTTTATTCATCATTCAATATTTTTTAAGGACACAAATTACTATGAGGATAGAGAAAATTGGAGGGTGGAGGGGTGGGAACTTAATTTAGGTGGAATGCACAAAACAGATCTCTTTGAGGGTGGCAATACTTAAACAGAGACTTAAAGAATAGGAAGGTGCCAGATGTGCAAAGAGCAAGGGGCTTGAAATTCCAAGCAGGAGAAAAAGTTCCTGAAAAGGTCTGAAGTAAGAAGGAGCTGTCTGTTCAGAGAAGTAGGTGTAGCCAAATTGTGCCAACTTGTAGGCCACAGTAAGGACTCTGGATTTCATTCTGTGTTGAGAGGAAGCCCCTGAAAGATTTAAACAGTGGAGGGACAAGATCTGATTTACATTTTTAGAAGACCAGTTGGGCTGAAGGGATTGGAGTGACAGTGAGGAAGTGTCAAGGAAGATACTGTTATATAGTTAATCAGGCATAAGGTGCTGTGACTTGGACTGACTAGGGTGGGGGCAGTGGTGATGAAAAGGAGTAATTGGATTCAAGATCAGTTTTGGAAGAAGGGCAGATAGGACTTGTTGATAAATTGAGTGAATGAGGGGACAGAGCTGGAGAAATCAAGATAGATTCCAAGATGCTATCAGACAGCCACATGGAGATGCTGAAAGGGCAGGCGGATATGTAAGTCCAGAGTTTGGAAGAGAGGTCTAGGCTGGGAAACACATTTGGAAATTACAGTGTATTGTCAGCACAGTGATGATAGTATAAGCTATGGGGGTGGATGAGATTCTCCTAAGGCAATGGTTCTCAACTCTGTCTGTACGTAAGAACCACCCAGTGATCTTAAAAAAAAATCCTGATGCCCAGGCTATAACCCTAGATCTATTAAATAAGAATCTTGGGAGGGAGGAGACAAAGCAGTAATCTTTGAAAGCTCCCTACGAGGTCCTATTGTACAATGAAGGTTGTGATCTGCTGATCTCAGGAGAGCACGTGTAGAAGAGAAGAGAAAAGGGTCCAGAGATAGGTAGGGAGGTATGGTGTCACGCAAGCCAAGAGAAAAGGATATTTCCAGGAGGAGGAAATAGTCAGCTGGGTTGAAGTCTGCTGTAAGTGGGGTAAGATGAAAAGAGAAAAGGATCCTTTGGATTTGGCATCATGGAAGTCATTGGTGGCCCTAAGTTTCAGTTGAATGATGGGGGTAGAGGTGAAACAGAGGAGGTTAAAAAATGACTTTAGAGGCAGAGGAGGAGGCCGTATGTACAGAAAAGATGCTTTTAAGAAGTCTGGCTTTGAAGGTTGGGCGCAGTGGCTCATGCCTGTAATCCCAGCACTTTGGGAGGCCGAGACAGGTGGATCATTTGAGATCAGGAGTTTGAGACCAGCCTGGCCAACATGGTGAAACCCCATCTCTTCTAAAAATACAAAAATTAGCCGGGCAATAGTGCCGCGCCTGTAATCCCAGCTACTCAGGAGGCTGAGGCAGGAGAATCGCTTGAACCTACAGGTGGAAGTTGTGGTGAGCCAAGATCGCGTCACTGCACTCTAGTCTGGGTGACAGAGTGAGACCCTGTCTCAAAATAAAAAGAAGTTTGGCTTTGTCTTTGAATAACAGAGAAATGGGTATGTCTCGATGGGTATGAGAAGTTAAGGAAAACTTTTTAAGTGATTATGGATACAGTGTGGATTAGTATTGGAAAGATAAGGGAATCCCTGGTTGAAGTGGTAAGGTTTTCATTCAACAAATATTTACCAAGCATATGCTAAGGGCCAGACACCATGGTGGATATACAGTTGTGCACAAAGCTGACATGGTCCCTGCCCTCATGGAACTTACGCTGTGGTAAAGACACCCAGTAGGCACACAAACATATATCACTAAAACTGAGCTAAGTGCTCTGAAGGAAGTGAACAAAATGCAGTAATGAGGAATAATCTATAAGGGCAAGAGTCCAGTAAGAAAGTATAAGTTCAGCTGAGATTTGAAGGGTGAAACAGAGAGAAGAAAAGTGTTCCAGGCAGAGAAGCCAGTATGTGTGAAGGTCCCAAGGAAGGAAAGAACGTGGCCTTTTTGAGAAACTTCAAGTGGCCAGTGTAGTGAACAAAGGAAGAGAGGAATAAGATAAGTTGGGGATATGAATGGGTTAGGTCACGTAGGACTTGACAGGCCATCATAAAGGCATACGAACTTTATTCAAGGTATAACAAGGAGCCACTGAAGGATTTTAGTTTCTCTTCTCTTAATAAGACAAAAAGCTGAGGTCATCACTAACTGTAATGGGGGAGGGAAGAGGTGAGGTCTAAAGAATGAGGGGCAGGTAAGAATATATTCTCATGGAGAATGAGGGTGCCAGCTTCCTAGAGAATCACTGAAGGACACTAGGAGGAGCTGTGCCCATGTGGGGTTCTGTGCCTTTCTCTGCAGTTGTTAACTCTGACATGGCAGGGATAGAGAAGACAGATAGGTGTGACAAGGGGAGGCTTCCTCCATGATTAGAATTTTGTCAGGAGATGTTGACAGAATGAGAAGTGGAGGGCTTTTTGATACCCACATTTTGGCAATGGGCAGTCTCTGGTGATGATCAGATGCAGGATATGGCCATGGCAGTAGGTAGCAGATTGTTTAGAAGCAAACAGGTAAAGGAACTATGGTGCCAGGGGGCTAGAGGGTTCATCCACCATGGGACTGAAGCCTTGAGACAGAAGACAGGGACTGGAGGCCACTGAGAGAAAGCCAAGAGCCCGGGTCTTCACTCAGTAAGAGGGAGGCAACCAGTAGATGACAAGGGCAGGGAGTCGACTGGCAGGTAATAATATTACCAAGTGGTACAAGCTTCAAGGAGTTGGTGTTTTTTTCTTTTTCTTCAGGATGGAAGAGAGTTCTTTGAATCTGAGGAGTCACAGAGTAATCTATTCTTTTCCTCTTTTTAAAATCTCTGCACAATTTATTTTGAGTTAAAAATGCAACAGTCCCTGCATTCTAATCCTACGGTGAAAGGGGACAAGGGCTCACCATGTAATACTTGATTTTCTGTAGGATATCATCATTGGTCATAATAAGATCTTTTGCTGTTGTCCCATCCGCTATGTTGGCTAAGATGCACAGTGTCTGGAAAAGAACAAAGGGCCAACAGTCAGGAAAGCTCTGAAGTCCCAGAGTCAAGCTGTCTCAAGAGCTTGGGCAATTTTTCACTTGAAGGTACATGGATTCTCACAGGTTCCACTCTCAATGCCCTGATTTCTCATCTGCTGACATCATTGCTAGTAACAGTAACCACACCCAAACAAAATCTACCTTAGGCAAAAGAGAACCCCAACACTTTGGTGGTTTCTTCCTGAGCTATGGGAAGCCATAGCTGGTCAAAGGCAGCTATTTTGTATAGGTCATACTATCAAATCAAAGAGAAAATGTAACTTATTATTTTTCTTGAAAATCTCATTTCTAAGAGAAGCTCTTGTGACAAACCACAATGTTCCTTCAACAATGTAGTCTCTTTGGTGGAAGCTCTGTAGGTGTTGCAACTCCCCTCCCAGGGAAGCCTCCCTTTCCTAGGCCTCCACCTGCTGCTTGCTCCTAAGCTCATGACCTTCTGGGTGAAGGCCTAGACCCTGTCCACCAGCTACACCAGCCATGTGCACTTAGGACCTTTTAACTTTTTTGAACCCTGTTAGGGGAAGAGAAAAGAAGTAAAATGTATGAAGCAACTTAGTCCAGGCTGGTCTAATGTGAAGACTGGAGGAAGCCTGTGCCAGCTGGAAGGACAGTACACCTTGAGGACAACCACTGCACTGATGACTGCAGTCTTCTCAAAGGAAAAACTGTTCTTGTCAGCTGTTCCATTCTCAAAGCCAGACCAGCAGGAGGCAAAAATTAAGATAATGGTGAAAGGACTATGATAGGGATACCAACAGTGCCAAGCTTAGCAATTCAACAAACCATTTACTAAGTAACTATTATGGGTATGCCCTCTGCAGGGCATCAGGATGAGGCAGGAAAAAAAAACACACTCCCTGACTTTGAAGCTGTCACACAAACAATTACATTTCACTGTGATTGAAGTAAACAGAGAATAGAGAAGGCATGAAGAAAGAGCACTTGTTGGATACTGCAAGGGTTAGGGAAAACTTCCCGGAGGAAGTGACACAGTCCTGGAACCCAGTCAGGAATACCTCAAAGGAATGAGAGGTGAAGCTGGGATTCAGACTCACATAATTTTCTCCAATTTTAAACTTTTTCTTTGCAAGACAAGCTAATTAAGCTAATTGAGGAGATTGTTTTCTTGCAGTGGCCCAAGCCCCAAAATATCCTAAAGCGTGTGTGGTTTTATTTCTCCTAGATTAACACACTGCTGTCACTAGATTATTAGGGAGTAAGTCCTGAGGTGTGAAACCAGAAAAGGCTGCCTCTGAGACACAGTAGACATGAAACATAAATTGTATAGTCCAATAGCTAAGCAAACACTGGGGAACTATTTATTCCAGGGCAGTTAGATCATGTTGAGGAGGGCTTTATGTGCCCAAGAAGTGGGACAGACATGATCTGATCTGGAGAAGGTGTCAGATTTCTGGTGATCTGGTACATAAGCACTGGTACATGGTGAAACTGTCTTAAATTTCTTGGTAGGAACAATACTCTAAGGAAATCAATAATAATCTGCACTCTTTTTGGTTAGTCTCTTGCGGAAAAGATCTTATGAAGGGGCAGACATGAGCATGCCAAGTGTAATTAACAGGAGTAATTAGTTTGGGGAAGAGTTGACAGTCAATGTTTTAGGAGTCCAAGTTCAAGATGACATCAGAACCAAGTGAATTATCGTTGCTTTCCCTATATTCTAGCCCCACCTGAGCCTACAGGATAAGGTAATTAAATACAATGAGTGTTCCTTTTTTTTTTTTTTTTTTTTGAGATGGAGTCTCACTCTGTCACCAGGCTAGAGTGCATCTGGGCTCACCGCAACCTCTGCCTCCTGGGTTCAAGCAATGCTCCCTGCCTTAGTCTCCCAAGTAACTGGGATTACAAGTGTGTGCCACACGCCCAGCTAATTTTTGTATTTTTAGTAGAGACGGGATTTCACCATGTTGGCCAGGCTGGTCTCGAACTCCTGACCTCATGATCCACCCGCCCTGGCCTCCCAAAGTGCTGGGATTACAGGCATGAGCCACCGTGCCCAGCCTACAAGTATTCTTTTCTCTCTCCCTCTCCATCACTTGTCTTGACATGCAATCCAAATGTGGCAACACCAGACTCACAATACCACATTCCTTCTAGTTCTGCTCGAATTCCTTAAAGTGATTACAGAAAGCCTTAGCAAGCTTTACAACAACCCCACCTTCCAAGAGCAAGCCAGCAAAATGATATTCATCAGTGGTAGTGATCCAATCCTCACCAACCAGTCTCTGCCAGGCTTTACTAAGACAAAACCAAAATGCAGAGGGTGAGGCCAATCTAGGGAACACAGGTAAAACCTGGCTGAGAAGTAGGAGCGGGGGCAGCACATGGAAGAATCATAGCTTATTACTCTCTTGTTCTCCATCTCTCCACCATTTCTTACCAAGAAGACTCAATCCTATGGGTTGGCCAGAGCAGCTTAAGAGGAAGTAATGGAAATGATCCTTATTATGAATAAGAATTTTAATAAGGCTTCATAACCAAGGTATTCATGGGGGGAAGAGAAATGGTAAACACTTTTAGACTCTCCTAGAAAACAGCTACCCCCTCTTACCCACTAAAACAGAATATAAAGGGGAATTCCAGGGAAGATCCCTCAGAATAGACCAGGTCAGCAAGACAGGTGAGTAATTCCCCTTTTTGTAGTGTTAGAATACGCCCATGCATCCCCAGGCTTGAACAGCATGAAAAAGTGAGGTACAGTTCTGTTTTGAAGCTCATAAAACCCCTCTGTAAATATTCCTATGGAGACAAGCAATCAAATCTTAAAGAAATCAATTAGGCCGGGGCGGTGGCTCACACCTGTAACCCCAGCACTCTGGGAGACCAAAGCGGGTGGATTACGAGGTCAAGAGATTGAGACCATCCTGGCCAATATGGTGAAACCCCATCTCTACTAAAAGTACAAAGACTAGCTGGGTGTGGTGGCGCATGCCTGTAGTCCCAGCTACTCAGGAGGCTGAGGCAGGAGAATCTATTAAACCTGGGAGCCAAAGGTTGCAGTGAGCCGATATCGCGTCACTGCACTCCAGCCTGGCAACAGAGTGAGACTCTCTATCAAAAAAAAAAAAAGAAAAAGAAATCAATTATTGGGCCAACTCATTGAATATGTGAGCTAAGGAACAGATAAAAACTACACACACACACACACACCCACACCATTAATGTACGCATATTAGTGTATATACTAATATGAACAACTGGAAATCAAGGAAATAGAGCAGAGACTGGTAAATTATGGTTTGGGCCAAATCCAGTCTGCTGTCTCTTTTGGTAATTTTTATTGGAAGACAGCCATATCTACTTGCTTATGTATTGTCTATAGTTGCTTCCAGGCTAGAACAGCACAGAGGAGTAGTTGCTAGAGACCAGAGCCTGCAAAAATTGAAATATATACCTTGCCTCTTAAAGAAACAGTTGGCTAAACTCTGAAATAGAGAACAGGCTGGGTGCGGTGGCTGATGCCTGTAATCCCAGCACTTTGGGAGGCCGAGGCAGGTGGATCCCTTGAGGTCAAGAGTTTGAGGTCAACCTGGCCAACATGGCAAAACCCCATCTCTATTAAAAATACAAAAAGTTGGCCAGGCATGGTGGCTCATGCCTGTAATCCCAGCACTGTGGGAGGCCGAGGTGGGTGGATCACTAGGTTCGGAGTTCAAGACCAGCTTGGCCAACATGGTGAAACCCTGTCTCTACTAAAAATACAAAAATTAGCCTGGCATGGTGGCAGGCGCCTATAATCCCAGCTATTCAGGAGGCTGAGGCAGGAGAATGGCGTGAACCCGGAAGACGGAGCTTGCAGTGAGCCGAGATCACACCACTGCACTCCAGCCTGGGCGACAGAGCGAGAGACTGTCTCAAAAAAAAAAAAAAGAAAAAAAAGAAAGTAACCAGGCATGGTGGTGGGCACCTGTAATTCCAGCTACTTGGGAGGCTGAGGCACGAGAATAGACTGAACCCAGGAGGTGGAGGCTGCAGTGAGCCAAGATCACACCACTGCACTCCAGCCTGGGCAACAGAGTGAGACTCTGTCTTAAAATATATATAATAATAATAATAATAAGTGGGAAAATCAATGAAACCAAAAACTGATTCTTTGGCAATGAAACCAAAAACTGATTCTTTGCTAAACCTCTGGTCAGACTGAACAGGAAAAAAGGAATTACCAGCCAGGCACAGTGGCTCATGTCTGTAATCCCAGCACTTTGGGAGGCCGAGGTGGGCAGATCAGCTGAGGTCAGGAGTTTGAGCCCAGCCTGGCCAACATGGTGAAACCCCATATCTACTAAAAATACAAAAATTAGCAGGGTGTGGTGACACGTGCCTGTAATCCCAGCTACTTGGGAGGTGGAGGCAGGAGAAAGGTTTGAACCCGGGAGGCAGAGGTTGCAGTGAGCCGAGATCAGCCACTGCACTCCAGCCTGGGTGACACAGCGAGACTCTGTCTCCAAGAAAAAAAAAAGGAATTACCAATATAAAGAACAAGAGAGGGGATACTGCCAAGGATACTACAGACTTGAAAAAGGAATAAGAAATTATGAACCGTTTTATGTTAACAAATTTGAAAACTTAGATGAAATGAACAAATTCCTTGAAAGACACATAATACCAAAGCTCACACAAGAAACAGATAACCTGAGTAGTCCTATTTCTATTAAAAAATCTGAATTTGTAGTTAAACACCTTTCCACAAAACGGTCATCGTATCCAGATGATTCCAACTGGTAGCATTCCATCAAAATTGAAGAAAAAAATAATTAATTCTTCACAAATTTTTGCAGAAAATTGAAGAGCGAACACCTCCACCTCATTCCCCAAGGCCAGCATTATCCCAATACCAAAACCAGAAAAAGACATTATTAAAAAACTATTCATCAATACCCCTCATGAATATAGATGTGAAACACTCCTTACCAAATTTCAGTAAATTGAATCTAACAATATATCTAAAGGATAATACATAATGACTAAATTAGGTTTACCTCAAATATGTTAGTTTAACATTTGAAACTGAATCAAATGAATTCACCATATAAATCAGAGTTTTAAAAAAACAATTTCAACAGATGCAAAAGAAAGTAATTGATTGAAAAAAAATCTATGGCTCATGTTTGGGGTTTAAAAATAAAAAAGTAAAAATAATCCAATATCTATTTATGGTAAAAACTCAACAAACTAGAAGATAATTTCTTTTCCTTTCTTTAATAAAGGGAATCTATGAAAAACCTACACCCGACATATTCAATAGTGAAAGACTGAGTGCTTTTCTCTAATATTGGGAACAAAACAAATATGTTCATCCTCATCTCATTACACTGCAAGTTCTAGCTAGACAATGAAACAAGAAAAACAAAATAGCATATAGATTGGAAAGTAAGAAATAAAGCTATTTTTATTTACAGATGTGATCATTTGTTGAAAATTTTAAGTAATTCACGCAAAATAACTTAAAGTGACTTTGGCAAGAATGCAGGATACAAGACTGACATACGAAAATTTTATTACCATATACTAACAATGAACAACTGGAAATCGAAATTTTAAAAATAAAATTTACAAAAACATCAAACATATGAAATAGGAATAAATCTGACCAAGAGTGCAAGACCTATATATCAAAAACTACAAAACACTGCTATAAGAAGAATTAAAGAAGACCTAAATAATTGGGAAGATATATTCATGAATTGGAAGACTCAATATTGTTAAGATGTCACGTCCTCCCAAATTTATTTATAAATACAATACGATCGAAATCCCAAGTGGCATTTCATTTGTAGAAATGAGAACAGAATTATGAAATACAGTAAAATTCACTCTTTTGGTAGTAATTTTATTTACCAAATGTATAGAATCTTTTTTTTTTTGAGATGGAGTCTTGCTGTGTCACCCAGGCTGGAGTGCAGTGGTGTGATCTCGGCTTACTGCAACCTCTGCTTCCCAGGTTCAAGCGATTCTCCTGCCTCAGCCTCCCGAGTAGCTGGGACTACAGGTGCGTGACCATACCTGGCTAATTTTTGTATTTTTAGTAAAGACAGGGCTTCACCATGTTGCTAGGCTGGTCCTGAACTTCTGACCTCAAGTGATCCGCCTGCCTCAGCCTCCCAAAGTGCTGGGATCACGGTGTGAGCCACCGTGCCTGGCCTACCAAATGTATATATAGAATCTTAAAACCACCAGTACAGTCAGCATTTACAGAGCAGTTCTATCACTGCCTCCCTCCCTAAATTGTCCTGTGCTATCCCTTTATAGTCAAATCCTGCCCCCAACCTTTAAGGCTTGGATACCTTTGATTTGTTCTCTGTCTCTACTGTTTTGTCTTTTACAGATGGTCATATAGATGGGATCATATAGTATCTTGCCTTTTGTATTGTATCTGGCATCTTTCATGTAGCGTAATGCATTTGAGATTCATCCATGTTGTTACATACAGCAACAGTTTGTCCCTCTTTATTGTGACTGTGATATCCCATTATATGAATGCACCATAGTTTGTTGAGGGATGTTAATTTCTAATTTTTGATGATACAAATAAAGTTGTTATGAATGTGTGTGAACTTAGGTTTTCATTTTATGTGAGTAAACGGCTAGGAATGGCATTGCTGGGTCGTATGGCACGTATATGTACAACTTTGTAAGAAACTGTCAAACCATTTCCAAAATGACTGTATTATTTTGCATTTCCACTAGATGCTCTGCATCCTTGCTAGCAACTGTACTGTTTTAAAAAAATTTTTAGCTATTCTAAAAGATGCATAGTGATATTTTATTGTGCAGTGTCTGTTCATATTGTTTTTTCAGTTTTATGTTTGGTTGTTTTCTTGTTGTTTTGAGAATTCTTCAAATATTCTGGACACAAGTCATTTGTCAGATATCTGATCCACAAATATTCCTTCCGGTGGATGGCTTGTCGTTTCAGTCTCTTAACAGTGCATTTCACGACGCAGAAGTTTTACAGTTTGATGAAGACCAATTTACCTTCTTCTTTTCTGAATGTTTTAAATTTCATAGCTAAGAACTCTTCGCCTAATCTAAGATCTCAAAGATTTTCTCCTGCATTTTCTCTCTAAGTTTTATAGTTTTACCTTTTATGTTATGTCTATCAGTAAATTTTTATCTCAAGTGTGTGGTATAGTTCAAAGTTAATTTTTTTTGGCACTTGTACAGCATCTTTTCTTGAAAAGACCATTCTTTCTCCACCAAGTTGCCTTTGTACCTTTGTCAATAATCTACTGGCCATATATGTGTGGGTCTATTTCTGGACTCTCTAGTCTGTTCCATTGGTCGATATGTGCTATCTTTTTTTGCTAAGACCATACTGTCTTCATTACTACTGTACTTTTATAATTAAGTCTTGAAACAAGGTGTTGTGAATCCTCCAATTGTTCCTGTTTTTTCTTCCAAACTGTTTTGGCTTTTTAGTTCCTTTGCCTTTTCATACAGATTTTAAAATCTATATGTAAAGGCACAGATTTTAGATATTTACATCTATAGTAATATTTATAAACAAACATGCTGTGATTGTGCTTGGGACTGTGCTTAATCTATAAATCAACTTGGGGAGAACCAACATTTTAGCATGGTATATCTCTCCATTTATTTGGGTCCTGGATTTCTTTCATTATCAGTGTTTTTATAGTTTTCAGTATACAGATCCTTGTGAGATTTATACATAGAATTTCATTTTTTTCTAAGTTACTGCAAATGGTACTGTTTAATATCTCAATATCCAATTGTTCACTGCTAGTATATAAAAATACAACTGCCTTTTCTATCTTGTGACCTTGCTTAACTCATTTATTAGTTCTAGAATTTTTGGTGAGTCCATGGCATTTTCTATTATAGGCATTCATACTGTCCTTTCCAATCTGTATACCTCTTATTTCTTTTTCTTGCCTTCTTGTGCTTGGTAGGAATTCCAGCACAATGTTGAACAGGAGTGGTACAAATGGACATACTTGTCTTGTTCCCAATTTAAGGGCAGTGATACATATGTTTTACTATCTTGTCTGTGGTGACAGTTTCATAGGTGGATGCACGTGTCAAAACTGAAACACTGTATACTTTAAATATGTGCAGCTTATTGTATGTCAATTGTATGTCAGTCAAAAAAATAATTTATCAGGTGCTTTTGAGAAGCATTAAACTTCTAGCTAGTGAGCCGACTGTTTAGCCTCCCATACTCGCCTATTTCCAGATCACTTCCAAAATCTGTATGAGAAAGTTCCTTTGTGTCCTGCAAAAACAATACTGTTGTTGGTCTTTCATTTTGCCCTCATTCAAATCTTGCCTCACCTTTCTGTCTTGCTTCGCTTTTCAAGTTACTGAAATTCTATCCAGGTAAGTTGTCTTTATAGACAAAATTCATTCCTATCCTCTCAAAGTACAATGGTTTATTTTGAACAATGTACTTTCTTCATTGTTGTGTTTCAGTAATGGATTTCATTTCGGCTAATTTTAGTGATGCTTATGAGATTATACTTTCTCTGTGTTAAATTTTTTTCATCAAAACACAGTTTTAAAAAAAATTTTAAGAGATATCACGTAAAATATCTGTCTTAAAATCACTTTATCAAACCTACCAACTTTTTGCTCACAAATTCAATTGCAGCTCCTAAGACCTACAACTCTTACTTCCTGGACTGTTCTTCCAAGGCTGGCTGAATTACTTTAACTCAAGAATACAGAAGATGAGAAGCACAGCCCCTGAAGTTAGACTCTCTGGGTCCAACTCTCTACTGATGACCTTGGGCGAGTTTCTTTCAGATAGACATACCTATATGTCTACAGCTTAATGAATTTTTTTTTTTTTGAGACAGAGTCTCGCTCTTCCGCCCAGGTCGGAGTGCAGTGGTGCTATCTTGGATCACTGCAAGCTCCACCTCCCAGGTTCACGCCATTCTCCTGCCTCAGCCTCCCCAGTAGTTGGGACTACAGGCACCCGCCACCGCGCCTGGCTAATTTTTTGTATTTTTTTAGTAGAGATGGGGTTTCACCGTGTTAGCCAGGATGGTCTCGATCTCCTGACCTCGTGATCCGCCCACCTCGGCCTCCCAAAGTGCTGGGATTACAGGCATGAGCCACTGTACCCGTCCAGCTTAATGAATTTTGAAAGAGAACATAACCATGTAGCCAAAACCTATGTCAAAAAACTGAAGATCGCCAGTATCTCTGGTCCTGTGTTAAAATCTTAAGTTTGCAGGTGACTTTTGTTTTTAGAGCAAAATAAAATATATTCATTAAAACTCCCATGATAAATCCCAGAAAATAAAGAAAAATAATTCCCAACTGTCCTGATAAATGCACAGCTTCGTACTTTAATACCTACCCTTAACTTGCCCTCCTGAAACTTAATGGAAGTAGGGTTATGGGATGAGGAATAAGATGCCTAAGAGAAAAGAAATGAAAACTATCTCCAGGATGAGGAATTATTTTATCAGCGAGTCGCAGGAATTTTGAGTTGAGAGCATGGCGGCGGAGAGGGCTAGAAACCACTATTTATTTATCCTGGAAATCACTTATTTATCCTGGAAAAAGGATTCATTCCAGGATGATGAAAGGTGACTGCTCCTGTAGAGACAGGGACAGTGTGCACAGTGCATGACACAGAGAGCAAAACTGTAGACGCTGGTCATGTTTTCCTCTATTTCAGGAAGAAGTCTTAAAGAGAGTTTAAGGGATGGTGGAAGATATTTCTTCCTATTTCTAGAGCATCTCCCATCTCAGCACTCTGTCTTCTGCAGATTTGAATATTTCAGGAGACTCTTAAGAACTTCCTTTGTGCTCACATTCAGAAAATATTCCCCAAGAGAAAGGAACAACGTACCTGCTCTTTGACCTCAATGTTATGTTCCCCTTCTAGAATAAGAGTGACGGCTTGCATAATTTGCTTTCCATGAGTACTCATTATTTTATCTATATGCTGTAAAACAATGGGAAATCCATAATTATCAAAGAAACAAAGACCACAGGACGAATACAAGGCTTCTAAAAGTTAAAACAATATGATTCACAACTGCTTCATGCAAAACACTATAGCATATAGAACTAGATGCCAAAGAACAGTGTTTATTATATTTTGAAGCTGCAGTTTGCCTTCAAATATGTCATACACACACACACACACACACACACACATGTATATACACATTACACATACATACATACATACATAAAGTTGACCTGACAGAATATGAAAGCACAATCATTGGGGGTCCTCAAACCCAAATATATTAAAGAAAAAGGAAGCAAAGGCCAAGTACGGTACGCTCACGCCTGTAATCCCAGCACTTTGGGGGGCCGAGGTGGGCCAATCACCTGAGGGCAGGAGTTCGAGACCAGCCTGGCCAACACGGCAAAACCCCGTCTCTACTACAAATACAAAAAATTAGCTGGGCATGGTGGTACACGCCTGTAATCCCAGCTACTTGGGAGACTGAGAAAGAAGAATCACTTGAACCCGGGAAGTGGAGGTTGCAATGACCGGAGACTGTGCCACTGCACTCCAGCCTGGGGGAAAGAGCAAGACTCTGTCTCAAAAAAAAAAAAAGGGGGAAGCATAAAAAATGGACTGGGGTAATGGGGGAAGCCAGAGACATGGAAAACACAGTGTAGATTTCCTAATACTATCTTGGAGAATAAATGCATAATGACAACTTGTGGGGCACAGAGAAGGGAACCACTCATATTTCCTCATCTACCTGAAGGCCACTTGCATTGTTTCTTGGGGAACATTAGAGAACATTGAGAGGTATCCCACCAGCAAGGCTCAGCCTCTCCTACTCTGACACGTATCCACTGCTTTCTACACTGGCATCTTCAGAGGTCAATCCCGTAAATGTGGGTAGGGAGATGGTCTATGGAATGGCTCTGAGAATTCTCTAAAGGGAAAGAAGCAGAGGCCCCAGAGATAAGTGATTTAGGCAGATGAGAAAATCCATCCTGGACAGCATACCAGGTAAGAAAAAAGTAACAAATCAAGGTAGGCACTGGTCATGTTTTCCTCTGTTCCAGGGATTAGAGGGAGACAGGATAAGCAGTGTAGGAGTGGAGAATAGGGGGTGATATGGTGAAGCAGCTCCCAGAACACCTACGAAGGTGACAGGTTTAGACATCAACTCCTTGTTTCTTTGGAAGGGGGCAGCATTTGAATCACACTCATGGGCAGATGTTAATGAGAGCACAGAGAGAGAGCAATGTCTTGCAATGCATATGCAGGGCTAGCTAATTTGGAAGCCTGGGTGATTTTACTTACAGGACGAGTGGAGAGGAGATTTCTAAGAAGTCCCAATGTCTTCATCAGCACATTCAAATCTGAATCTGATAATAACCGGAATAGCTGTTCAGTACTCAAGCTTCGTAAAATATCTGCTTTTATTTTTTGTTCAGCCTGAAATGCCATATTCTGAAAGGATTAAAGAAGTTGCAAGAATCATGTCTACATTTACTTTATTAAATTATATTTTAATAGTAACTCTGGTAATTTTTTTTTATTTTTTTGAGACAGAGTCTTGCTCTGTCGCCCAGGCTGGTGTGCAGTGGCACAATAACGGCTCACTGCAACCTCTGCCTCCCGGGTTCAAGCAATTCTGCCTCAGTCTCCTGAGTAGCTGGGAGTACAGGCGCGAGCCACCACGCCTGGCTAATTTTTGTATCTTTAGTAGAGATGGGGTTTCACCATGTTGGCCAGGCTGGTCTTGAACTCCTGACCTCGTGATCCACTTGCTTTGGCCTTCCAAAGTGCTGAGATTACAGGTGTGAGCCACCAGGCTTGGCCAACTCTGATAATTTTCAAAGTACAAACAGAATCTGCAGAAAATCTTTAAGGATAAATCAATCTATTTTCTTGATTCTTGTTAATCACCTATATTTCTGTCCGTCAAGAGAAACGTAACTGTTACTCTTAGATATACTTCTACATGAGGAATGTGACCACTTTTAGGTACAGACATTTGAATGTCTTAAGACTTCTCAAATAAATACAAAACTCATTTATCACTTTTGAGAATATCTTTATGGTTATCAAGTTGCCTGCTGTACACGAAATGACTATTAATGCTTATACTGTGCCATGCCTTTTGAGAATGATTTCAAAGTACTCACGGAAGAAAATAAGCAGTGGGTTTTCTTAACTTTACTGGCATGAAAACATCTCTTGTGTTCACAATACTATGGTAGGTGTTGGCATGGCTGGGCTGTATCACACAGGAAGCTCTCCAGAGGGTAGGAGGTGTGTCTGAGCTACCAGTAATCCCGGGTGGCTAGTAGCTATTTTGCTCCTTTTTCTCTAATTTGTATCATGGGTTAACCCAGCTTAATCCCAAGCTATACATGTCTGAAGAAAACAAAAACCATGATAAATTCCAAGTAACAACTTACAAATCAACTTTTGATACAAAAATCTCTTGTATAGCCAGGTGTGGTGGCACACGCCTGTAATCCCAGCTACTCAGGAGGTTGAGGCACAAGAATCACTTGAACCCAGGAGGCAGAGGTTGCAGTGAGCTGAGATTATGCCACTACACTCCAGCCTGGGCAACTAAGCGAGACTCTGTATCAAAAAAAAAAAAAAAGAAAGAAAAAAAAAATCTTGTGAACTAGAGACATAATATGTGGTTGTTGCCCTCCAGGAACTTATTTTAATTAAAGAGCTAAGACATTAGCCATCAAGTTACATAATAATGTGAGGCAGCATGGCAGAGCAAAAAGAATACTCTATGTGTCAAGAGACCCAGGTCAGAGATGACTCTAAGGTTTTATATTTTGCAGAGAGAAAACACAGCAGCTGGTAATATGAAGACTGACGAGAATAAGATAGTTTGTACAGATTTGAGGAGTGAAATGAGTTCAGTTTCCAACATTAAAGTTGTGCATGTCAGAGAATTCTGAAATGAAGTCCCATACGCCATTTAAGTGATAGATGTGGGAAACAGGTAACAGTTACATCTGGATATGTAGATTTCAAAGTAACCTATTAGGGGAAGTTGAAACCATGTTATGAGATGAAGTCCCTGAAACTGATGTAATGAGAATTGGAAACCAGAAACTGAAACTTGGGGGAATGTTCTCAGAGAAGAGGTTGAAAAGGAAGCTAGGTAGAAAGTGAGTTTAAAAAAAATAAGTCCTGGGAAGGAGTTTCAAGAAAGAGAAGTGCTAAAAGCTGTGCAAAGTTCAGGAGAAAAATATCTGTGAAACTACAGATTTGTTGCTTTCTTAGAAGATAATTATTTCTATCCTAAAGTCTGTATAAAAACACAGCAGATATAGCATGGAACAGGGAGAATACAGGCTTGGAAAAGGTTCTGAACCCATTTCCATTATTAACTGTGAGGCCTTCACCTTCACAATTCACTTACCCTCCCTGAGTCCTAGTTTCCCATTTGTAAAGTGAATATATACCAATATATCTTAAAATAAGAATGAGGGATAAATATAAAACGCCCAGCTTAGTGTCTGGTACAGAGCAATTAAATTGTAAATAGTATAAATATGTTTTAAAAATCAATTTAGGATTACTCTATTTACAATTTCAAGAAAATTTTAATAATCTTAAGGAGAAATGGTTCTCTAACCTCAAAGTTTTACAATATATTACAAATTATTTACTAGAAACTGTTAAAAAATTATTAAGTATTTATGCACCAATTTTATTACCTTCGACAAGTTAATCATTCTGCAAAAAATGGTTAAATATGTGAGGTAATACACATGTTAATTAATTAGCTCAAATTAGCCATCCCACAATCTATTTATCTTTCAAAACATCATGTTGTACTTTATAAACACACATAATTTTTATTTGCCAATTAAAAAAAATAATCATTCTGTGCCTTAGTTTACTTCATCTATAAAGTATGGTAAGAACTCTCTGGTTGGTATCATAAAGTTGTTCTGAAGAGCAAAGGAGATATGAAAGTGCTTTGTAAAGTAGGTGGCGCTACACAAAAATATAATATGTTCATGATAAGGAAAATTTATTTTCCCAGAATTAGCTAAGTTTCAACATCTGTTCACTTTTCTTAATAATAAATAAGAGAACGGAGGCATAACTTGCTTACAGTTAAATCTGTTAGTTTAATACTAAGCCTTCTAGGTCCTAGTCATTAGAAAACTAGAACAAAATAGCCAGATTTTTGAAAAAGAAAATTCCAGACATTTCAAATAACACATTATAGTTCTAACTTAGACAATAGCTGTATTCCTTTTGTAAGTTATGATATATATAAAAGTGAAACGTACCATTAAAGCCCAAATTCCATTCACTCGTAAAGCAGGATTTTCACTCTGAGTTAATCCACAAAGTAGCTCTACGGCTCCTGATTCCAAAATTGGCTGCCATTGGACAGGGAAAAAAAAAATCACAGCTTTAAAGTCCAGTTTGCAAACTAAACATGCATATACCTTGGCACTTTGTGATTTCTTCCCCACTCTTACTCAATTCCAGGCAACTTTTGCAAAGCAGGGAGTGATGTAGCCATAAAAATCACCTTGAGAAGGGCAAAGACAATTATTTTCTCATAAATCCGAAAAGCCAAAAAAAAAAAAAAAAAAGAAAGAAAACAAAACCAAACCACTCTGTCATTTCCTTTTATCCTTGTAGTCCTGGAGGATTCAGGAGACATTCTAGTTATCTGTACATTTCACACAGACCCTTATGATCCCATTACCTAGCTCCCCACTCTCATCTTTCGCTGAGACTCTGTCACTTTCTGCTTTATGTGTACATCTTGTGCATTGCTTACGAACTCTATGAAGTAATATGGTTGGTAAAGGAAAGAAATATAAAGGAACTTAGAAAACCAAATCATCCTCCTTCCAAGCTGTCAGTCTTATTCCAAACATGCTGCAGAATTTATCTTTTAGGATATTTTCAGGACTACTTATCAATTATACAAGCAAAACAGTCCTGTACTTTTACAGTCATGCCACATTTTACATCTAAAATACCATGCTTTAGTCTAACTACTTAACTTTATTTATGATACTTGACTGAACATGAATTTTTGGTAATTTCTAAAAAATATTCAAACCTTAGAGGATTAAGATTTACCATCACCGATGAATGCTTAAAGGTCACTTGTCAAGAGGATTATAGAAACGTCAGAAGCAATTCAGATCTATATACCCAGAAAAAGGGGTATACATTTCTCAACTGTACAAATTATATTTTAAAAACTTATTTTGAAATAAATTCAAACTTATAAAGTAGCAAAAAATACAAGGAACGCTCAGATATTCTTTTCCCAGATCCGCCAGTTTTTAACATTTGCCATTGTTAATTTATCATCTCTCTCGTACTATGTACCTAATCCACATTATCTATCTTTTCTGAACCATGTGAAAGTAGGATGCGTACATCATGCCCCTTTTACGCTTAATATTTCAATGTATATTTCCTAAAAACAAGGATATTATCTTAGATAACCATAGTACAGTTACCAAATTCAGGAAAGGTAATAATAAATTAAAATAATACTTTAATCAAATCTATAGCCCATACTCTAATTTTGTCAGTTGGCACAAAAAAAATGCTCTTATAGCATTTCCCTCCCCCACTTTGGTTCAGAATCTATTTTTTTTTTAATTTTAATTTTTTCAGACAGGGTCTCGCTCTGAAGCCCAGCCTGGAGTGCAGTGGCATGATCATACCTCATTGCAACCTCAAATTCCCAGGCTCAAACAATTCTCCTGCCTCGGCCTCTCGAGTAGCTAGAACTACAGGTGTGTGTGCCATGCCTGGTTGATTGTTTAATTTTTAGTAGAGACAAGGTCTTGCTATGTTGCCCCGGTTGGGAGTTAATTTTTCAATATAAAAAAATCGTATTAGTGATCCTTTGCCTGAGCTCATCTACCTATTTCCTAACTAGACCCTAAATATCCTGAAGGTAGATCTGGAGCAATATAAGAGCAGTTAAGGATGATTAACGGTGGTACACCAGCTGTGACTGGATTATCATCAGGCCAAGACCCCGTCTACAGGGCAGAGAACTGATGGAAGCTCTGGTGTCTGTTTTGCCTTTCTCTTCCATCAGGGTAACTACCAGTCTTGCCCTGTTTGTTCCAAGATTCCTGCTTGTTGAATAACTATTTCTGAACCTCCATCTTGTTTTTTTGTTTTGTTTTATTTTTTAGATGGAGTCTCCCTCTTTTGCCCAGGCTGCAGTGCAGTGGCGCGATCTCAGCTCACTGCAACCTTTGCCTCCCGGGTTCAAGTGATTCTCTTGCCTCAGCCTCCCGAGTAGCTGGGATTACAAGCATGCACCACCACCCCCGGCTAATTTTTGTACTTTTAGCAGAGATGGGGTTTCACCATGTTGGCCAGGCTGGTCTCAAACTCCTGACCTCAAGTGTTCTGCCTGCCTTGGCCTCCCAAACTGCTGGGTTTACACGCATGAACCACCGTGCCTGGCCAGAACCTCCATCTTATTAATACTACCTTTCTTAATTATAGTCAATGCCTACAAGTGTTATAATGCAGCAAATAAATTCAACACAAATGGGACAACTAAATGCACAATAAACCTGAGTTCATAATTGGGCAGATCAGGGGTATTATGACATAATAAAACTAACTGTATAAGGTTTTCCCCTTCTTCATTAAGGTATATTTTAGTTTTTCCTATTAAAAAAAAGAATACATACTCAAATATTTTATAAAATGCAGAAGGGAACCCCCATCCAACCCCTCCCCAAACAACTACCATTAACATTAAACATCAAAAGATGATTTTCCAATGACAGCAGTTATGTCCTTGAAATGATTTATAATCCTGGTTTACAAAATTTAGTCTTAATTTATTCTTTAGTAAAGATAGCCTGAGAATAGTTTACTATTTGTAAGAAAAATTATTTCTTACATTCACAGTTTCAGGCAGTTTAGATAGACTTGAAGATGTAATATCTTTTAAATAAGCTGAATATGTTAGATAGAATAACAAGAATAATGGGAAATGATAACCGTACTTTAAAATGAATGATTTATTTGCACACCCCTACCGCTATGCAATCAAACAATTCCGAAGTAGTTTTTAAACCCAACCCACAGATTTCAATGTCAACTACTATAAAAAGTATTTGAGTAAGCTCTAGCTGGACTGGGCAAAGTCTAGGAAAAGAAAATCAATACTAACCTCTTTGCTTGGAGAAAATTCAAGAAGAAGATTACACAGCATGGAAGATGCTACCACTAGGATTTCATCTGGTGCATTTTGTAAAACCTATGGAATTAAAAAAGGATACTACTAATGATTTGGAATGATGAAGATGAGATATAAAATGAGATATAAAATATAAATAAAAACAAGAACAATTATCTTTCAACCTGATTCTTCGTATTGGAGAGATAGGAAGAATCCACTTGATACTGTGTCAAACTTTTCCTAGTGCTATAATTATGACGGACTAACGCCCTCAAATCTGTCTTGCTTGGAGAAGCTGCAGCCTCACTGGGGGCTCTTGCAGGGAGGAGAGAGACATGTCAGGGGAAGATACTCTTATGTGAAATGCTTGAAGGCCAAGGGACTGCTCTGGGGTAAGTGAGCTCATTCTACTCCATCAGTCAAGCCCCTTATGAGTCTACAGAATGGTCCTACAGCCTGACTTTCTGATGTGTCCTTAGAAGGGCTTGTTTGACCAGGAGCACTGACGAATCAAGCAGGCTACTACTGCATAGGCAGGACAGTGTGGGAGACTGGTTCTCAGAAATGGAATCACACAGACCTAGTTCCAACTGGACACTTCCACTAACTAGCCTGAGCCTGTATTTCTTCATCTATAAACTGAGGAAAATAAGACCTCCTTGATAGAACTATTTAGGATTAAATGTGATATAGTGAATAATAAGGGAAGTACCGTAGCAGGGAAATGAAAAACATAAGACTACTTGGATACAAATTTGGGCTCAACAACTAAATAGGTACATGAATTCCTCAACTATAAAAATCCAGAAATGTCAAATCTGGCCCCAACAGTTTTGGATAAGGGATGGTGGTCCTGAAATAAACTTTTGCTGGTGGGAGCTGGCACACTCCATAAGCAAGTGTGTTCCAAGCATAGAAAGGCACTGATACTGTAGCTGGAGAGTAGAGTGTAGGTAAATAACCATTCTGAGATTTGGGGCTCTTAATGAGGTTCAGGAAGCAAAAGGATCTCAGAGAATGAGGAGTATTCAGAAGAGATGACATATGTCTAATAGGGTGAAAAAGAGTGAAACTCAGGAAGATGTGCCAATGGATGAAAATGGGTCAAGTTCAATGTTACATACTGCTTAGGCAGGCCCACTGAAAATAAGTTGTTAAAGAAACATACTGTTCTGATAGGCCTCATAAGACCATATTGTGACACTTGTTTAGACTAGAAAATAGAAAACTCTTGGTGTCCCCCTGACAGCTCCTGAGTAGTGAATCATACACTCAATCTATCATTCCTTCCACTGAAGTAGCTCCAGGGTTCATATGGTCTTTCCTAAGCCACTCCTACTGCTTTATTCCAGGACCTCAACACATAAATCATATACTCTGTCACTAGATGAACCTCCTCAATGGAAGAACCACTCAGCATGTCAATTCCCAAGGCCACTGGCATTGGTCTAACTCTTCCACTTCGTCCTTACCTGTCCACTGGTATGTCTCATTATATCCCACTGCTCCACTAGAGTCATAAAGGTATACTTGCCGTTCCCTACACATACCATACATAATGTTTCTCCTCATGCTATTCTGCTCCCCAGAAAATCCTCCTGTTTTCCTCTTGCTTTCAAAGCCCACTTTATATTCTTCCTGCCTGAATGGTCTCTTGCCTATTTCTGCCACATTGATGCCCCCGCCTCCTAAACCTAAAGCTTTAAGCCAAGAGTAAGAGTTCTGTGATAAAATGTTTTTGGTAGCTCACTGTACTTGAAGGCTTTGCTTAGTACATAGCAGGTATGCAAAAACAAAACAAAACTCTAAAAAATTAAGTTGACTAAATGCAAGGTATATGATCACTTAAGAAAAAAAATGATAGACCAAAGACCAAGTTTTGTAGTGTATCAGGGGATAACATTATTAGCAGCCACTTGATACATGCTCTAAGTCTTGATTCAGATTCATTTGTCCTGAACCTTTTTTGGGGGGGACAAAAGGGGCCTGAAGAGAAGACCTAACACCAAAAATGTTATGTTAAAAAATATCCAGGGGTCAGGCATGGTGGCTCATACCTGTAATCCTAGCCAACACTTTGGGAGGCCAAGGCAGGATCACTTGAGCTCAGGAGTTTAAAACCAGCCTGGGCAACTTGGCGAGACCTTGTCTCAAAAAAATAAAAAAAATTAGCCAGGCATAGTGGCACATACCTGTAGTCCCAGTTACTTGGGAGGCCAAGGTGGGAGAATCACTTGGGCCGGGGGGCACAAGGCTGCAGTGAGCCATGACTGAGCCACTGCACTCTAGCCTGTGTGACACAGTGAGACCCTGTGTCTATTTAAAAAAAAAAAAAAAATCCAGGGATTGCCGAGACTAAGAACAACACATTATCTCTGTAAATGGCAGATTCCTTTGCTTTTCAGAACCAAAAATTACAAGGATAATTCTGGATATAAGGTTAAGGTGTAATATTAAACAAATAGGGAGATCAGATGAGTAACTAAAGCTTAGTTAATAAAAGAAAATCAGGCCTGGCTGGGCGCAGTGGCTCATGCCTGTAATCCCAGCACTTTGGAGGGCCGAGGCGGGCAGATCACGTGGTCAGGAGTTCAAGACCAGCCTGACCAATATGGTGAAACCCCGCCTCTACTAAAAATACAAAAATTAGCCAGGCGTGGTGGTGCGCACCTGTAGTCCTAGCTACTAGAGAGGCTGAGGCAGAAGAATCGCTTGAACCGGGGAGGTGGAGGTTGCAGTGAGCCAAGATCATGCCACTGCACTCCAGCCTGGGTGACAGAGCTAGACTACATCTCAAAAAAAAAAAAAAAAAAAAAAAAAGAAAGAAAATCAGGCCTGTAGTTCCCCCTCACACATGAAGCATTTGTAGATGCTTAGAATATCAGATTTGAGGAGATAAACGTTCAAAATGCTCTACACAAAAATCAGACATACTCCTAGACCAGGGAGTAGTGTTAGCTAGCTCAGCTCACTCTAGGGTCTGTGAGTACAGCTGTTACTGGCTGACCCTTTCTTCTTACCTTCATTAAAGGTTTCCAAACAGCATGATCCTGGAAACTGGTTCGAAGCTGCTGCACAGATCTGGATAAACTGTGCAAACATCTACAAAGAATAATCAAAATTAGCTTCACAAGAAATCAAAACTTTTACTTTTCAAACAAACTGGCTGGCATTTTACAATGACTAATGTACACTTCAAGCATATCTACATTGTTAAGTGAACTACATCAGACCACTTTATGGGGTTTGGAGGCCAGGCTCTCTGTTAGACAATGTTATATACTCTATGAATTCACCTGAGCAGATTTTTGAGGAACATTTGTAGTCTGTGTTTACTCAGTGAAGGACCAGAAAGGAAACAGGTTAAATATATGGCAAAAGGTTTTTATTCAGACCATTTAAAGCTCATACCTGACGGCAGCTAACCGCACCTTGACACTAGACTCAGACAAGCCAGTCACAATTCGGTCCATCATATTTTCAGTCTCAATGATCTGGAGAAAAAGGTTAATGCTGCATAAATAACAACATGAAGGTGACAAACTTCACTGCTTGTAAATGCAAGTATGTTAACATCCATTAAAAGTTTAACGTTGTTTTTGGCAAGAGTTTTTACCTCTCAAACAATCATCTTGCGCTGGGGGCGGGCAGCTCATCAGAAAGGTAGGTCTAGCCCACTAAGGACCTGCCAGGCTGAATGACAGGCGTAAGGGGCAGGTTATGTTGTTTATTTTTAAAGACATTTAACACAAAAATTAAATGGTATAAGTACTGCAGAGGTGTTATGTAAATAATCTTGAGAAAAAGGAAAAGAAATAAATGAACTCTCATTGGGCAGGTTCCTTCCAGAGTGAGGTTCTAAAGAAATCACAGTCCATGCTCAGCCCTCACAAAATGAAATCTGGGCTTAGGACAGAGCCACCCTGTGGCTACTTTCTTACCAACCGACTGAAACTTTTAGAAAAGTAACCCTTGCCATCTTTCACTATAGCACGAAGTGCTGCTACATATAATCACTATAATCATGAAGCTTTATTGTTTCAACTTAAAAATAAGATAACCTGCAATTTTCCTTCATCAATGTCTAGATACAAAATAAATAGTGTGTGAAGGAAACTGAATTTGACTTGTGTGGGCCTATTGAAAAACAGCCTTTTCATATTAGAATAAAGTACTCATGACATCACAACACAAATATTAACAAACACATTTGTTGAGTTCTTCCATGTGCCAAGCACTGTGCTAAGCATGTTATATTACCCAATTTAACCCTCACTCTTCTGTAGGCATTATTCTGGATAATACAGAGCTTTCCTGTAATCACACAGCTGAGATACGTACCCAGGCATGTGACTCCAGAGTCTATATGCTCAGCCACACTTGTAATACAGCCCTGGTTAAGGTAGTCCTCTTGTACTCACCAGGTAGTTCCCAATATGGGCAACTCATTAATGGGAGTCGTTACTCTCACCTGGGAGAATACCTAGACCAATAGATCTTAACCTTGGTTGTCCTTGCAGAAGAATTACCTGGGGAGATTTTTTTTTTTAATCCTATGTCCAGGCCATACAGCAGACCAATTAAATTAGATTCTCCAGGGTCAGGGCTAGGCACCTAAATTTTTTTTTTTTTTTTAATCTCCTCAGGTGAGTCCAGTACACAGCCAAGGTTGAAGATCACTGACCTAGACTAAAATGAGAGGATTCAGAAGTCTGACCTTAGAACATGAGAGAGTGGAAAACCTCAGGATGTTTCAGCCAAACAAGAAGAGAAGAAAATATTGTTGAAATTAACAATGATCAGGGAAAATATCATCTATTAAGAACAGGGAACCACATTTTAGCTGTAGATTAGGAATGGTAATTTTTATCTGGTGTTTTAGTTTCCAAAACATTTACATATTGATCTACTCCTCGCCCTAGACCAAACCTAATTCCATTCTTACTGATATGCACAATCACTCTCTGTCCTCATTGTCACCTCTAGCCCCTAAATTCCTCCCTTTCTCAGTCTACCTACTCTTTGTGACTCCCTCATATCTTTTCCCCCTGGCATGGATGTCCTGCTCAGACACTCCACTTAGAAGACAGTTTCCCTTTTTCACTGTCCTCCCACCATTCATTACTCCTCCTCCAGATACCAACTGCTGATGTTGCTCTAGAAAAACCACCAAACATGACTGTTCTTTCCGTGTAAGCTATCCCACCTCAGCGGCACCCTCACTGCTGGTGACCAGCCTTGTAACCCCCTGGAGATGCCCATGTTCCTTATGGTAGCTACCTCTTACTTCAAATTCTTCTGCCTCCCTCATGCTCGCAGCCACTCTGTGCCCACCTCATCTTCGTAGGGACCTTGATTTTGGGGACACACATTGCAACTTCCCACTTCTGACGAAAGGTCTCCATGCTTTTGCTGTTTTCTTTACTCTTGTCAAGGTTGGGTACTTCAAGCTCAAAGCCTATCTACCTTGATCCAAAAACTACCTTTCCATAATGTTCTCACATCTTTACTCTGTCCTACCTCTCATTTTCAATCCTGTTTAAAAGACGTTTAAGTGTCCAAACTTTAACCTCTTGAAGCTAGTCCTCTCCCCACTTTCCATCTTTAAATGGGCATATATACAATAAAGGCTCTGTCCATCTCCATCTCTTATATATAACAATACTGTGACTTAAAAACCAACTCAGTATTGGAAATTTTCTAAAGTTCTGTCCTAGAGTTCTTTCCTGACCTCTAGCTCCATACTTCTGATTGCCTAATAAATATGACATGGATGTTCAGTGGAACTTCCCATCTATTACGCCTCATACTGAATTTGTCCTCCCACCCCCTAGCCTTGGCTAAACCTGCTTGTTCTCTGTGTCTTTCTGTTTTTGCTAACGGTATTTTAACATTCTCCCAGCCACCCAGGCCCTACATTTGTGCTAATTTTGACCCCAACTCTTCCTCCCTTACCACACAAAACCAAAACAATTTACTTAGCACTATACCTTATATTCATTCCTTTCGCATTCCATTAAACTAGTTGGGACCTTATTACTATTACCTTGGGGGTCATAGTAGTGTGTTTTCCAAATTACCTAATCTTCTGTGCTACAGCAACCATCAAAGACTGGCTGGGTTAGTTCAATCATGCACTAGTCACTGTTCTTGAAACAGACAAGGCCAAATCAGTACCTTCAATATGGGAAGGAAACAAAAGCCTAGGGCAAAAGTTTCAGGCAGTGGAGGACTAGATGCTTATGCCTGAAAGATCCTTCTGGCTTGGGAAATTATTTTTACTTAAGAATGAGAAGTGATAACTTGGGAGAAACAACTGCCTGTACTGGATATAGTTACATCATCAGAGAATGTGGTGGTGGTAGAAGTACGGATGGATTGAACACATGGTTACTCTCCAGAAAGAACTGAGAAATACTATTAGCATTGGCTCCAGATGCTTGCCCTGGGTGTGGCCAAGACTTGAAAGAGGTTTCTAGATAAGGTTTCCTGGCTACATTCAATCAAAGATGTAAATCTACCAAAGAACCAGAATGATGTAGCAATCATAGGCATTTAATAAAGTATATCTCAGTATAGCCATAGGTCACAAATCCCTGAAGTTGCTTAGCACCAAGAAAAAGCCTAATTCCACACAAGAGATGTGACAGAAAATTCTACAAGCTTAGTATGGGCTAAAGTCCAGACGGTAGCCTCTTCCCAAAGTCTGGAAGGCTGATATGAAAGAACCTGTGGAAAGGGAATAGGGTGATGATCAGAAATAAAATGAGTAGGTAGCCAGCCTAGTGGGTGAAGCAGGGGAAATGGAATGTTATGGAGTGGATATGCTGTATAATCTTGGGCAATTTACCTCTCTGGGCCTTCAGTAAAATGAGGAGATACAGTAATGATTATTTTATCTCCAATCTTTTGTAATCAGCAGGTGAATAAGGATCATGTTAGTCAGTCTGGACAAAACTACCATGTTGTTTAGAAGGAACTTGGGAAGAAGGCGGGTGAGGAGAGGCTGGAGAATGGTTCAGGTCTACTTAGAGTGCTAAAGGAGAAGGCAAGGAAAAGCAAACAGCGCAATTCCTACTTGCATTTCTATAATTATGTATTCAGCAAATATCTGAGTGCCCAGAGAGTGACAGGCATGGTTTTGAAACTCAAAAACAAAACGGTGAGGAAGAGAAAGCCCTTGCTTCTACCAAACTCACAGTATTGAATAAGCAAACATAATTTAAGTGTTTCAGTGCTATGGTGCTTGATTTCATGGTAGAAAGAACACCTTGGGAATGACAGGGACCATGGGGCCACACACTGAAACAAGTATCTACAAAGGGAAGGTAGGAAGACATCTTTTCTCAAGAACAGGAATTTTACAATCTAGGACAGTGGAAAAACATTAGGGCTCAATCACTGTAACATTAAGAGTGTAGCTTTGCGCTTTCTTTTAAAGTTTCTAGGGGTGTATGGTCCCTGATACTTTGGAGACAGAGTATAGCTATAAGGTGGCTGGTAAACGCTTTCCAAGTCAGGACATAAAACTATCTGGAGGTATCTTCCCCTCAGGCACAAGTTGACCCTTCTTAGATCATAGTCTAACAGAATGTCTATAGCAGAAGGCCTGAATCTGTAACTGAACTTGTAATGGAGATAATTCAGTAACCCTGCTAGGGTTCTAGAAAGCATGCTTGAATCTCTGGTCCACCTTCTCCATCAAGACATCAGTCTGGGAGTGAGAGTGAAAAACAATATAAAATTAGAATGTAAACTTTGAATTCCAAAAGGGTATGGACAATATGATCTAACCAGGGTTTTGCAAGCTTGAGGGCATGGAGACCGTCTGTGTATGGATACAAAGGGCACTATAGTGAATACACTGACAAAAATGAGGACAAAAATGTGATCACAGACAGGAAAAGGTTTGGAATCCAGTCCAGAGAAAAAATTTTCAGGTCAGCAGGGAAGGAGCTGGTAGTGGCTGCTGCCACAGCCCTCTGACCCATATGAAGGTTTAACAGTGCACCAGACAGCTTTTCAAACATGGGATTGGAAAACCAAGAGCAATAAAACATGTCCTCCGTGGTGCCTTTTAACGACCCCAGTACCGTGCTCCACAGCCTTGATATGATGGAGGGTGCCAAGTCCTAGCACCCTGCAAAAGCATCTTAGGTCCTTCCAGGATGTAAGAGCAATGCCAAGTAAAGCTGAAAGTTGTTCTCCCTCATGGTTCTTGTTGGAGACTCCTCGGCCATAGCTCAGCAAATATGCCCTGTGGCATAGCTGGTTGGATCTGCTAAAAAAGAAAAAGAGACAGTGCCCTCTGTTACACAGACACTGTGCCCAGCCAGAAGGGGTACTTGTAGTAGACTGAATCCTCAGAGTGGAGGAGGCCATCTTTCTTCCTAGGCTTTTCTAGGGGCCTGGGCTGTAAACTACAGAATTAAGTAACACAAAAAATGTTGCATCCTCAACTGACCGCTTTAGGTCAATGGATCAGGTATTGTGTACCTCCCTGCTGGTGTCTTTAGCTTTTATGACATGCTTTTGCGAAACTGTCTCTTGCATTGCTGCTCTTGCAGGAGTGGATAAGGATCTATTAGAACAGGATCTGAGCCCCCTGTAATCGGGACAAGACTTTTATGACCAGTGGGAAAGAGGGGCACTCAGTCCAGAGGATCATGGGGAAAATGCAGAATCCAGATAATACTAAGGTGGTGGTTTATGGTATACACAGGAACTCCAACAACTTGAAAATGGGCCTTTGGCTACAAGGGAACTTCCCAGCCCTCCATGACCTTTAGTAGATCCAAAATTTAGTTGTGGCCAGGACATAAGCCATCTTTTCCTCTGAGCACATGAAGAACTAAGAGTCAGAGATATGGTCTTTGAAAAAACAAGACAAACTATTCTTCCAGCTTTATTCGGGATGAAACATTCTTGATACTAGAAAAACTTTAGCTTGGACTTTAGCTTCAACTGTGCTGAAACCAGGTCAACCAAAATATGTGGAAACTGAAACCAGGTAGATTCTCAGTGGTGTCAGCAAACTTCTCAGACAATTCAAAGTGGGTGGGTTGAGGGGGTGTCAAGGCAGTGGGTGGCAAAGTGGGCTCTCTCTTAACATCAATCACTTATGTGAATGTGCATAATAGCCAAGCAAATACAATTTAATTCCAAATAGGCTTTTGTGAAAGTTTCCAGAGAAAGTTTTAATGGATTATGAGTAATAACAAGACAGAACTGGCCAGAAAGAATAAGGACCTGGAATTAAACTCTGAAAATCACAAGCCGCAGTCATTTAATATCTAAGTGGATAAGGTATCAAATCCAGACTCTAGTTAAAGCAGGAGGGATTAAGCAGCCAAGCAGGGTGCAGCACAAGGAGGTCAGGGAGAGAGAGTAGGTCTGGCAAGGAAAAAGGACGTATAACAGAGACTGGACCTGCTGGGTGCGGATGGCAATTTAGTCTCATAAGTGTCAAGAAACACAAGTCCCAGGACACGCACTTGAGTCTTTCCTAGCAGGACCATTTATTTAAGGTCTAGAGTTCCTCACTTAAATTTTTTTTTTATTTTTTAGGAAATGAGCACTATAAACCCAAGATCTCATGTCAGCGCCATCAAGACACTAGTTTTGGAAATGGGATAGAGACTAGGGAGGAAAGAGAAGGGCCATGAGGTAAGAAGGCAGATACTAGAATGAAATAGGCATATACAACCAGCTTATCTGGATAGACTGGGTAGAACCAGCAAGAGTCAGGGGAGAGATCCATTGCCCCAAATGGAAAACCAATCTTTCACTAGGCTTTAGGAAGTGACCATGTGATTTTATAAGACGACCACAGGATACTTAAAGACATGATGCCATATACATCATGGAAATGCTTGAGCACCTAATGTGTATTATTCTTGAGTATATCCTCATACCATTTCTCCTTTATTAAAACAAAGTAAAGCAAAACAAAAACAAACCAAAGACCAAAAAACCCAAATCCAAAATCTCCAACAGTACATGGTATTCCACGAATCAAGTAAGGGCAGTTGCAGTGCTTGCTCCTAACTCAGTTCAACTGGAAAACCAATTCTCTTACTGCATTCTCTTAATGCAGTGGACTTAACTATCTGACAGAACTAAACACATTTGTGCCTGTTCATTTTTAGGCTGAATAATGTTAATATCTGAAGAGGTCTTAGAAATAGTCTTATCTGAGGTCTCTGAAGTTCAGAAAGATTAAGTCACTGGTCCAGTTTCTTCAGGCAAACTGCAGCAGAGCATCCTTCCCCATTTCCCAGGTTTTCTTACTTCCAGTATGAGGTCCTTTCTATTCACTATGTTTTAAGGATGAGATTTTTCACTTAGCCTTAACTAAATTGAGATCTGACTTCGAAAACAGGGAAAGAGGAAAAGAACTATAAAAAATTATCATTGCTGTAGAAACCACAGACTATATATTGATATCTTGGGCCAATAAAGATTAGTATACTATACTTGGCAAGAAGGGGCATCATTAATAAACTGAACAAGAAGGAAAAAAAGGCCGGGCGCGGTGGCTCACGCCTGTAATGCCAGCACTTTGGGAGGCCGAGGCGGGCAGATCACGAGGTCGGGACATCGAGAACATCCTGGCTAACACGGTGAAACCCCGTCTCTACTAAAAATACAAAAAATTAGCCAGGCGCTGTGGCGGGCGCCTATAGTCTCAGCTACTCGGGAAGCTGAGGCGGGAGAATGGCGTGAACCCAGGAGGCGGAGCTTGCAGTGAGCCGAGATAGCACCACTGCACTCCGGCCTGGGCGAAAAGAGCGAGACTCCGTCTCAAAAAAAAAAAAAAAAAAAAAAAAAGAAGGAGGAAAAAAAGATATACTTTACAGGACCTCCCAGAGAGAAAATGACAAATCAATGATTCAGCTTTGGTTGGGGGTACAAATGGCAAAGCTCAGAGAGGATGCCAGCCAGTGAAAAGATAAGCCAAGAAAAACCGGGAAGAAACCACAGAGTTCCACTGACATTTCAACTCATCTGACCTCCATTTTAGAATGAGGATCTAGCTTTAGCAGATAGTAACCAAATGGAACTAACATTCTACTGTCCTTAGCCACAAGTTCCATTCATCTGTTGCAAATAAAAACTGCAGGGTTTCCCATCCATACCCTGTTATGTAATACCTGTGCCACTGCTCCAATGTAAGATGTTTGGACATTTTCCTCTAGCAAAGAATTTTAAAGTAAAAGCCAGTTTTGTTTTGTTTCTTTCTTCTTCTTCTTTTCCTTTCTTTTTTTGAGATGGAGTCTCACTCTGTCGCCCAGGCGAAATCTAGGCTCACTGCAACCTCCGCCTCCCGGGTTCGAGCGATTCTCCCACCTCAGCCTCCTGAGTAACTGAGATTATAGGTGCATGCCACCACGCCCAGCTAATTTTTGTATTTTTAGTAGACATGGGGTTTCACCATGTTGGCCAGGCTGGTCTTGAGCTCCTGACCTCAAGGGATCTATTCACCTCGGCCTCCCAAAGTGCTGGGATTATAGGTGTGAGTCACCGCTCCCAGCTTTTGTTTTTTTCTAAATGAGAAAAAGCTGTTCAGTTTCTCTTAGAACAGATCACTGATGAATATATTACATTCTGGGGTCTCAGTAAACACTTGACAAAGTATTTCTTCCCTCCTCTCACTCTTTCATTGCTATCCACTCCCACATTCATACCAAATTCTTCTAACTCCATGATCTTGAGTCAACAGAAAAATGTTGGCCCTGCGCGGTGGCTCAGGCCTGTAATCCCAGCACTTTGGGAGGCCAAGGCGGGCGGATCACAAGGTCAGGAGATCGAGACTGTCCTGACTAACACAGTGAAACCCCGTCTCTACTAAAAATACAAAAAATTAGCCGGGTGTGGTTGCAGGCGCCTGTAGTCCCAGCTACTTGGGAGGCTGAGGCAGGAGAATGGCCTGAGCCCGGGAGGTGGAGCTTGCAGTGAGCCGAGATCACGCCACTGCACTCCAGCCTGGGCAACAGAGCGAGACTCCATCTCAAAAAAAAAAAAAACAAAAAAAAAAAAAACAGAACAGAACAATGTTTGGGAGGCATGGGGTGGGAGGAAATAGTCTATCTTCTCTCAGCTGGAGACCTAAAAAACCCACCATCTAAGAGATGGTCTGTAGGGCCTCTTTTTGATCCTTTCTCTTGAAGGTACTGAATTAAATCAGCATCTAGCCTCTCCTGTAGGTCTGCCTGCCTGCCTGGGAGCTGGAGCTGTATCACTTCACTTTAGGGGTAGAAGATAAAGAAGAGGGGTACATATTGTGGGCCCATTCTTAAGTTTCTACATTTCATTTTTACTTTTAAGCCTCATGATATTTTGTCATTTATACCTGAGGTCATTTACATCTTTTTATTTTCTTACTAGCTGGGAAAGTCGTTTATGTTAAATGTTCAGAAGAAACATTAGAAGAAAGTTCTAAACTTCTCTACACTTTGTGGAAAAGTGGGAGTTTTCTCTTGAGTCGACTTTTCCTTTCCCCAAAACCAAAGGTATAAACATATTGCATCAGAAATACTTATACTGCAGAAAAACAGATCAATACTTCTATCAAAAAATATTTCTCTATGAGTTCAATTTCATAAAGTTTAGTCATTAGCTTAATGGCAGAATACAGCCTTAACAGCCACTGAATTACACTCTTTTAACACATAAATAAAACCATTATAAATTATGATGCAAACAACTGAGACTTCCATCTGTCTCCTCCTGTTTGCCATCCTGGGCACATGAACGATTCAGTGCCCAGGAATTGTGCAACACAATGCCTGTTCAGCCCCTATCCTCTATATACACAGGCATGCACCCTCACAGTTTTTATTACCCCACAGGTTAGCTGGCTAAATTTTCAGGTCCAGACATATAAAAATTACTCAATAGATAAAGTATAACACCTACAATATGCCAGGTACTGCTTTTACATAGCTTACATTCCAGTGACAACCACTGACAAAGAAGTAACCTATTAACAGATTCAAGGATTTCAAAATGTTGTCTGAAGTTTAATTCTATTCCCATAAAGAAGCTGTCTACAGAATAAAATGCTAAAATAGCACCTTGATACATAATCTGGATACTTCCTCTCTAGAATGAAATAAAATCATATTTAGACAGTGTCCTTAGAAAAACATTTAAAATTAATGCAGAAGGAACACAGATATGGAGGTCCCTCATGTTCTATGGGTCAAAACTTCTGAAGAAATGATTTTAGTATTTTAGAAGGTAAGAAATCTTCCAAATAAACTTCTTTATAAGAGAGGGACTTTTCCAGACTCATTCATAATAGGTTATTTCAATTACAGTCATATCTTAATCATATCTGGGTACACTGTTCAGGGCAAAAATGGCTTTCAGTGTGGACAGACTTTTTACACACATGAGGCTCTGGAATTACTACATAGCAATTTAGTGTCTCATCTCCCTAACTACATTAAACTGTAAGCATTCACAAAGTACATGCCAGTCTTCTGCTTCATTCTGAGCATACATCAATGTTACATGATGAGTGTACAGATGGATTAAAGCATCTCATTACCCACTTAGTACCAAAAGCTATGTGAGAGAAATGGCGTTTTCTGAATCTAATGCTTTGTAAACAGCTAGGACAAACTATTAAGCTATATACCAAGTTCTCTCAGTTTGTAGTATTTTTTTAGGCTAATCATATACTCTTCAGTAAAATTTCTTGCCATTCTATGCCATAATTTGGATCTATAATGGTATTTAACTTAGCATGTATAAAGTGATGTAATAGTTAAAAACATAGGCTTTGGAGTCAGAGAGACTGGGATAAGACAGAGACTCTACTACTTACTAGCTGGGGGGCCTTGGTCAAATTGCTGATTTCCTGATCTGCAAAAACTATCTCATAGGGTGGTATGACAATTAAGGGAGAGAATGTGCTAATGCTTAGCACAGGGTCCAGCACATAGTGAGTGCTCAACAAATGGTAGTAGTTATATTTCTGTTGTATATGGTTTCCCAAACAGATTCTGTTGACTTAAGTATCTGACTTATATGATTTCTGCTTGCCCCATACCACCTAACACTTTATATTTAGCAAAGGCTTAATATATTTGCTTAATAAGTGAACTAGATTTTTTTTTCTCTCAAGCATAGTGAAAAATCTTATTCAGAGAACCTTGCTAACCAATACACAGAACCCAGTAAGATTTCCAATCATAACCCAAAGCCATAGTTTTAATCTAATTTTTCTAGGGTCTGTCACATGCCAAAATCATTCAAACAAGGGAATCAGTATGTAGGAAAGTATCCAGTGACAATGTCTACTGTCAACAATTGATAATGCCTTTCTTCAGAAAGTCAGACAACTGGCTTCTCCCTCTTCTGGTCAGGGCCCTGTTTCTTTCTATATGCCAGTACACACAGGCATATGCGAAGTTTGGTATTTCGCCAAACTGGTTTATGAGAGTTTCTATTTAGGCCGGGTGGGGGGGGGGGGGGGGCGGGGTGGCTCACGCCTGTAATCCCAGCACTTTGGAAGGCCGAGGCGGGTGGATCACAAGGTCAGGAGTTCGGGACCATCCTGGCCAACATAGTGAAAACCCCATCTCTACTAAAAATACAAAAAATTAGCCAGGCGTGGTGGCGGGCGCCTGTAATCTCAGCTACTTGGGAGGCTGAGGCAGGAGAATCGCTTGAACCCAGGAGACGGAGGCTGCAGTGAGCCGAGATCGTGCCACAGCACTCCAGCCTGGGCGACAGTGCGAGACCCCGTCTCAAAAAAAAAAAAAAAAAAAGAGTTTATGGTTAGCTATGCAGTATTAGCACAGGGTGGGCAAACTTTTTCTGTAAGGGCCAAGCAGTAAATATTTTAGACTTTGTGGGACATACAGTTCTGTCACAACTACTCAACTTGCCTCGGTAGTGCAAAACAGTCAAAAGTCAACACATAAACCAACAAGGTCGTACGGCAATATAACTTTACGGACATAAACCTGAATTTAATTTCCTTTTCATATGTCAGAAAATATTCTTCTTTTAATTCCCCCAACCATCAAAAAATGCAAAAATAATTTTATCTTGCAAGCTACAAAATTATAATGTAGGTAACAGTACCCACAGGTTGTAGTTTACCAACCTCTATGCTAGCACTTTATTCATAGGAAAGAGCATAGCAACAATCCCTGATTCTTATCACAATCCTAATCTTTTCAAGTTCTACTATTCCATACATATTTAATTATTCCAAATATTTCATTCATTTCCAGAAAGAATGTTCTTGAAAATCCAACTAAGTCACAACATTTAGATTTACAGATCTAATAAAGATATTTTAGCCCATTTCTTGGTGTATATAACCTCTGTCTTTTAACTAGATAATAAACAATAAACCAACTTGTCCATCATACTTTCAATGGCTTAAGCAAGGGACATACCACAAATAGTATAACACTCAATTTTATATCTCCATTTAATGAAACTATGAAATAAAAATTCATTATTTTATAAATACCTCTATTATATATACAGCATTATCACTCCCAGGTTTGCTTCTTTCAGTATGTTGAAGGCCAAAGGTCTCAATACTGTGGGCAAGTGGCAAAACCTGGTCCTGTCATGGTTATTTCTTTAAAAATACTTACCATTGTGAATGAATGTTGCAAGGTTCACATAAAATTCTTTGGTGGATTTGCTTTAAGAAGGTAACTAACAACTTAACCACAGTTTGAGGCAAGGAATTATGAAATCCGAATGAATTTGCTGCTATTCAGTAGCAGAGCCAAGTCCTGAAGGGTGCTACTTCTGTGGTACCATGGAAAACCTTCAAAATGTACAAGGTGTTTGTTTCAATATGCAGGCTAAGGCTTAGAAATAATCCCTTGCATCTGCCTGATTTCACGGTAGACAAAAATACAAAATTTTGATGCTGTGCCCTTTAAATGCCCATTTAGAATCATTAAACTTTGCAAAATATTTAACAATATAAATTCACGGTACATTTATACTGTTACCCAGAAGATCAACTAGTAATAAATAAAAATGTTCAAAGTGAATGCATGCTCAGCAATCTTTTTTTTTTTTTGAGACAGGGTTTCACTCTGTCACCTAGGCTGTAGTGCAGTAGTACAGTGGTGTGACAGTGTGATCACGGCTCACTGCAGCCTCGACCTTCTGGGCTCAAGTGAACCTCCCACCTCAGCCTCCCAAATAGCTGGGACCA